>NC_000019.10:57582559-57924245 GCF_000001405.40 Homo sapiens
TAGCCTGATATTTTGGTTTCCTGTGGTGACAGGGTGGAGTCTGGTAGGTGAGACTTCAGCTCCGAGTGTTGGGTCAATGTTTTCTTTTCTCTTTTCTTTTTATTTATTTATTTATTTACTTATTTATTTATTGAGACAGGGTCTGGCTCCGTTGCCCAGGCTGGAGTGCAGTGGCATAATCATAACTCACTGTAACCGTGATCTCCTGGGCTCAAGCGATACTCCCACCTCAGCATCCTGAGTAGCTAGGATTACAGGTGCACCACCATACTCGGGTAATTTTTTAGTTTTTGTAGAGACGGGGTCTGGCTATGTTGCCCAAGTGGTCCTTCCACCTCAGCCTCCCAATGTGCTTGGATTACAGGTGTGAGCCACCGCGCTGGGCCTGACATTTTCTTTTCTGCACATTCTCTAGCTGTGTAACTTGCAACTCTTTAGCTCTGTGCCTGCAAAATAACTGGACATTATGTTACCAACAGAGGATGGCCAGATGAGACTGGTCCAGTGGTTAAACCTGCACCTTCATGGAGGCCATTATGAGTATCCCTACAGGCCGAGTCTCAGGGTGCCCCCAGAAGCCCATACCAGCCGCTGTAAGGCAGAGCATGGACTTCCCCTCGGGGACTAAATCCCATTCTTGGGCTCCAGAGGCCTTGTTCCTACCACTGTACGCCACCGCTTGGGGTGCCCTGGGAACCCGCCTACCTCCCTACTGCCCTGAGGGCGGTTGGAGATGGTCCCAGCAGGTGTGGGAGATGAGGTAGGAGACGTCTTCAACGGGGTCCAAGGCTCATCTGGACCCAGTTCTCAGCCGAGGGGCGGTGGAGAGGGCGTCAGAAAACGCAGGAACGGCTCCTAGACCCAGGAGGGGACTCAGGGAAGCAGAGGCGCTTTCCTCGGCGGCTCTGGGGCCTTCCCAGCTCGCCCGGCCCCCCTGGAGGAGACGTCCCCCGGGGTGGAGCTACGGAGAACCCCTTCCCATGGGACGTCTCGGCCCCGCCTCCCGCCTCTGGGTACAGTCAAAGGGCTCAGGTCAGAGCAGGAGCAGCCGGGGGCGCGGCCCCCACGTGGCCTCCCGGGACACGTGCCCACAGCGCGACACCTAAGTCGCTCCTTTCACAGAATAGCCTTGGCCCCGGCACGGCCTCGAACGCCTTGACCCCGCAAGGGAGGGGCACGAGGCTCCTTTGCTCCCGCAGGAGCGTCGAATACGTATGGAATACGCGTCGGTGTGGATCTGGCCTCAGCTTCCTGAGCCTGAATCAATGCTTCTAATCACGTGGGCGCTCAGCCGCGACGGGACCACAGAAATCGACCAGCGGCCTGTTTAAGGAGCGACAAGGCCCAGCCCTCTCCTGCATTGTGGCGACGCCATTTCCCTGCGCCCCCAGCGCGGCCGCTTGGCTTTTGTTTGAGGTGACGCTGGGCGGCAGCATCCTTCCCTCAGCCCTGGGGACCAGCGGGGACTACAGAACCCAGAAGGTTTTGTCTCCAGCCGCAGGGATGCTGAGCCAATCCGCGCTGAGAAAAGGGTCGTTTCCGCTTTGGGACCAATGGGTCGGGGAGGGACTTCCGGTATCACTTCAGTGGCGGTCATTTTTGCAGCGCTTGGGTGCATCCAGACCGTCAGAGCTTTGGGAGCGCTTTGTTTGGCGACAGTCGGAAGGCGCGAGGGGAGGGGTCCTCCCGCTGAACAGTGGGGGTTCTAAGGGTCGGCGGCGGCGGGGTTGACGGCTTTGCCTAGGTCCCTCCGCCCGTAGCTGTCGGGTCCCGGCCCCGCTCTGCCCACAGACTCCGATGGCTGCGGCCGCGCTGAGGGCCCCGACTCAGGTGAGCGCTGCCTCTACTGGGCCTCACCCTCCATCCCCAAATTAGTGCCTTCTTGGGTCACTACGGTCGAGATCCTCATGTCCAGTACAGTGGGGGCTCGTGGGTGGGGTCCCTATTTCCAGAACTTGGGTGATGGGGCACGGAAGAGGGTTACAGGCAAAGGGACCAGCGTTTCTAAACTCTTGGAGACACAGTGAAGAAGGTTCATACCTGGAGTGCCAAGGTGAGGAGTTTTCCCTCAATTCTTAGGATGCTAGGAGCCGTGGAGGGTTGTGTACAGAAGCGGCATATGGTCTGAGTTAGGTCTTTCGAAGTTTTCCAAAAACCTCATGGAGTTAGACTAGAATAGAATGGAATAACACAGAGGCACAGGGAGGTTGAGTTCTTGTGCAAGGTCCCACAGTTGCTAAGAGTTGGCACTGAGGACTGGAACGCTGAGGCTCAGAAATAATGCAGGCATCCTCAGTCCACCTGGCTCTGGCCTGGACAGGAATCCAGGGAAGCCTGAATCCGTAGAGCCCTGTATGGTCACCTGCCTTTCATGATCTTTGGCTTTCCACAGGTTACTGTGTCTCCAGAAACACATATGGACCTCACAAAGGTGAGTGGAGGGTGTCCCAGGCCCTCACTGGTCCTGGCCCCATCCTGGGGTTTTTTCATGGATCTTTTTGCCACCATCCAGTTCTTTGACCTAAGGACTCTTCACAAACTGGAAGCTTGACATCCTGATTCTAGACTGGTGGTTATTTGTAGACGTTCTTATTGCTGGCAGACAATGGAATGAGGTGTGAAAGGTTGCCCCGCCTACGTACAATAATGTGTAAGGTTGGCAGTGAAGCTGAGCTGATTCAGGGAAACACAACTCTCCTTTCTTTCTCATGGGAACTCAGAGCAGCAGGGCAGGACTCAGGCCTGGAATGGCTCTGAGAAATTGGGTGTTTTTTCTGGAGGTGATGAGAACAATGGGAGGTTTAGAGAAGAGAACGGAGGTTATCTGACACTGGTCTCATCAGGTTCACTGTTAATGCAGCATAGAGAATACTCTGTGGGTGTGATGGAGGCGATAGAAAGACCAGGGAGGAGGCTACTGCAGTGGCCAAGGTGAGTTTTGATAGTGGCTTCACCAGTGTGGTGGCTGTGAAGGTAGAAGAAGTGGCTGGATTCTGGGTCAGAATTTTAATTAGGCCTGCTTGCATTTTCAGATTTTGAGGGTAAGAGATACTGGTCAAGCATTACTCCAGGCATTTTGAATTTAGCATCTGGAAGGATGGAATCTCCATCAAATAGCATGTTATAGGATTGATTTTATTTTTATTTTATTTATTTATTTGTCTATTTTTAGACAGTCTCACTCTGTCACTCAGGCTGGAGTGCAGTGGCTCGATCTTGGCTCTTTGCAACCTCCACCTCCCGGGTTCAAGCAATCCTCCTGCCTCAGCCTCCTGAGTAGTTGGGACTACAGGCACATGCTACCGTGCTACCATGCCCAGCGAATTTTTTTTTTTTTTTTTTTTTGTATCTTTAGTAGAGACAGGGTTTCACCATGTTGGCCAGGCTGGTCTCAAACTCCTGACCTCAGGTGATCCACCTGTCTTGGCCTCCCAAAGTGCTGGGATTACAGGCGTGAGCCACCATGCCCAGCCAATTAATTTTCATTAAGGATAACAGGAGTTTTGTCTTTAGCTATTATCATAGTCTGAGATATTCCAAAGAATGATATATGGAGACATCAGGTGAGTAGCTGTCCATGTACATCTAGAATTCTGGAAGTGGTTTAAGATGGAGAAATCCAAAAGGTGGTGGCCAGTGTTTGGCCCAGAGTAGCTATGGGTCACAATTAGGAGTGGGTAATCCTGGTCTTGAAGATAATGCTATTTATAATGCAGGAAAGGGCTGGGTGTGGTGGCTCACACCTGTAATCCCAGCACTTTGGGCGGCCGAGGCAGGCGGATCACTTGAGGTCAGGAGTTCTAGACCAGCTTGGCCAACATGGTGAAACTCCGTCTCCACTAAAAATACAAAAATTAGCCAGGCGTGGTGGCAGGCACCTGTAATCCCAGCTACTAGGGAGGCTGAGGCAGGAGAATTGCTTGAGCCCAGGAGGCGGAGGTTGCAGTGAGCCAAGATCACGCCACTGCACTCCAGCCTGGGTGACAGAGTGAGACTCCATCTCAAAAACAAAACAAAAAAACAGAAAAGGGAAGGTTGGGGCTATGACTGTGTCTCATGCTTGGACACGTGGTAGAGGTGGTGAGCATCACAAACAGTTGTGAGAGAAAAGTGGTCATGGGAAGATTGTAGGAAAGAGGATGATCTGGTGTATCAGTCCATTTTCACACTGCTGATAAAGACAGCAAGTCTCTAGGAAGTTCCAGACTTTCCCATATTTTCCTGTCTTCTTCTGAGCCCTCCAAACTGTTCCAACCTCTGCCTGTTCCCCAATTCCAAAATTGCTTCCACATTTTCAGTTATCTTTACAGCACAGCCCCACTTTACTCATACTGATTTACTGTATTAGTCCATTTTCATGCTGCTGATAAAGATGTGCTGGAGACTAGATAATTTGTAAGGAAAAAGAGGTTTAATGGACTCATGATTCCGCGTGGCTGGGGAGGCCTCACAATCATGGTGGAGGGTGAAAGGCATGTCTTGCATGGCAGCAGACAAGAGAGAACTTGTTCAGGGGAACTCCCCCCTTATAAAACCATCAAATCTTGTGAGACTTATTTACTATCATGAGAACAGCATGGGAAAGGCCTGCCCCTATGGTTCGATTACCTCTCACCAGGTCCCTCCCATGACATGGGAATTGTGGGAACTACAATTCAAGAAGAGATTTGGGTGGGGACGCAGCCAAATCATATCATCTGATAAGTGGTCAAGGCTTCCAAGGCATTAGGGACATAAGACAGACATGGAGATAAAGAAATAATTGGTAGAAGATGACACTGAGGCCAGGTACAGTGGACTGTGTCCCCGCAAAATTCATATGCTTAAAGCCTAATTCCAGTGTGATGGTATTTGGAGGTTGGGCCTTTGGGAGATAATTAGGTCATGAGGGTGGAGCCCTAATGAATGGGATTAGTGAGTGCTCTTAAACAAAGAGGCCAGAGAGCTACTATCTAGTGCTCTTTCCAACAAGTGAGGATACAAGAAGTCAGCAGTCTGCAACCTGGAAAGAGTCCCTACCAGAACCTGACCATGCTGGCACTCTGATCTCAGGCTTCCTGCCTGCAGATCTGTGAGAAATAAATTTCTGTTGTTGATAAGCCACCCAGTTTGTGGTATTATGCTAGCAGGCCAAACTGACTAAAACACTAGGACTAGTGCTTATTCACCATGGTAAAAACTCGCCAGGAATTTGTTGTGACCCTTGGTGAGTCTGGGGAGGGTGTGAGTCAAGCAGTTGAATAAGTTTAGGAGTACAAGTGTTCATCTGTATGAGTCATTAGGTTGGAGGTAGAGAGCCACTGAGAGTCTGTGCCACTGAGGCCACTGATTTTGAATGAGGGTTAAGAGGTGAGAAGAAGGTTGTTGATTGAAGAGGGGACATCAAGTGCAGCACAAGTGGAGGACGGCCATCGGTGTCTGACATCAGGTGATTCTTGGTGGCTGAGGTTGAAGCAAGGAACAGAGTCAGGAAGATAGCCCTTCAGAGCAGGGTGGGGGCTGTCTATGACAGTAGGAACCATCAGAGGTCTGTGTAGCACTGGATGATGTCTCAATTTGGCAGGCAGAGGGGTGGAGGTAGCCGTGGGAGTGAGACTGAGCGAGTATGGTTCAAAGAATGATGTGTACATGGAGAGGGAGTGTGAACTGAAGGACCCAGGCCCCTGGCATTGAGGACTTAAGGGTCAAAGGTGAAGCCACATTTGATTGTGTCTAGGAGGCACTATCTGAAAGACCCTTGGGGAACTGCCTGACAAGAAGGGATACACTCCTACATACCGGGCCCAAAGTTTAGATGTGGTGCATCCTGCCCACCTCCTGGTTGGTGCTGTAGAAGGATACAGTGATCATTGGGACCATGAAAAGAGAGTGGGCATCTGTGTCACCAGGGCCTGTATTTCCTTAAGGTGGGGATGATTGCGTGGGTGGATGAACTTGTGGAGGCGTTGATTGTGGAGTGACCTGTCCCCATCATGACAGGGCTGTGTGACCTTTGAGGACATCGCCATTTACTTCTCACAGGACGAGTGGGGACTTCTTGATGAGGCTCAGAGACTCCTGTACCTTGAAGTGATGCTGGAGAACTTTGCCCTTGTAGCCTCACTGGGTAAGGCCCTAATACCAACTCCAGTGTCCTGGTCTGTCTATGGTCTTTTGCTGACTTCTCCACTTTCTTGGGATATGTGCTATGGGATCCAGCACTGTGCACTGCCTGAGTAGCCCTAACACCTGCTGCCCAGTGGTCTGGGAACACCTGCTGCCCAGTGGTCTGGGAACACCTGCCACTGGGCAGCAGGTGTTCTTCAGTCAGCCAAATGGATCTCTGTTCCTTGCTCTCTTCTTGGCTGGGTGTCTGTGTTCAGATCCATGACACCTTGTGTCCCAAGTTCCCTGCACCCCCATCTGCTAGCTGACATTTTCTTGTGGCTACCTGTGTCATGATTGTAGTCATTGTCATTGTCTATACTTATGGGGACAATGGGCTCTTCTTACTCACTCCTTCTAGTTTGTTTGTTTGTTTGTTTGTTTAATGATATTAACTTTCTTGCCCATGGGCTGTTGTGTGCTGAGTCGTTCTGCATCAGTGCTGATCACTCACATGTTCTGTCTTTCTGGTAGGACTTGGCTTCATGAAGGTCCCACATAGCTAGACAACTGAGGGTGTGCAGAGAAACCTGGTTGCTTTATAGGGTGAACATGGTCTCAGAGAAGGCCTGGGCTTGTTGAGTGGCAACTGGTTGGGGGCATGATATCCGGGCTGTTTTCCGATCACATAAGGAGCCTGTCCTGTCTTCACCACTGTTTGGGTGCACATGCCACTGGCCAAATCTCATTTCTATATTTTCTTCTCAGTACTTGACACTTCTCTCTCTTATTATTTTTATCTATGACTTCTAGCACCTGGCTACCTCCACCTTTCTGATCTTCATGCATCATCTGCTTCTCTGCACTGCTCCCTCTGCAATGTTTTCCAACATTGACACACACATAATGTCTCATGAAGTATGTATATATGACCACATGAAGATATGTGATCATATCACTTGCTACTCAGTTTCAATTGTATTTTCCTGGGCTTGGGCACAGTCAACCTTCTGCACAGCATGCAGGTGTCACCAGCAGACAAGGTCCTCCTGAAGACTATGTGGTGAGTTTTAGGAATTGGAAGGCTACTCAAGGATAATTTTTGAGGCTGTTGGTAGAGGAATGGTTTGAAGGCAATGCCATTCCCTGTCCTTCATCCCATCCTTGTGTCCTTTATTTGGTGAGGCCTCCCTCATTCTGTGATCTTTAGAGATCCAGTATTGCAAAGCAACCCCTTCCTCAACTTGCCCCCAGCTCCATTATCCTCAAAACAAACCTGGTGAATCATTCGTTTGGTATGTGTGTAATGGGGCTTCTTGCTCTCAGCATAGTCAATGTATATTTCATCAGCGGTTCTCTGCTTTCAGGTTGTGGCCATGGAACAGAGGATGAAGAGACACCTTCTGACCAGAATGTTTCTGTAGGAGTGTCACAGTCAAAGGCAGGTTCATCCACACAGAAGACTCAATCCTGTGAGATGTGTGTCCCAGTCCTGAAAGATATTTTGCATCTAGCTGATCTCCCTGGGCAGAAACCATACTTGGTTGGAGAATGTACAAACCATCACCAGCACCAGAAGCATCACAGTGCAAAGAAATCCTTGAAGAGGGACATGGACAGAGCCTCATATGTGAAGTGCTGCCTATTCTGTATGTCATTGAAGCCCTTTCGCAAATGGGAGGTTGGAAAGGACCTTCCAGCCATGTTGCGGCTTCTGAGGTCCCTGGTCTTTCCTGGAGGCAAGAAACCCGGCACAATTACTGAATGTGGGGAGGACATTCGCAGTCAAAAAAGTCATTACAAGTCAGGTGAATGTGGGAAGGCTTCCAGGCACAAACACACTCCTGTTTACCATCCAAGAGTCTACACTGGAAAAAAGCTTTATGAGTGTAGCAAATGTGGGAAAGCCTTCCGTGGCAAGTACTCACTTGTTCAGCACCAGAGAGTCCATACTGGAGAAAGGCCTTGGGAGTGCAATGAATGTGGAAAATTCTTTAGCCAAACCTCCCACCTGAATGATCATCGGAGAATCCACACCGGAGAAAGGCCTTATGAGTGCAGCGAATGTGGAAAATTATTTAGACAAAACTCCAGCCTTGTTGACCACCAGAAAATACACACTGGAGCAAGGCCTTATGAGTGTAGCCAGTGTGGGAAATCCTTTAGCCAAAAAGCCACCCTTGTTAAACACCAAAGAGTTCACACTGGAGAAAGGCCTTATAAGTGTGGTGAATGTGGGAATTCCTTTAGTCAAAGTGCCATTCTTAATCAACACCGAAGAATTCACACTGGAGCAAAGCCTTATGAGTGTGGCCAGTGTGGGAAATCCTTTAGTCAAAAAGCTACCCTCATTAAACACCAGAGAGTTCACACTGGAGAAAGGCCTTATAAGTGTGGTGACTGTGGGAAATCCTTTAGTCAAAGCTCCATCCTTATTCAACACCGGAGAATTCATACTGGAGCAAGGCCTTATGAGTGTGGCCAGTGTGGAAAGTCCTTTAGCCAAAAGTCTGGTCTCATTCAACACCAAGTGGTTCACACTGGAGAAAGGCCTTATGAGTGCAACAAATGTGGGAATTCCTTTAGCCAATGCTCCAGCCTCATACATCACCAAAAATGTCATAACACATAGAGGCCTCATGAATGCAGCAAATGTGGAAGCGCCTTCAACTCAAGATCTATCATCATTTAGCTCCTGAAAGTCCACACTTAAGTAGAGCCTTAGACCTACAGGGAAAGTGCTGTCTCTGTAGTATTGTAGCAGTAGAGAGCCTTTGTGAGGGAGCCATCTGCCTGAAGTTGAACCTCATTCTTCCTTGTTTCTCTGGTAGAAACCATCTACCCTCTACCACCTTGCACAGTGGGCACTGGTCACTCCTATGTGCTAAGACAAGGCAGACATCTGTGTGTTCTCTTAAGTCTTTGGAGGAAATCTTGAGCAGTCTAAGCCTTTAGAGAAAATTCATTCTTTTTTCTGACTGATCACAGCATACGTGTGACCCAGTTTGGGTCAGGAGGGCCCAGCCTTGGTTCTGCTGGACACTTATGTGCAAGGATTCCCTTCATGTAAATTCTTGGTCTCACATGACACTTGGTCATTCTTCCAGCCTCCATGTCACCACGTGGTGAATGGCTGCCTCACATTGCTCCAGTTTGTGCACTAATAAAAGCCTTATATTTGAATCTACCTGTAGTCTTGGGGTTCTGTTTACTGTGTGGGGTGGCTGGGAGACAGACTTCAACTCTATATGAAGGAATGGATGGCTTTTGTGGGCCTCTGCAGGAAAGTAAGATGACAGAGTAATTCTAATTCTGGTTTTGGTCATACTTGCTTTGCTACCTAAAATCTCCTAGGAAAAAATGCAAGGTTTTGGTTATTCTAATTTGTGGCCTGGATCCCTATTCTTTCTGTGAGACTAGAGGTCATCCTGAGGAGAGGCCAGCTGTTATGACAAGCATGTGTGCTTCAGGGAATAGGACAATTTTATTCCATTGTTTCCAGAGGATGTCATATGATGCCCAGTGCTGCTGAGAAGCTTTTCATGGGGTTCTATAAGGAGGCATGCCCTGATATCAAACATTCCATAGGCCGATGTCACGCAGAAGACAACGCGAGTCACATGTGAACTGTAATTGGTACAGAAATACCTGGGTATTTCTGTACTGTGTGTACTGTAGCAAACTAGTTGGAATGTGCCTCTTATAAAAGTACATTTACAAATCTTCCCGTGACTGTGGCTTTGAGCAGTCATAGGACCTAGAAATCTGTGTATGTCCAATAGCTGAGGTTATTTTCAGCAAAAATAATTAAAGGGTTTTATTTTTTAATTCTTGTTGGTTTTCTAGGTTGTTCACCTCAAGTGCATTGCTGTAGAGGCAGAAAAAGGAGGATAAAGATAACAGAAGTCCTATAGGCCAGGGATGTATTGATAGCTCTTGTGATTTCCACCAGTGTTGCTGTTGTCTCAAATTGCCACAGCCTTCATTGCTTGCCAACATTTCCTGCATGGAGGGACTCATGGTTGCCCTTCCCCAGGCCTGAAGAGAGAGTGCAGTCAACATGAGATTGCTAGGCATTCTGGTTTCTGAAAGTTGGGTGATCAGATACTTTATTGTGAAACATGTTTTACAAACTTTCTTGATGTGTAAGTGACATGCCATAGTTTACATCCATTTATGGTGTATAATTTGAAGAGTTTGTCATACAAGCCTGTGAAACCATAATCATGATCATGAACATATTCATGATTCACCTCTTGCTGTTTTACAATCTCTGCGTGTACTTTCCAGGCCTTCAGGAGTCCTGTCATTTACTTTCCCTACAGGAGAATAGTTTGTGTTTTCTAGGATTTTATGTGAATTGAAACGTAAAATACTTACTCCATTTTTCCTGATGATGCACAATTTTTTTTTTTTTTTTGAGATGGAGTCTCAGTCTGTCACCAGGCTGGAGTGCAGTGGCATGATCTTGGCTCACTCCAACCTCCTCCTGGGTTCCAGCGATTCTCCTGCCTCAGCCTCCTGAGAAGCTAGGACTACAGGCATGCACTACCACGCCCAACTAATTTTTGTATTTTTAGTAGAGATGTGGTTTTACCATGTTTGCCAGGATGGTCTTGATCTCTTGACCTCGTGATCCGCCCGCCTCAGCCTCCCGAAGTGCTGGGATTACAGGCGTAAGCCACCACACCAGCTGATGCACAATTACTTTTAAGATTTATCAATATTGCTTATGTGAATAGTTCATTTGTATTGCTGAGAAATAGTCTGTGGATATGTCACAATTTGGATAAACAGTTGGATGCTTTCCAGTTTTGGGCTGTTGCAAATAATGCTACTATGAACATAGGCATATAACTCTTAATATGCAGAAATGCTTTATTTCTCCTGTGTCAGTAGTACAGTGTACGTGAATGCGTCACTTTTAAAGACAAGGCCAGACTATAACCTAACTGTACCATTTGCATTCTCATCAACAGTATGTGAACCTTCTTATTTCTCTACATTCTTGCCATACTTGGTATGGTTAGTCTTTTTAATTTTAGTTGTTTTAATAGCTGTATAATAGCATCTGTCTGTGATTTTATTGCATTTTTCTGGTATTTTATGGTATTGAACATTTGAACATCTTGTATCTAGTTGCCACCTGTATATCCTCTTTGGAAGAATGTTTATTAATGTCTTTTGCTTATTTTTAAATGGATGTTGGTGATACTTTTTCATTAATAAATAGACGTATAACAAAGACTTATGTTGAAACTTTACTCATTCTTCAGTAATGTGATGCACTTATTTGCTAAATGATAAAATTGTTTTCAAATACTGGGAAAATAATTTCTCAGTTTTTTGGTCTATTCACAGTGTAACAACTACAGACACTATATACCTGAAACACTACCTTCATTGACAAATTCTCCATCACTTTCTTAGGTCTAACCATTCAATGAAACAAATAAGCCCTGGTTTTTAATATTTGCCAATTTCCCTGGTAAAATACTCCCACCATGGCCAATTACAAGGTGTCAAAATAATGTCACTGAACATGAATTGAGAAGAAGTGGGTAGCGTCACACCACTGTATTCTACTTTCACCATGCCAATACAGTAGCCGCAGATAACCTGAAGATCATGTATGTAGGAACCATACAGCCTGTGGTGTGGCAAGACTGATGCCATCTTGAAGTGAAGCTGTCATGGTCACCTATGTTCTGAAGCAGTAGCATAGATATCATCAAAATGCTTCTCTCCCCCAATGGTCATGAGTCTTGGCAAGAAAGTCTGAAGACGTGAAGAGCTGCACGTTTTACCCTAAAAACTCCAGGCCGGGCGTGTTGGCTCTTGCCTGTAATCCCAACACTTTGGGAGGCCAAGGTGGGCAGATCACGAGGTCAGGAGATGGAGACCATCCTGGCTAACATGGTGAAACCCCATCTCTACTAAAAATAGAAAAATTAGCCGGTTGTGGTGGCTTACGGGTGCCTGTAATCCCAGCTACTTGGGAGGCTGAGGCAGGAGAATCACTTGAATCCAGGAGGTGGAGGTTGCAGTGAGCCGAGATCACGCCATTGCACTCCAGCCTGGCAACAGAGCAAGACTCCGTCTAGAAAAACAAACAAACAAAAAACTCCAGCCTTGTTGACCACTACAAAAAGGGTCCTATAAAGGATGTAAAGGAAACTGCCTTCTGGAGGGCAGATACAGGGATCCATTGTCTCACAGCTGCACAAGACATCACTTCTGTTCATGAGTCCCTATGAAATGTTTCTGAAAACAATTTGGCCTCTTCCTCCTTCTTTGGCCTTTCAGCTTCGTTGGCCTTTGGGATAGATTTTCATACACCTGCTCACTATAGAACAATGTATATATAAGAGTAAAACAGTAAAATGATTAAGAATTGACTTTTGAGTATTTATTACTTGTGTTTTTAAAAGTGGCTTAAGTGAAATCTAGTTGTCTTAAATTCTGCATATTTAAAGTATACAATTTCTATTTTAATATATACTCGAAACCATAAGTTTCCACCTGCCCTTTTTAGTCCATCCCTCTTAACAAGTAATGGGTACAAAAACTTATTTTTCCTCTTCTAATGGATATTTTCAAGTATATACACAAATGGAAAGGACTGTGTTCAGATGCACTATGAAACCTTTCTAAATCTTCCATTATTACTTATCATTTAGTAGCCATTCTTGTTTCAACTCTTTTCACACATAATTATTTTACTTACAATTCCCACATCTTGTCATTCAATGCTGCACCTCTTCAGAATGCATTTTCAAGCATAAGAGCTCTTTCATAATTCCTATAACTTTATCAATCATTATTTAAGGCATCATAAAATATATCATCAGTGCTCAGTCACCTCGAATTGTCTCCAAAATTGATTTTTAAGACAAATTCATTGCAATCAGATCCAAAATGAATCTATATGGCTATTAGTAGTTTCATCTGGTGAGTCTATAATAATACACAGCTACCACTTTTTATTATTATTCTTGAAGTTGATGAGACATTTGTCCAGAATTTGCCACATTCTGGAATGGTGCGTGTTTTTGTTTTGTGTCTCTCTGATGTCATTTAACATGCTGACCCTTTCTCCATATTCCTGTGCACTAGATATTAAGGAAATGGGTAACTGAACTCTGGTCCTGCAGATAGGTGTGCAATAGTAACACACTTATGCAGTGTGACTGTGTTGTGTGTATGTGTATGTCTATTCAAAAGGTGACATTCACAGACATCTGGAGGCTTAGAGATTATTGAAAAAGTAAAAAAGGAAGAAGCACTTTGTTTTTGCTTCCTCTAAGATACCTGAGAAGGTTTCTCAACTGATTTGAAATGTGAAACAATGCCAAAACAATTACCATAGATCCAGTAATACTGCTTCTTGGTTTTACTGAAATGAGTTAAACATTTATGTCCACACAAAATCTTGTACATGAATATTTATAGCACCTTTGTTCATAATTGGCAAAATTTGGTAGCAACCAAAATGTCCTTCAGTAAGTGAACAGGTAAGTGTGGTACATTTAGAAAATGGTATATTTATCCACATTAAAATAAATAATAAAAGATATGGAAGAACTTAAATACATATTTCTAAGTGAAAGGATCTGATATGGTTTGGCTGTGTCCCCACTCAAATCTCATCTTGAATTATAAGTACCACATGTCATGGGAGGAACCCAGTGGGAGGTGATTGAATTATAGGAGTGGGTTTTTCCCACGCTGTTCTCATGACAGTAAATTAGTCTCACGAGATCTGATGGCTTTAAAATCGGGAGTTTAGCTGCACAAGCTTATTCTCTTTGCCTGCTGCCATCCACCTAGGACGTGACTTGCTCCTCCTTGCCTTCTGCAATAATTGTGAGGCTTCCCCAGCCACGTGGAATTGTGAGTTCTCCATTAAACCGCTTTCCTTTGTAAATTGCCCAGTCTCGGGTATGTCTTTATCAGCAGCGCGAAAACGGACTATTACAGGATCCAAACTAAAAGGACTACATACTGTGATTTGAACTATATGACATTCCAGAAAAAGCAAAACTATGGAGACAGTAAAAAATGAGTGGTTGCCAGGGGTTTGGGGGAAGGGAGGAAGGGATGAACAGGTGGAGCACGGAGGACTTTTAGGGCAGTGAAACTACTCTGTGATACTACCGTGGTGTGTATACAAGTCACTATGCCTTTGTCAAAACCCATATAACAACCAGCTAGAGTAAATCCTAATGTAAACTATGGATTTGGGATGATAATGATATGCCAGCGTACCATCAATTGTAACAAATATACTATTCTAGTGGGGAATATTTATAGTGGAGTGGCTGTACATGCATGGGACAAGGGATATGTGGAAGCTCTATAATTTTTTGCTCAATTTTCCTATGAACCAAAACTGCTCTAAAAAATAATCTATTAAAACTTTACCAGCCTGAGCAACATGGCGAGACCCCGTGCCTACAAAAAATCAAAAAATTATCAGGGCATGGTGGTGCAGGTGCATGTCTGTTACCAGCTATTCTGGAGGCTGAGGTGGGAGTATTGCTTGAGCCCAGGAATTCAAAGCTACAGTGAGCTCTGATTGTGCCACTGCACTCCAGCCTGGATGACAGAGTGAGACCCTGTCTCTAAAAAAATTAAAATTAACTAATTTGCAAATTAGTTTAAAATATGTATTTTGCAATGTTTGTGCTGTGTATTTGTATAACTCAAGGGAGATTAATTTTAACAAATTGAATTTGGCAAGCCAGTTATTTCCATGAGCAGCCTAGTTAATTTATCTACTTAAACAACAAAAACAAGTAGATACACAGATTTTCTGGCACTTTCCAAGCTCACTATTTCCCTACTTTGACTATTGGCCTAAGAAATTGCCATAAGAGCTGTGTGTACCTGTAGCCCCAGCTACTTGGGAGGCTGAGGCGGAAGGATCACTTGAGACCAGGAGTTTTAAACCAGCCTGGGCAACATAGCAAGAACCCTGTCTGTAAAAAAAAAATATATATATATTTTAAAAATTAGCTGGGCACAGTAGTGAGTGCCTGCAATCCCATATACTCAGGAAGCTGACACAGAAATGTCGCTGAAGCCGAAGAGTTTGAGGCTGCAGTAATCTATGATCCTGCCACTGCACTCCAGCCTGGGCAACAGAGCAAGACTCTTCCTCAAAAAAAAAAAATTACCATTAGACACTCAAATATGCAGGCAAAATGAGTCCTTTGTGGAGTCACTCAGAAGGGCTCCCCACTTACCTTTCTATATGAAATCATGCTGGAGCCACACCTTCTCCCTTTCCTTTTCAGACAGGACTTAAATTCAGCAACTGAAGAGCTATCTGCTCTATGTGTCTTCAGGGTAAACATTTCCAGAGCCAAGCCAAATGTACTTATAGACTTATATATGACTGCACTAAAAAAAGCAAAGTAAGTCTATGTTCAGTTCAATTAATTATGTTCAATATTCTTTTTTTTTTTCTCTCTACTGAGATGGAGTCTCACTCTGTCACCAGGCAGGAGTGCAGTGGTGTGATCTCGGCTCACTGCAACCTCCACCTCCTGGGTTCAAGCGCTTCTCCTGCCTCAGCCTCCCAAGTAGCTGGGACTACAGGCGCACGCCACCACACCCAGCTAATTTTTGTATTTTTAGTAGAGACAGGGCTTCACCATGTTGGCCAGGCTGGTCTTGATCTCTTGACCTCATGAGCCACCTGCCTTGGCCTCCTAAAGTGCTGGGATTACAGGCATGAGCCACCGCGCTTGGCCTAGCCACAAGATTATTAATAGTTGTGACGTATAATGTTTTGTGTCGACTTGCCTGCATTAAGGGCTACCCAAATAGTTGGGAAAACCTTAGTACAGGATATGTCTGTGAGAATGTTTATGGAAGATATTAGCAGTTGAGTCTGTAGACAATGTAAAGGAGATCTGGCCTCATCAGTGTTAGGGGCCAACATCCAATGCTTTGAGAGCCAAGATAGAACAAAAAGGCAGAGAAAGAGCAAGTTACTCTCTTCTTGCCCTGGATCATCCACCTTCTGTTTTCCAACATTAAAGTTCTTGGATCTTGGGCCTTTGGACTCTGGAACATACAAGAATGACCCTCACCCAGTTCTCAGGCCTTCAGCCTCCAACTGGGAATTTCACCATAGGCTCCCTTGGTTTTCAGGCCTTCAGATGCAGACTGAATGATACCACCCACCTTCGTGTCTTACCAGGTTGCAAAAGGTATATCCTGGGACTTCTTAGCCTCCATAACTGGATGAGCCAAGTCCCATAATAAATCCCCTCTTGTACATCTATGTATCCTATTGGTTCTGTGTTTCTCTGGAGAATCCTGACTAATACAATAGGTTTCAGTAATTTTCATTTCACAACTGTTTTTCTAAGATGATCTCAACTCCCCATGCAAGCACTGTCCCTGCAGTAACAGTATCAATGATCAAAATTTCCCATCAAAGAGATGAAAGCTAGGTGTCCCAAACCTTTATTCTGGTATTCTGATGTCCCCTTTGCACAAGTGCTCTGACTGTGAACACTACAGACACTGTTCTACTTTAAAATGGCATATGCTAAGTGGCTCTTCTGTTTAGAAAGTTGCTACAATCCTAAAAGAAGCATATCTAAGAATATGGAGGAAGAAATATTATATGAATACAACACTGTTCCTTACAGGGCTAGACACACTCACCGATTACACAGGCAGGAGAGGCATTTTCTGTGAGACAAAATTCCTCTTTCGTCCTCCAGCTTCGGTGCGATCTAACGGATGTTTTATCATTCCTGTCATGGCGCTATGTAAACTCTATTTCCCTTATTCCTTACTGAGCATAATGAAACTCACAAAGCTGACTCTAACGTTCTACTTTACATAAATGTGTGGAGAAAGAAGGTAATGTTTACTAGGCTCTCGCCAAGGGTAGAGGCATTTTGTATCTGAATAACTCTGACTACCTAGGTGACTAGTTGTACACAATACCCTCCAAAAATCTCTGTATGGTACCTTAAAAAAGCAGCGAAGCTCCTCCCTTGTCCAAGGAGGCTGGAGACACCACCTCTCAGCCTTCCCCTCCACCTTTCTCCATAGCAACGGGGTCATTCCTCCCTGAGGTCCAGGAGAAGGGCGACCTCTGCCAGCCCAAGAAGCGGTGAGAACTACATTACCCAGAGGCCCGTGAGCCAGGTTCTTGGCGTGGAGCCAATGAGGCTCAGGGGAGGGACATTTCCGCTCTGTCCAACTTGTCGGAGCGGAACTTCCGGCGTCCTCCCTGTGGCGGGCACTTTGGCTTGTGTCAGTTCCATCCGCGGGTGCCGGATCTGGACCTAGGTGCTGACAGCGAGAAGGCGCGAGGAGAGTCGTTTTCTCAGCTGCACAGCCGGGGCCTGACGGTCGCCGGCGGTGGTGACAGCTTTGCTCTTGTCTCCGCCCGGATCGTCCACCGCTCCCGGCCCGCTCCGCCCAGAGTCCGATGGCGGCGGCACTGAGGGCCCCGACCCAGGTGAGCGCTGCGTCCTCCCGGCCTCCTCTGCCCTCCCCACCCGAAACTGAGGGACGCGTGAAGGGTTTTCTGCAGCCCGGACCGCACTGTCCGGCACAGTGAGGCGCTGGTGCTGGATCTCGTTTCTGGTAGTGTGGCAGGGAGCGGGAGAGCGACACGGTCAGGGGGCTGCGCGGGCAACAGCTTGGAGCTGCGCCTGAGCCGGGAGGCTGGGGAGACCCAGGCCGGCCTCACGCGTGCAGGTAGCAGAGGGTGGGGCAGCGCCGCGCTGCATTGGCCCCACTGAGTTTCACCAGCACACTGAGGGCCACAGCGCGTAGGACAGAAGAGGGGCACGGCCCCAGTCACGCTTCTAAAAGTTTCACAAAAGCTGTTCAGAGGAACGCGCTGGAAGGGCAGTGATGATAGCAGGCATGGAGGGACCTAGTCTTTTTACGAGGTCACAAAGCTGGTAAAAGTCAGCACCAAGGACTGACACCCAGATACAAAGCAGTCATCCCTGGACACCTGGCTCTGGTGTTCCACATTGGAACCAGAAGTCCATGGAGCCACACTTTGGTCACCTGCCTCTCAGAACATGTTTCCTCCCACAGATTGCCACTAGTACTTACAGGTCCGTAAGAAGCACTTGAAGACCCTACAAGGGTAAGTGGAGGAAATCCAGAAGCTCATTGATTCCAGCAATGGGATCTCTAGGATTGGGACTGTGGTGACCTGGGATTCTTTACTTACCGCTTTTCCAGGCCTTGAGCCTAGGGACTCTGAACAAAAATATGTCCAGGGTGAGTATTATATGAGGTGGTGCCTGTTGCTGGCAAATAATAGGATGAATGTGGAAGTTTGTCCCAGAGATAAGTACAGGTGTTTGGAGCTGCTTGGAGGTGAGGCTGAGCTGGTTAAGAGAACCTCAAGTCTCATTTCCTTCTCATGGGAACAGAGAGCAGAGGTACAGGAGTTAGAAACTAAATGGCTGTCTCAGATGTCTTTGTTCTGGAGATGATGGCAGCAATGAAGATTTGGAGCAGAAGAGGGAGGTGATCTTCCCCAGGCCTCATGAGGCTCCTGTGGCTGAGCACAGACAACAGACTGTGGGTTTAAGGGAGTTGGTAGCAATACCAAAGAGGAAAGAGGAGACTACTGCAATAGTCCAGGTGAGTGTAGATGATGTGGGCCAGAGTAGTGGCCACAGTGTGGCAGAAATGGTTGAATTTTGGATTGTAGGTCGGCTCTGATTTTCTGGTATTGGGACTGAGAGATAAGAAGGGGTGACTCAAGGCTTTTTGAGTTTAGTAGCTGGAAGCATAGAAGCTCCATCTACTGGGAGAGCCAAGTAGATAGTAGAATTGTTTTTCACTCAGGACATCAGGAATGTGTTTTGTCCATGTTAAAAATATGAGATGTTTTAGAGAATAAGTAAGTAGCTATATCAAGTGGCTAGGTGGACACACAGGTCTTGGACTCTGAGGAAGGGTGCAGGATAGAGACTTCTACAAAGAGTGGAGGATATTATTGAACTAGGATGGAGCCCTATGTCTGTTAGGCCATTTGCATTACTATAAAGAAATACCTAAGGCTGGGTAGTTTATAAAGAAACAAGGTTTATTACAGCTTATAGTTCTGCAGGCTGTACAGGAAGCTTAGCGCTAGTCTCCACTTCTGGTGAGGGCCTCAGGAAGCTTCCAATCATTGCAGAAGGCAAAAAGGGAGCCAGCAAGGCAGGAGGGAGGCACCAGTCTCTTTTTAGCAACCAGGTCTCATGTGAACTTATTACTGTTGGAAGGATACTATGCCATTCATGAGGGATCCACCTCCATGACCCAGATAACCTCCCACTAGGCCCCACTTCCAACATTGGGGATCACATTTCCAGGTGAGATTTGAAGGGGACAAATATCCAGGCTATATCAGTGTCTTACCTTGGGTTGATAATGAAATAACCTATATTGGTGGCTTAAACAACAAAAATTTGTTTCTCACAGTTCTGCAGGCTAGGAAATTCTACATCAGGGTGCCTCTAGATTCACTTATTTGTGATGGGCTGCTTCTTGACTTGCAGTGGCTGCCCTCTTGCTTTTTCCTCACATGGCCTTTCCTGGGAGGGAGTATGTAAAGAAAGCAAGGAATCTCTTTCTTTCTATTCTTACAAAAGCATTAATTCCATCATGAGGGCCCCACTCTTTTGACCTTATCTAAATCTAATTACCACCCAAAGATTCCATCTCCAAATACTATCACATTATATTAGGCTTCATTGTGTTAGTGCTTCAATGTAAGCATTTTGTGGGTGGGCGTGGGGCAGAAACATTAAGCCCATAACATCATAGATCCCATTTAGTAGTGGGATTCCTGGTCATGATGATAATATTAATAGCAGGCCAGGAAGGGGAAGGGTGGGAGCCACAAGAGGGTACCATACTTGGGTATCTGGATGGATGTTGTGGAAATCACAAATACAGGTTATAGAGGGAAGCAGCCCTAGGAATAATACAGAGAGAGGATACCAGGCAGGTGGCCAAGGGTTATGAAGGATGAGTGAATATAAGATGGATGTGGAGGCTGCATTAGTCCATTTTCGTGCTGCTGATAAAGACATACCTGAGACTGGGAAGAAAAAGAGGGTTAATGGACTTGCAGTTCCACATGGCTGGGGAGGCCTCACAATCATGGTGGAAGGCAAGGAAGAGCAAGTCACATCTTACATGGATGGCAGCAGGCAAAAAGAGAGTTTGTGCAGGGGAACTCCTCTTTTTAAAACCATCAGTTCTTCTTTTTTTGAGATGGAGTCTTGCTCTGTTCCCCAGGCTGGAGGGCAGTGGTGAGATCTCAGCTCCCTACAGCCTCCACCTCCCAGACTCAAGGGATTCTCCTGTCTCAGCCTCCCAAGTAGCTGGGATTACAGGCATCCACCACCACACCCAGCTAATTTTCGTATTTTTAGTAGAGACGGGGTTTCACCACATTGGCCAGGCTGGTCTCAAGCTCCTGATCAAGTGATCCACCCGCCTTGGCCTCCCAAAGTGCTGGGATTAGAGGCGTGAGCCACTGCAACCAGCCTTAAAACCATCAGTTCTCGTGAGACTTATTCACTATTGCGAGAACAGCACAAGAAAGACCCACCCCCATGATTCAGGTACCTCCTACTGGATCCCTCCCATGACACATGGGAATTGTGGGAGTTACAATTCAAGATGAGATTTGGGTGGAGACACAGCCAAACCATATTAGAGACATAATGGGATTTCAGACAAGATGAGGCTGAAGCCAGACCTAATGCTTTACTGCTATATAGCCTCACCAGGATCTTATGACTGGCTCCTATGCCTAGGGAGTTTCATGCAGGCTGGTGGATCAGTTTAGGGGCAGAAGTAGTCATCTGGGAGCATCACTTAACCTTGGGTGGAGGGCCACCAGGCAAGGTTTTGAATGAAGGGTAGCAAGACAGTTACTGTTACTGTTACTGTTTAGTGCAGTTACTGTTTAGTGCAGTACAAGTTGGAAAGGGCCATGTGTATCTGAGATATGTATGTGGTTCTGGGTGGCTGAGGTTGATGAAAGGAGTAGACTCAGGTAGGAAGGGCTTCAGAGCAGGATATGGGGCTGCCTGTGGCAGTAGGGACCATCATAGGTCTGGGTAGTCCTGGAACTTGTTTGAATTTGCAAGCACTTTCTAGATGTCTTGTGCTGAGTAACATATAGGAAGGCAGGAGAGATGCCTGTGTTGTGGGATCGGGGTGGAGGTGGCTGAGGGAGTGAGTTGGGTAAGAGAGGTGTGGTGGAAAGAGTGATGCACATATGAAGACGGAGTGTGAGCTTTTGTTTCATGAGTCTGGACATTGAGGACATGAGGGTGAAATGTGAACCCAGACCTTCAGTTGTGTTTGGGAGCCATGGTCTGAGGGATTCCAGGAGAATTTATAGACACAAGAATGTGGTTTCTATCTGTCCACCTGCCTGTTGTTGCTGTGGGAGAACACAGTGACCAATGAGACCATGAGAGAGTAGGCATCAGTGGCATCAGGGCCTGTTGTATTCGCTGAGGTGGGGAGATGGGGAGGAGGGTGAGCCAGGGATGGATGTTTGGGGGAATCAACTTGGGGTCCTAGGAAAGATGCTGACCATGGAATGAACTGTCCCCATCATAGCAGGTTTTTGTAGCCTTTGAGGATGTGGCCATTTACTTCTCCCAGGAGGAGTGGGAGCTCCTTGATGAGATGCAGAGGCTCCTGTACCGCGATGTGATGCTGGAGAACTTTGCAGTTATGGCATCCCTAGGTAAGGCCCTCCTATTCCTCCCAGTTTCCTTTGTGGGTCTCTCCTTTTCCCCTGTCCCTGAGGCAGCTCTGTCCTTTCTTCAGTTAGACCCTGAGCTCTACAGACCTTCCCACTTTCTTGGCATATGTATTCTGAGGGACATCGCCAAGCAAGGCACTCTCAGACTGTCCTAACACCTGTTTCCTCTAGGTATGCAGTGAAGGGTCTGGGAGACAGGATCTTTCTTTCAACCTAAAGGATTTGTCCTTGCCTTCTCCATGACAGGATGGCTTTCTCCAGTTCTAGGATGCTCTTTGTTCCATGTTCTGCCTTTTGCTTCTAACTAAAATCTCAAGCTGCCTGTTTCAGGAATTGCAGGTATCATCATGTTAACTACTTAACTGGTCCATAGGCTTTTCATAAAGATCCACCTGAAAGATTTTCTTGTAACATTATTTTTCACTGCTGTAGTTTGTCATGTGCTGAGTTGCTCTGTGCCAGTGCTGGCTGTGCACCTCTCTGGTCTTCCCTTTAGGGCATACATCTTATAGGTCTGGTATAGTTGCACAACTGGGATTCGAGGATGGCTCTGGTTGCTTTACAGGGTGCAAACAGCAAGATAGTCTCAGAGGAGGCCTGGCCCTAATGAGTGACAACTAAGGGAGGGCAAGACACTAGGGCTGTTTCTAATCACACCATAAACCTGTCCTGAGTTCTCAGTGATTGGGTGCTGATTCCATAGGACATATATCATTTCTCTCTTTTTTTTCTTTTCTACACATGTTCTGATTTTTATTTCATCCATGACTTCCAGCCCTTAGCTGCTACCAATTTCTGGCCTCCATGTGTCACCTGTTCCTTTCCAGTGCAACTTCTAGAGTGTTCTCTAACACTGACCCACATGTAATATGTTGTCAGATGTGCACATGTTTTTAAATAGTCCTTCCACACCTAGTATTCAGTTCCCATGGGTGTCTACTGGGCCTGGACACCAATAATCTTCTGTGCAGTGTACCGAAGTCCTCTCTTCTCATCAGGGGAGGAAGTCCTGATAAAAGCTTTTGGCAGAATAGTGAGTCAGAGACCCTACCTGTTCTCTCTGAGTTGTGCCCCATCTTTGTGTCTTTCATCTCATAAGGCCTCCCTTGTTCTGTGACTTGTAGAGGCTTTTTTCCACAAATTTCCACCAGCTCTCATATCCTAAAAACATTTTCTTAGACTCATTCTTTGACACACATTTTTGATGTAACTTCTCACACCATAGTAAATCTGTGTTTTCTCAGCATTTCTCTTCTTTCAGGTTGCTGGTGTGGAGCAGTAGATGAGGGGACGCCTTCTGCAGAGAGCGTTTCTGTGGAAGAACTGTCACAGGGCAGGACTCCAAAGGCAGATACATCCACTGATAAGAGTCACCCCTGTGAGATTTGTACCCCAGTCCTGAGAGACATTTTACAAATGATTGAGCTCCATGCCTCACCCTGTGGACAGAAATTGTACTTGGGTGGAGCATCAAGAGATTTCTGGATGAGTTCAAACCTTCACCAGCTCCAGAAGCTTGATAATGGAGAGAAGCTCTTTAAAGTGGATGGGGACCAGGCCTCATTTATGATGAACTGCAGGTTCCATGTGTCAGGAAAACCCTTCACGTTTGGGGAAGTCGGGAGGGACTTTTCAGCCACCTCAGGACTTCTCCAGCATCAGGTGACTCCCACCATTGAGAGACCACACAGCAGGATTAGACACTTGAGAGTTCCCACTGGACGAAAGCCTCTCAAATACACTGAATCCAGGAAATCTTTTAGAGAGAAATCTGTATTCATTCAACACCAAAGAGCTGACTCTGGAGAAAGGCCTTACAAGTGCAGTGAATGTGGGAAATCCTTTAGTCAAAGTTCTGGCTTTCTTCGACACAGGAAAGCACACGGTAGAACAAGGACTCATGAATGTAGTGAATGTGGGAAATCATTTAGTCGCAAAACTCACCTAACTCAACACCAAAGAGTTCACACTGGAGAAAGGCCTTATGACTGCAGTGAATGTGGCAAATCCTTTCGCCAGGTATCTGTCCTCATTCAACATCAACGAGTTCACACTGGAGAAAGGCCTTATGAGTGCAGTGAATGTGGGAAATCTTTTAGCCACAGCACTAACCTCTATCGTCACAGGAGTGCCCACACTAGCACAAGGCCTTATGAGTGCAGTGAATGTGGAAAATCCTTTAGCCATAGCACTAACCTCTTTCGACACTGGAGAGTTCACACTGGAGTAAGGCCTTATGAGTGTAGTGAATGTGGGAAAGCATTTAGTTGCAATATCTACCTTATTCACCACCAAAGATTTCACACTGGAGAAAGACCTTATGTGTGCAGTGAATGTGGGAAATCATTTGGCCAGAAATCTGTCCTCATTCAACACCAAAGAGTTCACACTGGAGAAAGGCCTTATGAGTGCAGTGAATGTGGGAAAGTTTTTAGCCAAAGCTCTGGCCTCTTTCGACACAGAAGAGCTCACACTAAAACAAAGCCTTATGAGTGCAGTGAATGTGAAAAATCATTTAGTTGCAAAACTGACCTCATTCGACACCAGACAGTTCACACTGGAGAAAGGCCTTATGAGTGCAGTGTATGTGGGAAATCTTTTATCCGAAAAACCCACCTCATTCGACACCAGACTGTTCACACTAATGAAAGGCCTTATGAGTGCGATGAATGTGGGAAATCCTATAGCCAAAGCTCTGCCCTCCTTCAGCATAGGAGAGTTCACACTGGAGAAAGGCCTTATGAGTGCAGAGAATGTGGGAAATCTTTTACCCGCAAAAATCACCTCATTCAACACAAGACAGTTCACACTGGAGAAAGGCCTTATGAATGCAGTGAATGTGGAAAATCCTTTAGCCAAAGCTCTGGCCTCTTAAGACACAGAAGAGTTCATGTGCAGTGAATGTGGGAAATTATTTTGTCACTTTTTTTTTTTTTTTTGAGATGGAATTTTGCTCGTCACCCAGGCTGGAGTGCAATTGTGCAATCTCAGCTCACTGCAACCTCCGCCTCCTGGGATCAAGTGATTCTCCTGCCACAGCCTCCTGAGTACCTGAGATTACAGGCACCCACCACCATGCCCAGCTAATTTTTGTATTTTTAATAGAAACAAGGTTTCACCATGTTGGTCAGGCTGGTGTTGAACTCCTGACCTCAGGTAATCCACCTGCTTCAGCCTACCAAAGTGCTGGGATTACAGGCGTGAGCCACCATGTCCGGCTTGTGTTGTGACATTTAACACAAGATTTCCCAAAGAAGAAAGGCCTTATATATGCTGTGAATGTGTTTTTGCTTGTTAGTTTGTTTTAACTTGGTATGACGGCACTGGAGGCTAGCCTTTGAGAAGAGCCTTCTCTGATGTGACTCATGTATCCAAACATCCATGGATTTCCCATAAATTTGAGGTATGTGGGAAGCATGTGTAGCTATGTTGTACTCTCTAAACCTGCCCAGGGACCTTACCAGATTCGTGTCACTGCCAGTTTCTGCGGCTGAAGCCTTTTCATCACTACCCGCTGGGAGACCCACAGAGTGTGCATCAGTCACCACCCCAACATGCTCAGGGAGGCAGAGTTCTTCCATTAGTTGGAGGAAAGCACGAGTAGTCTAAGCTCTTAGGGGGGTTTCTCATTTCCTCCTGTGGCTACATAGTGCATATAACTACCCCAGTGTTGGCCCCAGGACCTGATCTGAGTTCTGCTGGCAGCTTCCAGAGGATTGCCTTTTTTGAGGACATTGTTGATCTCAGGCGATGCTTGTGATGAAGCATTTTTTAGCTTCCACCACTTACCAGGAACTGCCTGTTAACTGGCTTGTGCAATGATAAAGGCCTTTTGTTTAAGTACCTTTAATCTTGTAAGTTGTATTAATTGTTGAGTAGTTTGGAAACATAATAGGACTCTGTCAGCTTAAAAGGGTATATAACATTTGTGGGGATTCAAATTTTGTTTGCCTCAGAGGGGACAGTATGCTCACAGAATATAGATTTTGCTCCATTTTTGGCCTATTTCGCATTGTTTCCAAGGCCTTCTAGGAGACACTGCAGGGCTTTCTGGCTCTGATTTTTGCCTGCATGTGGGCTCAGAGGTCATTCTGCAGAGGGGGCAGTTGTGGCAACTTCCATTGTTTCTGGAGACAACACAAAGTTTTTCTTGTTGAGTGAGGATATCACATAATGCCCTGCAATGTTTAGAATCCCTTAATGAGGTCCTGTGAAGGAGCTGTGTCCCTTGAAACACAGAATTCAGTGAGCTAGTGTCCCTAGCTATAAAACCATGGGGCTGGAGCGAAACATAATTGGTAAAGAAACGCTGGGTTGAATAATAGGGAATGGAGGAGACTGCAGCAAATTAGATGGACTGTTCCTCATATAAAGTTTCATCCGGCCGGGCGCAGTGGCTCACACCTTTAATCCTAGCACTTTGGGAGGCTGAGGTGGGTGGATCACAAGGTCGGGAGTTCAATAACAGCCTGGCCAAGGTGGTGAAACCCTGGAAGGCTGAGGCAGATAATTGCTTGAACTTGGGAGGCAGAGGTTGCAGTGAGCTCAGATCACACCACTGCACTCCAGCCTGGGTGACAGAGCGAGACTGCGTCTCAAAAAAAAAAAAAAAAAGATCCATTCAGGCCAGTCACAGTGGCTCATGCGTGTAATCCCTACACTTTCCGAGGCCATGGCGTGCAGATCACTTGAGGTCAGGAGTCAGAGACCAGACTGGCCAACATGGTGAAACCCCATCTCTACTGAAAATACAAAAATTAACCAGGTGCAGTGGTGCACGTCTATAATCCCAGCTGCTCTGAAGGCTGACGCACCAAGAATAGCTTGAACCCGGAAGTGGAGGTTGCAGTGAGCTGAGACCACACCACTGCACTCCAGCCCGGGTGATGGAGTGAGACTCTGTTTCCAAAAAAAAAAAGGCTGGGCGTGGTGGCTCACGCCTGTAATCCCAGCACTTTAGGAGGCCGAGGTGGGTGGATAACCCAAGGTCAGGAGTTCGAGACCAGCCTGGTCAACATGGCGAAACCCTGTCTCTACTAAAAGTACAAAAATTGTAAAAGTAAAAAGTAAAAGTAAAAGCTGGGTGTGGTGGCAGGCACCAGTAATCCTAGCTACTCAGGAGACAGGCAGAAGAATCTCTTGAACCTGGGAGGTGAGCCGAGATCGCACCATTGCACTTCGGCCTGGGCAACAACAGCGAAACTCTGTCTCAAAAAAAAAGTATCCACAAATGTTCCAGTGACTATGACTGCAAGATCACTGTGTGCAGAAATCTCTAGAAATGTGTGTCTTGTAGCTCAAGTTATTACTAGAGACAACAAGGGTTTTGTGGATTCCTGTAGCCTCTCTGGCCTGTTTACTTCAAGGCCATTGCTGCACAGACAAAAAAAAAAAAGGATGAAGTCAAGAGAGATTCGGTTGTCCTTGGTGCGGCTTTTGTGATCCAGTAGCAATCCTCTTAACGCTGATGGAAATGGCCTTCATTGCTCACCTGTATTTCCTGCCACTGAAGCAGGTCTGCCTCTACGTGGCCTGGGGAGCTAGATGGTAGAGTCAATAGAGACTTAGTAAACCAGACTTTTTGAAGTGTCAATGACCAAGATTGTTATTGCATCCATTAAAAAAAAATCAAGTTATAATTGATGTGGAATAAATTATATATATTTAAAGTGTACAACTTGATAAGTTCTGACATAAATGTAAACCCATGGAAGCATTGTTGTAATCATAAGAATGAGCATATCTCACCTGCATATTTTACTTTTGCTCTTTTATAATACATTCCAGAATATGCAGGCAACTTTTAACATTCCTTTACAATTGATTGACTTGAATTTTCTGGAATTTTATTTTAGACATCATAAAGTGTGTATTTTTTTGTGCTTTTATTTATAAAACTTCCCCTTAGGTAAGGGCCTGAGGTTAACTTTGGAGGTGACAGATATGTCCAACACCATTGATAGGGTGATGATTTCAAAAGTGTACATATGTGTGTGTGTGTGTGTGTGTGTGTGTGTGTGTGTGTATACTTACTGTTTTAATATGTGCAGTACATTGCATGTTGATTACACCTCAATGAACCTATAAAAAGTTATTCCATTTAAAAATCTGGGCCTCCCACTTCTATTGGAAACTGGACAACTTGACAGCCTGCAGTGTTTTGAAACAGCATGGATTGGGTGTCTTGTTTCCAGCATATGTCCCATGTTCCCCAACACTGTTCCTCAGGAAACAGGGAGGAACAGCTGTTCCTCAGGACCTGCTGAGTGGCCATATTCCCTGAAGGCCAGAAAAGTAACAAGGTGACCGTTTTGGACAAAATTCTGAGCTTAAAACCTTGCCTGAATCAGTAGCCCCCAAATTCATTGTGCACATCTTATAATTTCCAAGAACACACATATTAAGTGAATATTTTTATGTTTATAATTGTGAAATGGTCTGTTCAGGGCTGTCATTCCTCAACCTTTTTTTTCAACCACCCTCTCATTAAGGAAGCATATGTATTAATCATGGTTTCTGTTTTTTGTATTATATGTCTTGACATCTTAAAATTCTTGCTGGTGACAGAGAGACTTACCCTACCAGAGGTAGCTAATTTCTAAAAATAGTAAACAACTACCTTGAGAGCAAGGCAAGCCAACTACCCTCTTTATCTAACTCTTACTCACCAAGCCAATACTTTCCCTGCACTAAATCATCCCAGCGTTACTGCCAGTGATTTTGCAGCAGTCTGCAGCAATTTTGGTCCTTGCCTCCTCAGAAGAAAATTCAACCGAGGAGGCAGAGGTTGGCTTAAGGCACAGGAAGAGACCAAGGCAAGTTTTTTTTAGCAGGAGTGAGAGTTTATTAAAATGTTTTAGAGTAGGAGTGAAAGGAATCAAAGTACACTTGGAAAAGGGCCAAGTGGATAACTTGAGAGGTCAAGTGCCCCACTTGATCCTTGGCTTGGGACTTTATACATTTGCTTATTTCCCAGGCTCTTTATTCTCCTTCCTTCGGTAGGCTGTTGCTTGACTACTGCATGCACAGTGGTCTGCCAGTACTTGGGAGGGGCCGCATGCAGTTTGTTTACTGAAGTCATACATATACTCATTTGGGGTGATCTTCCCTTAACAAGTCATGCACCCCCAGAGGAAGGTCAAATACCAGTCAAATTTTGCCATCTTGCCCCATTTTGTGCATGCTCGAAACCTTATCAGGGGTTGTGGTTCACTGGCTCCAGGTGTTTTCTATCTGTTGGAAAACTCTTTTCCCTCCTGGTACCAATCATGGCCACTTATCATCTCAGAGGGATAGTTTTATGCTTTCCTGTCCTTCACCCAATGAGAGCTGGACATCTCGGGGGTCCCTCTCTTGTTTTGTTTATTATCTCAGAGGAAAAGATTTATGATTGCCTGTCCTTGACTCCAAAATTGCCTGACATTCCTGGGGTCCCTCTCTCCTGCCCTACTCTTATCTACCTACTCTAACACCAGGGTGAGGGTATGAGGCAACTAGAGACCACCCCTGTAAATCGAAGCCAACCAGAATTATTCAGACTAGCCAGTACTCAGCTGTTTGCTCTGATCTGGCCTAGGCTTTCCCCTAGCTCTTGCTTCTTCCTTTAGACTGAAACCTGTTCCTCCTGTGGCCCTGCATGGCATACTGTACTTCCCATTTCTAGGGAAATTCTGAGTAACATTAAACTTTTATTTCACTGGCATTGAGCTCTCCATGTCCTTTTCCAATAAAGACCCATCCACAAATTGGCCTCTCTTGGCTATGTAATATTACATATCTTTCCAGCACTTCTCAATGCCTTCACCTTCTCTTTTCTCCATTATGCCTGCCACATTCTAACATTCCATATAATTTAGCATTTTTTTCATATTTCCTCCTCTTTCTTGAGTACAGCGTAAGCTATTGGGGTCTGTCTCTTGTTTTGTAAATGTCCCATGCAGTTAAGATAGTGTCTGAAATACAGTAGGTGTTCCTTGAATATTTCTTAGAACTATGAATAAGCATAATACTACAGCATCCCTGTTCACCTTAATATTCTGATAGCACTTTCTAAATGTTTTCTTTACTTCTCCTTCCAGGTATTATTGAGTGTTTTCAAGAATGAAAAGAGGCCTGGCATGGTGGCTCACATCTGTAATCCCAACTTTTTGGGAGGCTGAGGTGGGAGGATCCCTTGAGCCCAAGAGTTTGAGGCTGCAGCAAGCTATGATCGTGCCACTACACTCCAGCCTGTGCAACACAGTGAGATCCTGTCTCCAAAATTAAATAAATAAATAAAATTACATTTTGGAGACTAAACGCTGCTTGTAGTCATAGTTCTAACACAGCTGTGTGCTCAGCTTCATTTGCTCACTTCTCAGAATTCAATGTCTCCTGCTCAAATTTTGCTGTCATCTTAACCGTTTTCACTTATCACAGATATGTTTCTCCAGGTCCATTTCGTCATGTATCTGTGAATAACTACAGAATTATTAACTTTGAGTAATTTGGCCGGGCGCGGGGGCTCTCCTGTAATCCCAGCACTTTGGGAGGCTGAGGCGGGCAGATCACGAGGTCAGGAGATCGAGACCATCCTGGCTAACACGGTGAAACCCCATCTCTACTAAAAATACAAAAAGTTAGCCGGGCATGGTGGCAGGCGCCTGTAATCCCAGCTACTCCGGAGGCTGAGGCAGGAGAATAGTGTGAACCTGGGAGGCGGAGCCTGCAGTGAGCTATGGTCGCACCACTGCACTCCAGCCTGGGCGACTGAGCAAGACTCCGTCTCAAAAAAAAAAAACACAAAACAACTTTTGAGTAATTTAAACAATTCACAAATGTTTTTGTCTTTCTTTCCCCATACACTCGCCCTTTTCTTTTTTAAAACCATAAATAAATCTCAATTCTCAATTCAGACACTGTCGGTGTAATTGCAGGTGAAATGAGAATCACCTCCCAGCCAAGAAATCTGATCCCAATTTTCCAAATCTTTATTTCTGGGTTCAGACACCACATTTTCAGCCCCTGTCTTGGCATATAAAAGCATTTATAATGGTTCTTCTTTTCAGATAAGAAACATCACCAAAAGGAAATAGATATATCTCAACTTTTGGGCTAGGAACTCTCATTTGGATAAAAGAATATTTCTCCTTTGGTTGGACATTAGTGACCATACAGGCAGGAAAGGTGCCTTCCTTGACCACCTTCTCTCGCCTGTCTTCCTCCTCATGGTTCTCTCAGGTATTTTTTTTCTGAGGAAACCAGAGGAAGAGCTCTATATTAGTCCACTTGCCTCAGGGAGCTCCAGCATCCCTCCATAGCCACTGTCTGGAGACCATTCTTCCACTCCATGGCCCTGCCTGGGGACAATTCTCTGTTAACTCTGACCCAACTGAGGCTCACAAAACTGACTCAAAGCTTCCCTCTACAGTACACATATTTTTTAAATGAAGGAAATTTGACTGAACTATGAGTGGACTCAGAGTGACATTGGATGTTGTGTGTCCATTTGGTGGTGTGGCTTCAGGGAACATCTGTAAGAATATATCCCAATATTTCGGGGATCCCTGCAGACCTCACTACACAAGACCTGGTTGAGGGTCCTTTAAAAGGAGCGAAGCCACGCCCTGACCTCAGAGTCTCAGGGCATAATTTCTCAGCGCCCCTCGCAGTACCATTTGGCCTTTGCCCAGCGTGCAGGGGAGTTAGCCGTCACCACGGCCAAGTGCACATGAGAACTGCATTGCCCAGAAACCTGTGCGCCGCCCGGCGGCGGCACTCTTAGGGGCGTCTCCCTGCGGACGGAAGCTCTCTGGGCGGGACTTCCGGTATCTTCCTCGCGGTGGACATCTTGTCGGCTCTTAGGTGGAACCATCGGAGCAGAAGCTCGGGGTTGCTGGGCGGTTCCGAGGTGACGGAAGCGGGAGGGTGCGGGAGAAGTCGCTGTTCGCTCTGCGGAGTGGCTCGCCAGCGAAGACCCCGCCTGCGCCCCCGGGGACGGACGACCGCGGTGCCAGGGTCCCGCGACCTGGGACCCCCTCGCGGCTCCGGGTGGTCTACGAACTGTGATGGCGGCGGCCGCGGTGATGGGCCCGGCGCAGGTGGGTGCTGCCTTTCCCAGACTTTCGCCCGCCCCAAATCCTGAAGTTCCAAATGAGGAGCGCCTGTCTGAGTCCCTGCAGCGCAGGCCCCAGTGTCCAAGGCAGCGGGGCGCTGGTGGGTGGGGGCGAGTGTGACTGGCAGAGGGGCAGCCTGAGCATAGGTTTGGAGCTGGACTGAGCCCGTAGCAGTCGGGAGCGTGTGTGAACCGTAGTCAGGCCTGCAATGTCGAGGGGAGAAGTTGCTCCTTCATTGCGAGGACGATAGGAGCCATGGCGGGTTTTGAATGGTGGAGGGAAGGGATCCGAAAAAGGATTTTTAAAGTATTCCAATGTTTGCTGAGGAGGAAACCGACTACAGTGAGGTAGAAACGATGAGGATGGAGGCAAGGAGACGTTTGAGGAGGTCCCTGCAACAAACTCCAGAAGTGTTGCGGTGGTGGCTGGGCCAGAGCAGTGGCAGGAGGGGTTGGGTGGGGAAGTCATGAGATTCTGGGTAGATTTTTAAAGATGGAACCAATGGGGTTTCCTGCCGCATCAGATGTGGTCGTGAGTGAATGTAGGGAGGAAAGGGCTATCCAGGGTTTTTTTGGCCTGTTTTCCTTCCTGAACGTGTGAAAGAATGGAAATTGGTAAGTCACAGCAGGGAGCACGTTTCAGGGGCATCAGGAATTGGGTTTTGGACTTGGTGAATCTAAGGTGTTCTGCACTGGAGGTTCATCACGGGTAGCTGAACATGCAGGTCTGGGGTTCTAGAGAGGGAGTTGTGCTAGAGACTTCAATGGGTGAGGCATAAGGTCAAAGCCTGTAGTAGATCAGATTTAGAGGGTGGAATTTCAAGGAAGTTATTTTGTGTGGTCTCTGAAGTGAGAGGTGGGTTTAGGGTGGAAGGCCAGGGATGAAGGGGTGGACACTTAAGATTCCTTCCAGAAAGGAGGGGTCCTGGCATGTGAAAGCATTCTAGATGGTGTTGTTGGAAGTCAATGCTTGGTGCTGCAAAGTGAAACCAGCACTCAGGCAAAAGTTTTCTCAGCAAGGCAATTTACTTCTGTGCAAGTGTGCTGCCTGTGTTAATCACGATCCCAAGAGCACACTGAACAAAGGAGGGAAGGGGTTTTTATCTCTAACCCATAGTCCCTACCTTCCTCTGTGTCACTCCCCCATGGGCTGGGGTCGGACCGCTTAATCTAAGCTGAGCCAATTGGGTATTTGTGAGTATTTTCCAAATAAGGAAGAGGGAAGGGGAAGGTGAGTTACAGTGGTGGGACATGTGAGTTGTGTAGGACGTGTGGTTTTGGCGGGGGCAATGGGTGCAAAGTGAGTAAGGGAACAGATGTGAATTATTGGTTAGTGCTTACAGGAAGGTTGTTTATAGTAACTAGGGGCAAGGAGGCATGGAGAACAAGAAAGGTTTGAGAACAAAGAACAAGGAAGTTAACAGGCTAAACCTTTGAAGAGGAATTTTATTATATCTTATAGTGTCAGCAAGAGGAGAGGGCTGTAGAGCATAAGTAGCCTGGCCTGCACTGGAGACCAAGGTGAGGGATGCAGTAGGTTTGCCACCCTACAGGCTCAGCATGCCTTCATGGGCGCTGCCTGTGGAGCAGTCCCATCCCCAACCAGTGCATTGGTGCCTCAGTTACCCAAACCCTCAGGTAAGCAGAATTGATGAACATCTCTAATGAAGGATCACTGCAGCTCCCCTTCAGAGGAATATGTATCAGGTAGGCTGGTTTAGTGCAAGGGCTAGTGTACACCTTGCAAGTACGCAGAAGGAACTAAAAAATGTATGTACAAAGTAAGGGAAATTTATACTAGCACTTAATGATTGGTCAAAATATTAAGTTGCCTTGAAGTATTTTATTACAATGGAAAAATCTTAACCAAATTTTCTTAAAAGCTTTAAAGCAGGCAAAACAAACCTAATTTTTCAAAAACTCATCAGTTCATTTGCATGGATAGTAGTAGCTGTTTCAAAGGCACTTGAGATGTACAGACAAGCCTGATACAAACAGTAGCCCTATGAGGTGGGTGCCATTATTATCCCCACTTTTAAGATGAGGACACTCAGACGCTGGTCTTTATGTTCACACAGCTGGTGGGAGCCAGCACTGAGATCTGAGTATCTGAAGTTAGAGAGGTAACCCAAAATCATTCCTGCCAAAGGGCAGGGTAGGCAGGGCTTAGGGAAACAGTTCAGTCGATGAGATCCCACTGTGGGAACCTGCCACTCCCAGCTTCCCTCCTCTTGTGAGGTTGCCATGGTGGCAGAAACTTATGATTCCTACCTAGATGAGAGTAGATTGTCTCAGGCCCTCACTTAGCCCAACACACCCCCATTATCTCAGCAACTCAGTGTGGAGAATGATAGTGTTCTGGGACTCTTCAGTGTCCCTTCTGCCTACCGTTCTTGGAGGTCCTGCAGTCACCCAAAGCTCTGTGTTGTAAATTCTGTTTTGGAATTATGTGGAAGGGTTTCTATTTCTGGCAAGCAATGGGATGAAATGTGGAACATTATCTCAGGCATAGGAACCAGCATGTGCAAATACTTAACTTAAGGCTAAACTAGGAGTGTTCAGGGAACCTCAGGCCTCCATTATGTCTGGTGGGATCAGACAGCAGGGACAGGATTCAGCCCAGAAATGGCAGCCTGAGGATCTGGGTTTGTATGCTGAGAGAATTGGGAGCCACTGCAGGTTTGGAGCTAGGAGGGAGTGATCTGACTTTGGTCTTAACCAACTTCCTCTGTACAGTGAAAAAAGACTGTGGGAGTGAGGATGAAGGAAGGAATACCACTGAGGAGCTTAATGCAACAGTTCAGGTTGGACCAGAGTGGTCGCTGTAGAGGTGGGAGATGTGGATGGATTCTGAATCATTTTTCTTAAAGTGGGACCAACCAGATTTTCTGATGTGGAAGATGAGAAAGAAAAGGCAAGGGGTGAAGGAAGACCCTGGATTTTTTAGTCTGAGAAGATATAAAGATGCCATCAACTGAAGTGACAAAGTTGGTGGTAGGAGTACCTTTCAGAGGTAATATCAGGAGTGCAGTTTGGCTATGTGGAATCTACCATGTTCCAAAGACACTTGAGTGGAGGTGTCAAGTAGACAGCTGGACACAGAGATCTGAAGTTCAGAGAAGGGATTCAGGTTGGAGCTATCCACAGGGTGGCAGCCAGCATGTGGATCAGGATGGAGCTTTGCTTCCAATTTAGAGAGAGAATCTTTAGGTCATGGTGACAGTGCCATCAGCACACTGTAAGGGCAGACACAGCAGGGTAGAGGTAGGGGCCATCTTAGAGTCTAGAAGAGGGAGGGAAATGTCCCTGGGAGGAAGGGGAATAATAGGGTCAGGCAGGTGGCAAAGCGTTCCAGGCAGAGAGTGGATGTGAGGTGAAGTACTGTAGTAATAGAAGTGAGGTGGCAGTGAGGCCAGAGCCAGTGCTTATTCAGCTCTTTATGTGCTCCTCAGGCTTCCATGGTGACCTTTGGTGGGACCTGTGGAGTTTCAGTCAAGCTAGTGAATTAGCCCAGGGACAGATTGGGTCAGTAGGCAGAATCCCTGTGCTTGGGGTAGGTGCCCAGTGAGTGTAGGTTTTGAATGAGTTAAATGTTGAGAAGCCTGTGACTGACCTCAGTAGTACAACAACAAAGCAGAAAAGGGCTGAGTTTATCTGGGATCTGCACATGGTTCTGGATTGCTGAATTGACCCATGAAATAGAGCCAGGAGGGGAAGATTTAATAGGTGGATTCAGGGCAACCCATGGCAGTGTGGCCGTTGATCAGGACCAGATGTAATCCTGGATGCATTATCCAAGCATTCTCTGGATGCTGTGTGCAGATTTGCATGTGGGGAAGCCATGGAGGTACCAGTGTTGTGGGTGTCCATAGATGTAAAGGAGGTATAGCCAAAAGGGTGATGTGCACATGGAGATGGAGTGTGAATTCATGAGCCCAGAGCTTTGGTATGGAGGGTTTCTGAAAGAATGCTTAGCTCAGGTTTGTGTATGAGGAATAATCTGTTGATCCCCAGGGAGCTGGCTGATAGGAGAAGGGTTGGGTCCTACATACCAGGCCCATGGTGTTTTATCTGTCCACTTGCCTGTTCTGAGCTGGACAAAATGATTAATGGAATATGAGTCGAGAACAGGCACCAATCACACCAGGGCCTGTTATCTCATTTGAGTTAGATGTGACAAGGAGTCCTGGAGAGAGAGGCTGTCCTTAAGCTCAGTTGTCCACCTCACACAGGGCTATGTGACCTTCAAGGATTTATTTGTTTACTTCTCTTAGGAGGAATGGGAGCTGCTGGATGAGGCTCAGAGACTCTTCTATTATGAAATAATGGCTTCTGTGCTTCGCATTTATAGTCTCCCTGGGTAAGGCCCCAGTATCCCATTTTTCTGGGCTGGGTCCTACTCTTCCTTTTTGCCCTAGGGGTTGCTCTTTCCTTTCCATAGCTAGAGCATGGGTACTGCTCTCTTCTCTGATTCCCTCACATAGGTCCCCTGGGTGCCTAGGCTCAGCTAGATGCATTGGCCCCTCTCTTCCCTGTGTTCCTCAACTCCTGCTGCCCTGAAGCCTTGCCAGGAAGGGTTTGGAGGTCAGGGGTCCTAAGGTGACCCAGTGAATTCTGCTTGGCCTCTCCCTGGCCAGGTGACTGTCCACACTCATGACACCTCTGGACTCCAGGCTCCACCCGCTTCCTCTAATTGTAATTTCCTTGAGTCTGCCTGTGTCCTCAATTTCAGTCATCATGGTCACCACTTGTGGGCCCACTGCACTGTTCCTGCAGGACAATTTTCTGAGGTTCATTTTGTAGCATTTGTTTTCTTGCAATTTTGCATGGGTGGGCTACTCTGGCTAGTGCTCTCAGCCTGTTTCACCTTTCCCCTATGCTTTGTATCTTCCAGATCCTCTGTGGTTGTTGAATTGTAACAAGAGAGAGAACTCTGGCTGCCTGAGAGGGCATGACTCTAGTCACAGCAGGAGGGGCTTGGACAGGCCCTGGTGAGTGGGAGCTGAGGGACGCCATAACCTCAGGGCTGGGTTCCTGTAGTTCCGGAAACCTATGTTGTGCCCATCACAAGTGCCAAGGCCAGAGGCCCTAACTTATTTCTACCTTTTTATCCCCATTCTGTACACTCTTGTCATTTCTAATCTGACTTCTGACCCAGGGCTGTCTTCTCCCATTCTCTACCAGAGGGGCTCTAGTAGAGCAATAGCTCTCTCTGCGATGCTTTCCAATATTGTACTACACTTACACTATTGTGTCATAAGATGTGTGCATATCTGTAAATAGTCCCTGAACACGTTACTTATTTTTAATCACATTTTCCTGGGCCTGTACTCACATTTCGCATAGGAGTCACCTGTCACCCACAGTCAGCCAAGGTCCTGCTAAAAGTCATTGCAGAGGATTAAGTTGGAGACCTTGTACTACACCCCATCCTCGTGTCTTTGTTTCTTGTGAGGCCATCTCCATTCTGTGACTCTTAGATTCCAGTACTGTACAGCAGCCCTTTTTTCAACCTGATCCTAGCTCTGTTCCACCAGGAAACTTAGGTACTCAGTCCTGGGTACAGCAGACACATATTTGTGATGTAGTTGCCCCACCCACCAAAGTCAGCATGTACATCAATAGTATTTTTCTGCCTTCAGGTTGTTGGCATGAAGTGAAGGATGAAGAGTCATCTTCTGAACAGAGCATTTCTATAGCAGTGTCACATGTTAATACTTCCAAGGCAGGTTTGCCCGCACAGACGGCTCTCCCTTGTGACATATGTGGCCCCATCTTGAAAGATATTTTGCACCTGGATGAACACCAGGGTACACACCATGGACTGAAACTTCACACATGTGGGGCATGTGGGAGACAATTCTGGTTCAGTGCAAACCTTCATCAGTACCAGAAGTGTTACAGTATAGAGCAACCCTTAAGAAGGGATAAAAGTGAGGCCTCAATTGTGAAGAACTGCACAGTTAGCAAAGAACCTCATCCGTCAGAGAAGCCCTTTACGTGTAAGGAGGAGCAGAAAAACTTCCAGGCTACTTTGGGTGGCTGCCAACAAAAGGCCATCCACAGTAAGAGGAAGACACACAGGAGCACTGAGAGTGGGGATGCATTTCATGGTGAACAAATGCATTACAAGTGCAGTGAATGTGGGAAAGCTTTCAGCCGCAAAGACACACTTGTCCAGCACCAGAGAATTCATAGTGGAGAGAAGCCTTATGAGTGCAGCGAATGTGGGAAAGCCTTCAGCCGCAAAGCTACACTTGTCCAGCATCAGAGAATCCATACTGGAGAAAGGCCTTATGAATGCAGCGAATGTGGAAAAACCTTCAGTCGAAAAGACAACCTTACTCAGCACAAGAGAATCCACACTGGAGAAATGCCTTATAAGTGCAATGAATGTGGGAAATATTTTAGCCATCACTCCAATCTAATTGTACACCAGAGAGTTCACAATGGAGCAAGGCCTTATAAGTGCAGTGATTGTGGGAAAGTCTTCAGACACAAATCTACACTTGTTCAGCATGAGAGTATTCACACTGGAGAAAATCCTTATGATTGCAGTGATTGTGGGAAATCCTTTGGCCACAAATACACCCTCATTAAACATCAGCGAATTCACACTGAGTCAAAGCCGTTTGAGTGCATTGAATGCGGGAAATTCTTTAGTCGAAGTTCTGACTATATTGCACACCAGAGGGTTCACACTGGTGAAAGGCCTTTTGTGTGCAGTAAATGTGGGAAAGACTTTATCAGAACCTCCCACCTTGTTCGACACCAAAGAGTTCACACTGGAGAAAGGCCATATGAGTGCAGTGAATGTGGGAAGGCCTACAGCTTAAGCTCCCACCTCAATCGGCACCAGAAAGTTCACACTGCAGGCAGGCTTTAGGAGTGCTTTGAATACAACAGGACTCATCAATCAGATGTTGAATTTCATGTATCTGAACATTGACACAAAGGAGATACCTTATGGTGCCAGGTACGTGGGAACCTTCTAGGGATATGTTGCACTTTCTGACTTGCTCAGGTTTTTTGCCAGAGTTATGTCACTGTCAATCCATGTGGCCGAAACCATCTTAACTCTACCAGCTAAGATACCCCAGCATTGGGGAAGGCAGGGTTTTGTATTGTCCAGTCCCTGGAGAAAATCATGAAATGCCTGAGTTCATTGGGGGTCCTCATTCCCTTCTGTATGACAGGTATAGGTATGGATATGACCCATTTTTAGCCAAGAGGGTCTGAGCTGTATCTGCTGGTGGCTTATACAAAAAGTTTACTTTCTTCATGGATATTCTTGGTCTCACATACTTGTAATCAAGTTTTTCCAGCCTCCAAGTCACCTGGCCTGGGAAAGTACTTGCCTCATGTTGCTCTGGTTTGTGATAATAAAGGCTTTACAGTTTAAGCCACATTTAATCTTGGGGCTTCTTCTTATGGTCTGGGGTGGATTGAAAACAGGCTCTGCCAAACTGAAGACAGCCTTTGTGCGGTGCCTCCAACTTTGCCTCAAATGGGACAGTGGGTTGAGGGAGAACAGTTCTTAGTCCAGTTTTGATGTTAACTTCCATAGCTGACAAAGCTTGTTAAGTAAGAATTAAGATCTTGTGTAGACCTGATTTGTCTGGATTTTAGAGTTATTTGAGAGCCCATATTTCACCTTGAGGAGGGTGCTGCTGCTGTGACAGCCTGCAGTGTTTTGAAACAGCATGGATTGGGTGTCTTGTTTGCAGCATGTGTCCCATGTTCCCCAACACTGTTGAGGGAAAGCTGTTCCTCAGGACCTGCTGAGTGGCCATATTCCCTGAAGGCCTGAATCTGTTTCACAGGCCACTGTTGGTAAGATCTAAAGCATCCAGTAGGGAAACAAAATTGATAAATATTGAGTGTGAGTAATTGGGATTGGGGAGATTGTGGCAAACTAGAGGGGAAGTGCCCATTGTAAAAACACATCCACAGACAGTCCAGGCACTAAGGCTGAATGGGATCAGGGTATCCAGAAATCTCAGGATCTCCAGGGCCATGTTACTGTTAGGTCAAGGTCACTGGTGCAGCAACGAATGTAGTTTTTCTAGATTCCTCTCCCTCCCTGGGCTCTTTACCTAATGTCTTTGCGGCACAGGCGGTAACCCTGGGAGTAAAGAGGTGTGGTCCAAGGAAGTAGCTTTTGTGACCAGCTGGAGTTTCTGGTGACTCTTTTGGCAATGGTCCTCATTGTTTGCCAGTTTTTCTTACTACTGAGGAAGAGATTGTCTTCCCAAGATATTTGGAGTGATAAGAGTCACCATAGTGAGGTAGAGTCACTCTTAGTGATGTCCAGTTGTCCAGTTTCCAATAGAAGTGGGAGATCCAGATTTTTAAATGGGATAACTTTTTATAGGTTCACTGAGGTGTAATCAACATGCAATATATTGCACATATTTAAAGTGTACGAGTTAAGTCTTGATACACACACACACACACACACACACACACACACACACACTTGAAACTATCACCCTATCAGTGGTATTGGACATATCTGTTACCCCCAAAGTTAACCTGAGGCCCTTAACCTTTCTCTCAGTGCTCGCCTTCCCCCAGAATCCCTAGGCAACCACTGAGTAGTTTTCACTGTAGGTAAATTTGTCTTTTCTAGAATTTTATGTAAGTCTGCCTATAAAGTGTTAATTTTGCATGCTGTCTTTCATGCAACATAATTTGAAATTTGTCCATGGTATGTATGAACAGTCCATTTTAAAATTACTGAGTCATATTCTGTATGGATATACCACAGTTTATCCATTTATCTTAATTGATGTCTGTACTCCACCCCCATTTTTAAATATTAAAAAGCTGCTGCAAATATTGATGCATGAGTCTTTATGTGGACACTTAGCTGAGAACATTTTTAAGCAGAGGTTTTGAAGGTGTGACCATATATCTTACTAATTATAGTAAAATATATTGGAAAAGAGATACATACAGGGAAGAACTGTGAAACAGAAAAGACCTAAGATTTGATGATTTGGGAAATTCTCAGCCCATCTTAATTGGAAAAAAAAAACAAACCATTGAAATTAAGAGATTCATTGTTAGGAAAGATAGATGTTTTAGAGAGAGAGATGTTTTAGAGAGATAGCCAAGGATGTTTGCTGATACCGGGATCAAAACATACATCAGAACACTGTCACACAAAAAGCTCTTTGAAGAGATTAAATGTGACTTGTAGATCCCCTCAATACAAACAATTTATAAGAAGTTTAAACTATCACTCATCTCAGCAAAAGCCAAAAATATAGATAGGGGATTCCCTAGGAGGAATAATCTGCATAAACCTCTTTTCTAATGTTGTGAATTTCAGTGATGTACAGGAGACTCACAAAATTCTTGAAAATTTTATACCAGTGGAAATGCTCACCTTGGGTCTAAAGGGACCTTGAAAGTATGAAGTTAAAGGGTGTAGGCATGTAAAGTGTGAAGTTAAAGGTTGTAATATTCTATACATGGGACTGGCTGCGGAAACAGGTGCAAGCCCTTGCTACCTTTCATGAGAAAGGAAGGATGACTCAGAGCAGAGGAGAGTCCAGTGGGCAGAGTCCTGAACCATGTGATATTCCCATGTCTTGACTCCCAGTGGCATTTGCCAAACTAGATTTCAGATTTTCTTGGGATTGGTGGTTCCATTTTTTTTGTTTTCCCCCCTTCCATTTCCTCCCCTTTTGAAACAATGCATATACATATAACTATTATCCTAGGTCTTTCCCAACCTTTTGTTTGGGAGCAGATAACTAGTTTTCTAGTTTTACAGATCCAAATGAGACAGGAATAGCACTGGGTGGTCACAGGAGGATGGAAAATCTCAACACCCTGGTTTTGGTGCAGCTGAAAAAAAAAAAGAAAAACCCAAACAACAGCTAAAACGGGAACTAGGCAAAGAAACCGTGGGATAACAGAAAACCCAAAACAAAAGAGAAAACTGCCAGAACCCCAGTCAGGGTGACATGTCTGTAACTCTTCCAGGCAAACCCAAATAAGGGAGGAGGGGTGGTAATCAGGGGTCCCTGAAATCCCCTCTTTTCCCAGAATACCTAATGATTACCCCTATTAAAGGAACACCCATACAATTAGAAACCCAAACTTTGTTTTGCATGACTTGCTCTCAGGGGCACTCCCACACTTCTCTCTTGTGTGTACTTTTGCTTCACAATAAAAGCTGCTTGCCTTTGCTTCACTGTGACTCGTCACTGAATTCTTTCAATGGTGTTAAGAACCTGGATGCTGCTGGGGCTGGGATCTCACCAACAATGTCCAGAGACCCCCCCGAACCCCCCAGCAACACAGAGAAGAATTGTGCCCCAAGATGGGATTATACCTAGAGCCTCATCCATATTGGACTTAGACAATTTAGATGAAATTGGAGACTTTAGCTCAGTGTGGAGGCGCACACCTGTAGTCCCAGCTGCTCAGGAGGCTAAGGCAGGAGAATCGCTTGAACCCAGGAGACAGAGGTGGCAGTGAGCCAAGATTGCGCCACTGCACTCTAGCCTGGGCAATAAAGCGAGACTGTCTCAAAAAAAATCATAAAATAGTAAAAGGCATCAAATTTTTGAGGGGAAATACCTATTGGTGAACTGAAAACTCGACAACAGTTCTGGTGTGTGGGATAACATGTTAATAGCCTTGATCATTTTGAATTTCATAATCATAAATGGGATTTTGTTTTTGAGATGGGGTTTCACTCTTGTTGCCCAGGCTGGAGTGCCATGGCACTATCTCAGCTCACTGCAACCTCTGCCTCCTGGGTTCAAGCGATTCTTCTGCCTCAGCCTCCTGAGTAGCTGGGATTACAGGCATGCACCACCACGCCTGGCTCATTTTGTATTTTTAGTAGAGACAGGGTTTCTCCATGTTGGTCAGGCTGGTCTTGAACTTCTGACCTCAGGTGATCCGGCTGCCTTGACCTCCCAAAGTGCCAGGATTACAGGCATGAGCCACTGTGCCTGGCCTTTTGGGATTGGTTTAAAGAGCTGTGGAAGACAATTGAGCAATTACCACAGAGATTAGCAATGGAGTTCCTAGTATATTTGAAAATGAATAAAATTGTTCCTGGGAAAATTAACAATAGTGATCTCAGTCTAAATTACAGAGTAAGCAATTCAGAGAGGATAATATGCCACATATGCATAGATTTGTTTAAAACAGTAAATTATATAGCACTGTAAAAATTGAAAAAAATACTATTAGAACAACAAACAATTAGGTTGATGAAGCACAATAAGAGACTAATGAAAAGGAAAGAAATGAAATTACTTAATATCAAAATGTATGAAATAAATTTAAGCCATATACAAGCATGCCAAATTAACTTGTGAGATTAACAAAGAGTGTATTAATTGGGGAAAAAGACTAGGAGTCTGCAAATCCTAAGATTAGGCTTAACACTAAGCCTCTTACAAACTTCAAGTTTTCAAAAAGGCTCAAGGTTTTCTGGTACAGAGGTACTATGGGAGCACAGTTCAGATTTAACTTAACATTACGTTATTTAGGCCAGGCACGGTGGCTCATGCCTGTAATCTCAGCACTTTGGGAGGCTGAGGCGGGCAGATCACGAGGTCAAGAGATGGAGACCATCATGGCTACCACAGTGAAACCCCATATCTACTAAAAATACAAAAAATTAGCCGGGTGTGGTGGCAGGCGCCTGTAGTCCCAGCTACCCGGGAGGCTGAGGCAGGAGAATGGCATGAACCCGGGAGGCGGAGCTTGTGGTGAGCCGAGATCACACCACTGCACTCCAGCCTGGGTGATAGAGCAAGACTCCACCTCAAAAAAAAAAAAAAGAAAGAAAATTACAGTCTTTAGGAAACTAGATATTCATCAGAGAGTGTATGTGACCAGAATAAGCCATCTTACGACGTCTAGATGACACAGTAAATACTTATGCTGATTCAAAATTACCTGAGCTACTTCAACATAGGACATAGCAAAACACTGATAATTACATTACTGTATACTTATAAAAGATGCTTGTGGCTGGGTGCAGTGGCTCACACCTATAATCCCAGCCCTTCGGAAGGCCAAGGCAGGCGGATCATCTGAGGACAGGAGTTCCAGACCAGCCTGGCCAACATGGTGAAACCCCATCTCTACTAAAAATACTAACATTAGGCAGGAGAATTGCTTGAATCCGGGAGGCAGAGGTTGCAGTGAGCAGAGATTGCGCCATTACTCCAGCCTGGGCGGCGAGAGCAAAACTCCGTCAAAAAAACAAAAACAAAAAAAACAAACCATGCTTTCAAATCTGCCTAACAATTATAGCTTCAGAGTCCTTGTATTCAGGATTATCTATTTGTAACTTACTACTTTTTACAAATATTTTTCTTACACTAAATTAGAAAGAATGTTTGGTCTCGCAGGTGTCTGAGAATCTTTAGTAAAATACCCCTACAGATTCTATTTTGGAATCATGGTTTTAAAAAAAGCAAAAGTGTGTATTTCCAATTAATTGCTACAGAGATGCCAAATGTCCACTCAGTAGTTGTGAGTAAAACAAATTGTCTTATTGCTCTTCACTTCACAGGCAAATAAACTCTTCGAGTGATTGTGTGAAGTTCAGAGTATTAGGTCAGGGATGAAATGGAGGCTAATCCAGACACGTTATAAGAGAAAATATGGAATAGAGATTCTAGGGGCACTAAAGCAAATGCATGAGGTGGTCTATGCTTCTGAGTCCCTCATAGTATGTTCCTTCTGAGTATTTGTATTCTAAACCTCAAAATTACAATTTTTTGTATAACATTTCTTACTGGATTCTCCAAGATATAATCTACTTTTTGAAGAATATGACATTTATGTAGAAATAGTGGTTACTTACCAAACTGGTATTTGCTACTAGGAAAGTAGCATCAGTTTTTGGCATGGGCATCTGAACTCTGAGAATAAGGTTTGGGATTCCATGACCTCATCTCCTTGCTGGGAAGTGATGGTCATTTTATTCTTCCACCTGTAATTGCAGTGACAGTGTCTCCAAGAGGATTGGAGATGATCTCTGAAAAAAATTTTTGAAGTTAGAAAATTGTAGAAAGTTATTAACATTAATTACTGGAGTTATCCATTTAGAATGACATCATACCTAAAAGAGAAAATTATCTGTGAAATGGGAACAAATAAAGGTAAATAGAGGAAACAGTTCTAAGACATGGGACATGTAAGTTGAACCCTTGGTTATGCTGGAATCTTGGCTCCTATGAAATTTTTTTTTTTTTTTTTTTTTTTTTTTTTTTGAGATGTCTTGCTCTGTCGCCCAGGCTGGAGTGCAATGGCGCGATCTCGGCTCACTGCAACCTCCGCCTCCCAGGTTCAAACAATTCTTCAGCCTCAGCCTCTCAAGTAGCTGGGATTACAGGCGCCCACCACTGCACCTGGCTAATTTTTGTATTTTTAGTAGCGATGGGGTTTTGCTATGTTGGCCAGGCTGGTTTTGAACTCCTGACCTCAGGTGATCCGCCCGCCTCGGCCTCCCAAAGTGCTGGGATTACAGGCGTGAGCCACCGCGCCCAGCCGAAATTCTTATTTCTACAAAGTCTGACATTTTTTCATTCATATGAATGGTGAGGAATAACAAACTTGGAAGGAAAGAAATAGTAAAAAGAGAGTGAGAGTACAAAGGTGAAAGAGTTGAGGGAAAGCATTACTCAACATCTTATCTGGTTCAGAGGCTCATCTAGATTTGTATTTACAGCAGTGAACAACCTACAAAGAAATGTATTCTCAAGTAGGCTTTATTCAAATTAAGAGATGTGGTCTGGAAATAATAAAGAAAATATTGGAAAATATACACTAAGTTATAAAGAGACAGATTCTATGGAAAATATCAGAATACCAGCACCAAGTAATAACGAACACGTGAAGTAGGTAGAATTTCTATAGGAAATTTCTATAGTCAGGGTTGTCCTTATAGTGGAGATAATATTTGAGCATATATTTAAAGCACAGCAGAGAGAGAGTGATTTGTAAACACAGAGAAAATGTGCTATGGAAAAGAAATAGCCAGTACAGTGTCCAAAAAGCCTGGAAGTGAAAAATCATGTGGTCAAAGCACAATTCAAGAGTGACTGGTGATGGTTTTTATACCATCAAAAATCTCCCCAATGTGCACAATTACCCATGTATCCATTCACATGCCATTATCTCAGACCTCCTTGTCAACTGTCTTCTCAAACATATTCTTCCTTGCCCTTGATCACATTGCCAGGTCATGGACTGCTATCCTGTAAAATACTTGTTCTTTGGACACTTATTCCTCCTCATAAAAAGGTTTACAAGGTATGCCACTTGTGACTTCACCTATGGGGAAAATTTTGATCCCCAACTATCTTTCAAGAGGATGCAGAATATGGCTCTGAGGCAGCCACAGTTTTGTTTTGTTTTTTTTTTTTTGAAATTTATCTTTTTTTCCCACCCTGCCTTATGGTGCTGACACAATCTTTTTTATTACTAGGTTTTTAAGAGCACTTTTAGGTTTGCAGTAAAATTAAGGGGAAGGTAAAGAGATATTCCATATACTCCCTGCACCTACATAAGCATAGCGCCCCTCACCCCAACCGCAGTGGCACATTTGTAGCAATTATAAACCTACACTGACACATCATTATCATCCAAAGTCCCTACTTTACTTTAGGGTTCACTCTTAGTGTTGTACATTCTATGTGTTTGGACAAAGGTACAATGACACGTGTCCACTATTAGAGTGTCATCTAAAATAGTAATCCTCTGTGCTCCACAAATTCATCCCTCCTACCCTTCTAAACCCCCAGCAACCACTGATCTTTTTACTCTTTCATACTTTTACCTTTTCTCAAATGTCATTAATTGGAATCATACAGTATATTGCCTTTTCAGATTGGCCTCTTTCATTTAGTGGTATGCATACAAGGTACCTCCATGTTTTTTCACGTCTTGAAGATTCATTTACCTTCAGCATTGAGTAATGTTCCATTGTCTAGATATACTACAGTTTCTTTTCTTTCTTTGTTTCTTTTTTTTTTTGAGACGGAGTCTCGCTCTGTCGCCCAGGCTGGAGTGCAGTGGCGTGATCTCGGCTCACTGCAACCTCCGCCTCCCGGGTTCACGCCACTCTCCTGCCTCAGCCTCCCGAACAGCTGGGACTACAGGTGCCTGCCACCATGCCCAGCTAATTTTTTTTTTTTTTTTTTTTTTTTGTATTTTTAGTAGAGACGGGGGTTTCACCGTGTTAGCCAGGATGGTCTCGATCTCCTGACCTCATGATCCGCCCACCTCGGCCTCCCAAAGTGCTGGGATTACAGACGTGAGCCACCACGCCTGGCGATATACTACAGTTTCTAATCCATTCACTTACTGAGGGACATTTTTGTTGCTTCCAAAGTATGCCAATTTTGGATAAAACTGCTATACACACACATGTACAGGTTTTTGTGTGGACATAAATTTTCCACTCATATGGATAAATTCTGAAAAATATGGTTACCGTATTGTATGGTAAAAGTGTGTTTAGTTTTGTAAGAAACCACCAAACTCCATTTCAAAGTGGCTGTACAACTTTGCATTCCCGTCAGCAATGAGAGCTCCTGTTGCTGTACATTTTCTCAACCATTTGCAGTTGTCAGTGTTACAGAGGTTGTTCATTCTAATAGATGTGTAGTGGTATCTCAGTGCTGTTTTAATTTTTACTTCCCTGATGACATATGATGGGGATTATCTTTTCATACACTTATTTGCCATCTGTGTATCTTCTCTGGTGAGGTATCTAAACCTAAAGTCTTTGCCCATTTCGTTTTTTAATTAAGATGTTTCTTTTTTTTCTTTTTTTTTTTTTTGAGACGGAGTCTCACACTGTCACTAGGCTGGAGTGTCGTGGCATGATCTCGGCTTACTGCAACCTCCACCTCCTGGGTTCAAGCGATTCTCCTGCCTCAGCCTCCCAAGTAGCTGGGACTACAGGCATGCGCCACCACGCCCAGGTAATTTTTGTATTTTTTAGTAGAGACAGGGTTTCACCATGTTGGCCAGGATGGTCTTGATCTCTTGACCTTGTGATCTGCCTGCCTCAGCCTCCCAAAGTGCTGGGATTACAGGCATGAGCCACCAAGCCCGGCCCTGAAAAATTTACACAATTATACAAAACTTACTTAACCTATGCTTCATTACCTCATGAGGAGTACTGGGAAGTTTTGAGTACGTGCAATGGATGGAAACATTGAATTTGGACATAAAGAGTTGTGTCCTTTTTTTTTTTTTTTTTTTGGAGTCTTGCTCTGTCACCCAGGCTGGAGTGCAGTGGTACGATCTCGACTCACTGCAACCTTCACTTCCCAGGTTCAAGTGATTCTGATTCTCCTGCCTCGGCCTCCCGAGTAACTGGGATTACAGGTGCCACCACCACGCCCGACTAATTTTGGAATTTTTAATGGAGACGGGGTTTCACCATGTTGGCCAGGCTGGTCTTGAACTCCTGACCTTAGGTGATTCGCCCACCTCGGCCTCCCAAGGTGGGAGCAGCAATCACACCTGCTGGGATTACAGGTGTGAGCCACTGTGCCCAGCCAGTTATGTCATTTTTCACTAGTTTCTCAGTTGATTACCTGAAAGTATGAATTTTTAAAGCACAATAGGATTCAGCAGTCTCAGGTAGGAAAAAGGTAACCTGGAAAGATCCCTGCATGTGAATGCACACACAGCTTTCAGGGATCTGAGGAAATTCAGCATGTGTAGGATATAGAGGAGATACATGGTAGGAGGTGAAGCAATATGTAATGGTTGGTTCTGTAATATAGGCCCAGCCAAGAACTCTAACCTTTTTCCTAAAAACAATGACAAGCCCATTGTGAGATCTAACCAGATGTACAATAGTAGTCATTCCACTTATAAATTTTTGTAGTAAATGTGTAAACAAATACATTATATATTTGATAAAATCATTTCACAACTTTTAATTTTATTTTATTTTACTGGTATTAATTTGTCCTAAAGGATCATTTTTATTGTGAAACGTAAAATTTGATCTATCTAATATATATAAAATGTATATGTGTACATTTAACAATGTGCATATATGTACCTTAAAATAATATAAACTTTCTGGGCGACGGAGTGAGGCCCTGTTTAAAATAATGATAATAATTTGATATTTTATGCATTAAAAACTTTTGTCTGGGCATGGTGACTCATGCTTGTAATCTCAGCAGTTTGGGAGGCTGAGGCAAGAAGATTGCATGGCCCTAGGAGTTTGAGACTAGCCTGGGCCCTATAGGGAGACTCCATTCCTACAATAATTTTTTTTTTAACTAGCCGGGTGTGGTGGTGTGCTTGTAGTGCCAGCTACTCAAGAGGCTGAGGTGGGAGGATCACTTGAGCCCAGGAAGTGGAGGCTGCAATGAGCTATGATTGTTCCACTGTACTCCAGCCTGGACAACAGAGTGAGACCCTGTCTCAAAAAAAAATTAAATGTTTTGATTATACAAGGAAAATGAACATTCATGTATTAAAGCTTCATGTTTTATGAACAAAACTGACTTTGCAGGCAGGAGAGCGTTTTCTGGGGGCACCAGAAGCAGGGAACTTCCCTTGTCCGTTGGCTTCAGGGCTGCCCACTATCCCTCCACTATCTTCCCATTGTAGCCCTGTCTGGTGTCTTTTGTCCCTGACAAAACCTACAAAAAGTGACTTTAACACTTCAGGCTGCATGCATTTGAAGAGCAATAAGATAACGTTTTTTCGCTTCCCACTACCAGTGGAGATCTGCTGGGGTGGGCTGCATGGAATCTGAAATGATGTCTAAATACTGAAGTGAACCTCTACACTAGAGACTGATATACAGCTGACCCTTAAACGACGCAGGGGTCAGGGATACCGACCCCTGCGGAATTGAAAATGCTTGTATTACTTTTGACTCCCCTAGGTCTTAACTACTAATAGCCAACTGTTGCCCGGAAGCCTTATGAAGTTGCCCGGAAGCCTTATGAATTACATAAACTCCCAGTCGATTAACACATTTTGTATGATATATGCATGATATATGCATAATATATATGATATATGCATTTTGTATGATATATGCATTATATATATTTTAGTATAAGAACTATACTTGTACTAAAACAGACCAGAGAAAGGGTATCAGGAAAATTGTAAGAGGCTCGTTGACATTACACCCAATTAAAAAAAGGAAAATAAAAGAATACGGAAGGGAAAATACATTTACTAATCATTAAGTGGAAGTGGATCATCATAAAGGTCTTCATCCTTGTGTTCTTCATGCTGGGCAAGAGAATGAGGTCTTGCTGTCTCTGGGGCAAGAGGTCGGGGAGCTGGAAGAGGCAGGAAAAGGAGCACACTCGAAGTAACGTTTATTGGGGAAAAAAAACGCCTACGTGTAAATGGACCCGCACAGCTCAAACCTGTGTTGTTCAAGTGTCAACCTACTTAAGACCTCAAACACCGAAGCCCCTCAGTCGCCCTGGAAGGCAGCAGACGCAGCTTCCTAGCGCTCCCAGCTGTCTGCACACAAGGCGCCCTCCGTCGCAGCCTGGGGGAGACTACATTACCCAGAAAGCCTTGCGTCGAGCGGCAGTACTTTGATCCAATGAAAATCCAAGACAGGGGCATTTCCGTGTGGGTCTACCCCCGCCCCCCCCAGGGCGGGACTTGTGGCGTCTTCGCAGCGGTCATTTTGGCTGCCCTCCCGGAGGTCCGTTCTGTCTGTCAGCCGCTTTGGTACGCTGCATCGGGATCGAAGTGACGGACCGTGAAGGCGCGAGAGTCAGGTCTGAGGGTCGGGGGCAGAGCCGCCCGCGAGGCCGGCCTGGGGATAGCGATGCTCGGGTTCCCCCCGGGTCGCCCGCAGCTCCCGGTCCAGCTCCGCCCACAGACTCGGATGGCGACCGCACTGAGGGACCCGGCTTCGGTGAGCGCTGCGATCTCCGGGCCTCCCCCGGCCGAGATTCTTAAGTCCCAAGTGAGAGGCACCAGCTCACGTCTCTGTAGCACAGGGTCGGGGACACTGAGGCTCGTGGGTGGGGCCCCTATTTCTGACATCCGATGTGGTGGGCAGGGGGACAAGGGACAGGACCGGCGCGTGCAGGGCTTGGACGGGCAACCGAGAAGGGGGCATTCAGGAACCTGGGCTCCACATTGTTACTGCAGGGAACAAAGTTTGAGAGAGATCTACCTTTATTCTTAGGGCCGTGGGAGCCATAGAGAGCTTGCGCAAACGAGAGACACCATCTGAGTTAAATTTGAAAAATCCTCTGCAGGCTGTTCAGTGGAAGAAAAGACTTTAGAGATGGATGAGGACGTTGAGGCAGAGGGAGGTTGAATATTTTTCCAAGGCCACACAACTGGTGAGAGGCAGCACTAAGGACCGAGGCGCACAGGTTAGACAGTCGACCCAAAGTTACGTGGCTCTGGGCCGGGGCAAGGGTACAGGGAAGGCCTGTGCCCATGGAGCACTGCCATGATCACATTCCTCTGAGGCCTGCGTCTTTCCACAGGTTCCCATAGCTACAGAGGTGCTTTTCAAACTTACACAGGTAAGTGGAGGTATCTCAGCCCCTCACTGGTCTGGAATGTCCCTCCACCCTCCCCAGACAGATATTTTCTTTAGATTTGTGGTGTCATGGGACTCACCTACCATTCTCTCAGCGTTTGGTTTGGGAACCCTGGAGAATCCCTGAGCTAAGGGCCCTGAGTCCAGGCCAATGTTTCCATTTGGAGCAGCCAATGGAAAGATGGGTGAAAATTTATGATAGAAACAGGTAGGTACCAGCTTTTGGAACTCCTTGGAGGTGAGGCTGAGCTGGTTCAGGGAACTGCAGGTTTCCTTTATTTCTGTGAAGTTTGGCATCTATTGTGAGGAAGTTGGAGTTTGGGATCAGAGGAGGGAGATTTATCTAACCCAAGTGTTGACAGGATACAGAGTGGAAAACAGAATGAACACAGTGACTAATGGGAATGTGAAGAGACAGCAGGGATCAATGACACCAAGGTCTGGTGTCTCTTCTGACTTGGGGATCTTGGGAGGAGAATGTATGGGGACATGGATTTTGAGTCTTCCAAATTGAGACTGTTCATGGTTTCATCAATCCCTATTATGCTAGGGAAGTGTGACCTTTGAAGATGTGGCCGTGTACTTCTCCTGGGAGGAATGGGATCTCCTTGATGAGGCTCAGAAACACCTGTACTTCGATGTGATGCTGGAGAACTTTGCACTTACGTCCTCCCTGGGTAAGGCCCTCATACTCACCCTTGTGCCCTGGACTAGGCTCTCTGTTTCTCCTTTTCCTCAGGAGCAGCTCTGTCCTCATATCTGGACTATAGGCACTGCCTCCTTCCCCAGTTCCCTGGGTAGATGTTGTGGACTGAGTGCAAGCCTACTTCCCTTATCGTCCCAGCCCAAAAGCATCTTGGGTAAGGATTTGGGATCAGTAGTCTTACAGTAAGCCTAATAGATCCCACCTGACTTGCCTTCTCCCTGTCTGGTGACTTTCTAGATCTATGGCACCCAGTTTTCCCTCCCTTCGTGTACCTAACATTTATTTGTGCTAGACTGTGACATGAAATGTAGTCACTGACATTGCCACTATTTACACAGACTGTTCTTCAACCACCAACCTTTCCATTAACAGCAGAACACTCTAACAAATTGTGCCGCAGAGACATTACACAGACTGTTCTTATAGAAACCTCCTTCAAGGTGTTTTTCTTTGTTTTTAATTGTAAAATATATATAACAAAATTTACCATTTTAATCATTTTCAAGTATATAGTTCAGCGCATTTAGTACATTCGCATTATTGTGCAACCATCACCACCATCCTTCTATAGTACTTTTTCATCTTATAAAACTGAAACTTTGTACTCATTAAATAATAACTCTTCCCATCCCCTGGCAACCACCATTTTACTTTTGGTCTGTATGAATTTGTCTACTGTAAGTACCTCATATGAGTGGGATCACACAATATTTGTTCTTTTCTATCTGGCTTACTTCACTTAGCATAATATCTTCAAGATTCATCCATGTTGTAATATATATCAGAATTGCTTCTTTTTAAGGCTGAATAATATTCTTTTGTATGTATTACAGTTTGTTTATCCATTCCTTCATCAGTGGACACAGGTTGTTTTCACCTTCTGGCTGTTGTGAATAATATTACTGTGAACATGGGTGTACAGATACGTATTTGTGTCCTTGCTTTCAATTCTTTTGGGTATTGGCCCAAAAGTAGAATTTCTGGATCATAAGGTAATTATTTTTAATTTTTAAGGAACCACTAAAATTGTTTTTCATAGCAGCTGCACCATTTTACATTCCCACAAGCAGCTGACAAAGGTTCCAGTTTCTTCACACCCTCACCATCACTTGTTATTTTCTGATTTTTTTGATAAGTCATCCAAATTGGTGTGAGGTGATATCTCACTGTGGTTGTGATTTGCAGATTACTGATATTGAGCATCTATTCATGTGCTGATTGGCTATTTGTATATCTTCAAATGATATTGCTTATTCAAGTCCTTTGCCTATTTTTAAATTAGGTTTTATTAATTATAATTAGAAGTATTAAATATAATTTTTTATTGAGCTTTAAGGGTTATCTGTGTGTTCTAGATATTCCCTTATCAGATATGTGATTTGCAAATGTTTTCTCTTATTCTGTGGGTTACGTTTTTAGTGTGTTGATAGGATCCTTTGATGTACAAGTTTCTCATTTTGATGAATTCAGTTTTACTTTTTTACTTTTATTGTCTATGCTTTTTATATCATATCCAAGGAATCATTAACAAGTCCAATGTCATGAAGCTTTTTCCTTGCTTTAAGACTTCTATAGTTTTAGTACTTACATTCAGATCTTTGATCTGTTTTGAATTAATTTTTATATGTGGTGTCAGGTAAGGGACCAACTTCATTCTTTCACATGTAGATATCCAGTTTTCCTAGCATCATGTGTTAAAAATTTGTCTTCTTTCTCCTGGTCAAAAATCATTTGGCCAGATATTTGAGGGTTTATTTCTGGGGTCTCTTCTAGTCCATTGATCTATATGTCTTTCTTTATGGGAGTACCACACTGTTTTAATTTCTATAGCCTTGCAGTAAGTTTTGAAATTACGAACTGTGAGTCTTCCAACTTTCATCCTTTTCAAGATTGTTTTAGCTATTCTGTGTCTCTCGATATTTCAAATGAATTTTAGGATGGATTTTTTTATTTCTGCAAAATAACGTCATTTGGATTTTGATAGGTATCGCACTTTCTATAGATTACTTTGGCTAGTATAGACATCTTAACAATATTGAGCACTCTAGTCCATGAGCAGGCATGTGATCTATTTTATTAATGTTTTATTTAATTCATTTTAGCAAAATTTTGTAGTTTCTAGTGTACAAGGCTTTTACTTGTTTGGTTAAGTTAATCTTTAATGTTTTATTCTTTTTGATATAAGTGGAATTGTTTACTTTTCAAATTGTTCACCATTAGTGTATAGAAACGTAACTGATTTTTGCATGTTGTATTTATATTCTCCTATTTGCTGAATTTCCTTATTAGTTGTAACAGTTTTTCAGTGGAATCTTTATGGTATTCCATGTATATCATCTGTGAGCAGGGATAATTTTACTCCTCCTTTCCCATTTTGGTCCCTTTTCTTTCTTTTTCTTGCCTAATTGCTATGTTGAACAGAAGTGCTAAAAGTAGCATCCTTATCTTGTCCTTAATCTTAGAGGAAAATCTTTCAGTCTTTCATTGTTGAGTATAATTTTAGCTGTAGGTTTTTTTTTTTGCATATGGATTTTATTATGTTTAGGTAATTTCCCTGTATTCCTGGTTTTCTGAGTGTTTTCCCCACGAAAAAGTGTTGCATATTGTCTAATGCTTTCAGTGCATCAGCTGAGATGATCGTTTTAATTTTTTTAGAGATGGGGTCTTGCTATGTTACACAGGCTGGTCTTAAGCTCCTGGCCGCAAGCGATCCTCCTGCCTCAGCCTACCAAGTAGCTGGGATTACAGGTGTAAGCCACCACTTTGATCAGTTTTTGTTTGTTGAACCATCCTTGCATTCCAGGAATAAATTCTATCTGGTCGTAGTGCATAATCCTTTTAATATGCTGTTGAATTCAGTTTGCTAGTGTTTGGTTGATGGTTTTTGCATTAATAATCATCAAGGATATTGGTCTGTAGTTTTATTTTCTTACACAATCTTTGTGTCATTTGGAATCAGGGTAATGCTGGCCATACAGAATGAGTTTAGATGTGTGTATGCTACAGTTTTTTGAGAGAATTTGAAAAGGATAAGTATTAGTTCTTAGTTAAATGGTTGGTAGAATTCATCTGTGAAGCCATCAAGTCAAGGGCTTTTCTTTAAGGTTTGTCTTTTTTTTTTTTTTTTTTCTTGAGACAGAGTATTGCTCTGACACCCAGGCTAGAGTGCAGTGGTGTGATCTTGGCTCACTGCAACCTCCACTTCCTGGATTCAAGCAATTCTCCTGCCTTGGCCTCCCGATTAGCTGGGGTTACAGGCACATGCCACCACACCTGGCTAATTTTTGTATTCTTAGTAGAGATGGGGTTTCACCATGTTGGCCAGGCTGGTCTTGAACTCCTGACCTCAGGTGATCCACCCACCTCAGCTTCCCAAAGTGCTGGAATTACAGGCATGAGCCACTGCACCCGGCCAGGTTTGTCAATTTTGATAACCTTTTCAAAGAAACACCTTTTGGTTTTGTTGATTTTTTTTTTATATTGTTTTTCTCTTCTCTATTTTATTTATCTAGACTTTAGTCTTTATTATTTTTTTCCTGCCAGCTTTGGTTTTAGTTTGTTCCTCTTTTTATAATCCCTTAAGTTGTAAAAATAGATTGTTGAGTTGAGATCTTTCTTCTTTTTAATGTTTATAGCTATAAATTTCCCCTTTAGTACTGCTTTTACTGCATCTCCAATTTATTTCCCTTCTGATTTCTTCATGGCCCCATTGGTTTTTCAATATTGTATTAATTTCTACAGATTTGTAAATTTTTTAGTTTCCTTCTATTAAGAGTTCCCAACCTCATCCCACTGTGGTTGGAGAAGATACTTTGTATGATGTGTGTCTAAATCAAATGAGGCTTAATTTATGGTCTGTCCTGGAGAATGTTTTTGGTACACATGAGGGGAATGTACATTCTGTTGTTGTTGGGTAGAATGCTCTTTATATATTTGTTAGAGCTAGTTGGTTGTTTAGGTCCTCTGTTTTCTCTCTTCTCTCTGATTGTTCTATCCGCTGCTGAGAGTCAGGTATTGATGTCTCTAACTGTTATTGTAGAACTATCCATTTCTCCCTTCAGTTCTGTCCATTTTTGCCTCATGTGTTTTGATGGTCTATTATTAGGTGCATAAGTGTTTATAAGTGTTATATCTTCTTGCTCTACTGAACCTTTTATTAGTATATAATATCCTTTTATATCTCTTGTTACCCTTTTTGATTTAAAATCTCTATTGTATGATATTAATGTAGCCATTCTTACTCTTTTTTGCTTGCTATTTGCATGGAATATCTTTTTGTAGGCTGTCACTTTCACCTCATTTACATCTTTGGATCTAAAGCAAATCTCTTGTAGACATCATAAAGTTGGATCATGGGTTGTTTTTATTTTAACCCATTCTGCCAATCTTTGTCTTTTGGCAGAGTTTAAGCTAAAAGTTGGGAGCATTTAAGGCATTTACGTTTAAGGTAATCACTGATAAGGAAGGGCAGACTTCTATCATTTTGCTCTTTGTTTTCCCCATGTCTTATAGCCTTATAGCTTTTTTGATCCTAATTTCCTGCATTACTGCTTCTTTTGTGTTTGGCTCACTTTTTTTTTTTTTTTTTTTTAGTGAAACTTCCCTTGTCATTTCCTTTATGTACTTTTTTTTTTTTTTTTTTTTTTTTTTTTTTTAATGGTGTCTCACTCTGTTGCCCAGGCTGGAGTGCAGTGGGGCGATCTCGGCTCACTGCAACCTCTGCCTCCCATAATCAAGCGATTATCCTGCCTCAGCCTCCTGAGTAATCCCTCCTGGGATTACAAACGCACACCACCACACCCAGCTAATTTTTGTATTTTTAGTAGAGACAGGGTTTCACCATGTTGGCCATACTGGTCCCAAACTCCTGACCTCAGTTGATCCACCCACCTCAGCCTCCCAAAGTGCTGAGATTACAGGTGTGAGCCACCACGCCCAGTTCTTTGTATACTTCATGTAGCTCTTTTTTTAAAATAGTTACCATGGGGATTACATTTAACATCCTAAAGTTACAACACTCTAACTTGAATTTATACAAACTTAACTTCTTTAACTTTCCTTGTTCTTTTTTGTGCCGTGTTGTTCTGGGCCAGTGTTAGTTGCTCACATGTCCTGTCTTTCCCTTAGGACTTATATCATCCTGGTCTCATGTAGTTGCTCAACTAGGGCTAGGGGAAGTGCCCTCTGTTCTTCACAGGATGTTCATGACTCCAGCCTCAGCAAGATGGGATCAGAGAGGGCCTGGCCTACATGAATGGCACTTGGGAAAAGGCATGTCATCAGGTCTGTGTTTAAATTGCACCAGGAACCTGTCCTGTTTGACTTGTCTTGATGCCATTGCCAGAGACACTTCACTTCGACCTTCCCCTCTTCACTCTTAACAGTTTACAAACTTGTTATTTCTACTACTTGTCATTTTTATTTTGACTTCTAGCTAACGCTAATCCTCACCTCTCTGGACTCCTTATCCTACCTGTTCTTTTCACTGTTCCCTCTGTAGTGTTCTTTAATATTATTTTGTCCTGAAGTGTGCATATCTCCCTTAATAGTCCCTGAACACCAGTTACTGTTCCAGTGAGATTTTCCTGGGCCTGGGCATACACTTCACAGCATCACTTGTCACCAGCAGATGTGATCCCACTAAAAGCTATTATCAGAAGAATTAATTGTATAACATGCCTCTTAGTCCTGGGCCATACCTTAGCCTTGTGCACTGTACCTGGGAGGGCCTACCCTATTCCGTAACCTTAGGGACAAGTAATGCACAACAGCTGCTTCCTCAACCTGACCCCCCAACTCACTTTTCCTAAAAACAGGCCCATATACTGGTTCTTTGCTGTAACTGATGTGCATTTGCAATTGCATTGTCTCCTCCTAATAAAGGTAACATGTACTTCACCATGATCTCTTTACTTTTAGGTTGTTGGTGTGGAGTGGAACATGAGGAAACACCTTCTGAACAGAGAATTTCTGGAGAAAGAGTGCCACAGTTCAGGACTTCCAAAGAAGGTTCATCTTCCCAGAATGCCGACTCCTGTGAAATATGTTGCCTGGTCTTGAGAGATATTTTGCACTTGGCTGAACACCAAGGAACAAACTGCGGGCAGAAACTACACACATGTGGAAAACAATTCTACATCAGTGCAAATCTTCAACAGCACCAGAGGCAGCACATTACAGAGGCACCTTTCAGAAGTTATGTGGACACTGCCTCGTTTACACAGAGTTGCATAGTCCATGTGTCGGAGAAACCCTTTACCTGCAGGGAGATCAGGAAAGACTTCCTGGCCAACATGAGGTTTCTCCATCAAGACGCCACTCAAACAGGGGAGAAGCCAAATAACAGTAACAAGTGTGCGGTGGCCTTTTACAGTGGAAAAAGTCATCACAACTGGGGAAAATGCAGTAAAGCCTTTAGCCACATAGACACACTTGTTCAGGACCAGAGAATCCTCACTAGAGAAGGACTTTTTGAGTGCAGTAAATGTGGGAAAGCATGTACGCGAAGATGTAACCTCATTCAGCACCAGAAAGTCCACAGTGAAGAAAGGCCTTATGAATGCAATGAATGTGGAAAATTCTTTACCTACTACTCCAGTTTCATTATACATCAGAGAGTTCATACTGGAGAAAGGCCTTATGCGTGCCCTGAATGTGGGAAATCGTTTAGTCAGATATACAGCCTCAATAGCCATAGGAAAGTTCACACTGGAGAAAGGCCTTATGAATGTGGGGAATGTGGGAAATCTTTTAGCCAAAGGTCCAACCTCATGCAGCATCGCAGAGTTCACACTGGAGAAAGGCCTTATGAATGCAGCGAATGTGGGAAATCTTTTAGCCAAAACTTTAGCCTGATCTACCACCAGAGAGTTCACACTGGAGAAAGACCTCATGAGTGCAATGAATGTGGAAAATCCTTTAGCCGAAGCTCCAGCCTCATTCACCACCGGAGACTTCACACTGGAGAAAGACCCTATGAGTGCAGTAAATGTGGGAAGTCATTTAAGCAAAGCTCCAGCTTCAGTTCACATCGGAAAGTCCACACAGGGGAAAGGCCTTATGTGTGTGGGGAATGTGGGAAATCCTTTAGCCATAGCTCCAACCTTAAGAACCACCAGAGAGTTCACACTGGAGAAAGACCTGTTGAGTGCAGTGAATGTAGCAAATCCTTTAGCTGTAAATCTAACCTCATTAAACACCTGAGAGTTCACACTGGAGAAAGGCCTTATGAGTGCAGTGAATGTGGGAAATCCTTTAGCCAAAGTTCTAGCCTCATTCAACACCGCAGAGTTCACACGGGAAAAAGGCCTTATCAGTGCAGTCAATGTGGGAAATCCTTTGGCTGCAAATCTGTCCTCATTCAACACCAGAGAGTTCACATTGGAGAAAAGCCTTAGCTGTACTGAGAATATGCAATTTCCTTTTAGTGTAATTATACTGAAGGAGTACACCTGTGAGAGAGACAAGTACCTGATTTGGAAGCCCCAACATCTAAGGATATACAGTGGGCGGATTCCCCTTAAGTTCCAGGTATGTGTTACACTTTCTAACATGCCATTTAGAAAGTGTTAGACTTTCTCACCTGCCATTTATGGCTCTTGCCGTTTATGTCACTGACAGTTTCTGAGGCAGAAGCCGTATCATGTCTACCACCTGTGAGGTCCACACAGTGTGTATCATTTACCTCCTGAACCTGCTCAAGGAAGCAGACCTCTGCTTCTCCCCATTTGCTAGAAGAAATCATGAATAGTCTGAGTCTTCCTCTCTGACAAGTTAGGGCATGGACTTGACCCAGCTTTGTGCCAGAGAACCCAATATGAGTGTTGTTGGCAGCTTGCCAAGAAGGACTGTCTTTTTCAAGACATACTGGTTTCATGTGACACCTCCATGGATTTTTTTCCAGCCTCTAAGTCACCAACTTGGGAACTGCTTGTCTCACGTTGCTTTGTTTTTTACAATAATAAAAGCATTATTATTTAAGCTACCTTTATCTTGGCATTTGATTCACTCTTTGAGGTGGTTCAAAAACAGAATCGGGCCCTGCCAGCTTTACAGAGTAAACACCTTTGGAGGGAGAGGGAGGTGTCATATGCCTCAGTGACAACAGTATAATGGAAAAATACAACTGTCTTTCCAGCTTTGGCCTAATCTGAATTTGAATTATTGCCCAAGGCCTTCTAGGAAATACTGCAGGATATTATGGTCTTAATTCGTGGACTGGATGCAAGGATTTTTTGTGGGCTCAAAGGACACCCTGAGGAAGTGGGAAATTGTGACAAATTCCATTGCTTCTGGGAACAAGATGAATTTTGTTGTTATTCACAAGGGTTATTACATACTGCCCAGCACTGTTGAGGCAGTCTACCCCCAGTGCTGCCAAGGAGCCAAGTGCCCCAATACAATTTAGTAGGCTACTGTCACTGTAAAATGATGGGGGAACCATAATTGGTGTGGAAACACTGGGTTACTAGGGAGTGAAGGAGACTGCAGCAAACTAGATGGAATGTGCTCCTTGTAATATGTTCTAGTAATTGTGCAGGATCAGTGTGTACAGACATTCTTAGAATTTCCAGGCATGTGTATTTTTTGTAGCTGAGGTGACTGTCAAAAAATAATAAACAACCTAAAGGTTTTGTGTATTCCAATAGCCTTTCTGGGATGTGCACCTCAAGAACATTGCTGCATAGGCCAGGAAAACAAGCATAGAAAGAAGGGGCGGGGGATGTCCTTCCAGGAATGTGACTTTGTAACCTACCATCATCCTGTGTTTAAATGAATTCAAATCAGTTTCATTGATTACCAGTATTTGCTGCCCACTGAGGCAAGGTGTCCCTCCAAGGTCATCAGGAAAGAGAGTTAATGTAGGGTTACCAAACCTAGTCAAAAACACATTATACCATCATTATAATTATTACAATGAACATATCAGTCACCTCGGATTTACCTCAGGCCTTTTTCTAAGCTCTCCCTCCCCTCTCTGGCCCTCAAGGCAACCATTGATTTATACCTTCATTTATAATAGGTTTGTTTGTATTTTCTATAATATATGATTTTATTAATAAAATGTCTTTTTTTCCAGTTTCATTCATGATGCATAATTATTTTGAGATTCTTCAATGGAGCTTATATGTGGTGGTCATTCTTTTTATTGCTGAGTGGTATATTTTTTATGGATATACTATTTGTTATCCATTTGTTTATAAGCATTTAGGTTTTATCTAGTTTTGGCTATTACAAATAAAGCTGCTAGAAATGTACAATTCTTCATATGTGCATTTTTTTCACTTCTCTTGTGCAATGCCTGAGACACAGGATAAATGAATGTTTAACTTATTAAGAAATGGCCAAAAATGGGCTGGGTGCGGTGGCTCACGCCTATACTCCCAGCACTTTGGGAGGCCGAGGCAGGCAGATCACGAGGTCAACAGATCGAAACCATCTTGGCCAACATGGTGAAACCCCATCTGTACTAAAAATACAAAACTTAGCTGGGCGTGGTGGTGCGTGCCTGTAGTCCCAGCTGCTTGGGAGGCTGAGGCAGGAGAATAACTTGAACCCAGAAGGCGGAGGTTGCAGTGAGCCGAGGTCACACCACTGCACTCCAGCCTGGCAACAAAGTGAGACTCTATCTCAAAAAAAAAAAAAAGAAAAGATAAATGGCCAAATTGATCTAAAATGGCTGTTTGCTCTTGCTTACCTACTGGGAATGTGTGAGAATTCCAGCTGTTTCACATCCTTGCCAATACTTGGCATGGTCTATCTTTTAGAATGTACCCTTTTAATAAGTGTGCAGTAGTTTTAATTGCATTTCCCTAAGGATTCATGATGTTGAACATTTTTTCATGTGTTTATTTGCCAAATGTATATCTTCTTTTTTACACTTTTTTTTTTTTCTTTTAGACGGAGTCTTGCTCTGTCACCCAGGCTGGAGTGCAGTGGCGTGATCTCGGCTCACTGCAAGCTCCGCCTCCCAGGTTCACACCATTCTCCTGCCTCAGCCTCCTGAGTAGCTGGGACTACAGGTGCCTGCCACCATGCCCGGCTAATTTTTTTTTTTTTTTTGTATTTTTTAGTTGAGATGGGGTTTCACCATGTTAGCCAGGATTGTCTCGATCTCCTGACCTCGTGATCCGCCCGCCTCGGCCTCCCAAAGTGCTGGGATTACAGGCGTGAGCCACTGCACCCAGCCTGCCAACTGTATATCTTCTTTGATAAAATGTCTGTTCATATACGTTATCTGTTTGTTAGGAATTGTGTCTATTTTGCTTTTCATTAACAAATCACTAGTTTTTGTTCCACAATTAATTTCATGCTATGCACAGTGTAATTACCATATATACCACACACTTTTAAATTTAATCTGTATTATTCACATATTCTCTATCACATTCTTAAGTCTAGACACTTAGTAGTACAGTGAATCAAGCTATGGTTTATAGTGATGCCAGTTTCCCTGGTGTAAAACTTCCCATTGTGGCCAATTTCAAACTGTCATCATGTCACTGAATTTGGGGTTGGGAAGAGCCATCAGAAACATACCATTTCCATAATAGTGATCCATATTTAAATTTACTTCTAAATAAATTTATTTGCAAGTTTACTACCTGCAAATAGCCTCTAGAATGTAGACAATAAAACATAGTAAAATGATTAGGAAGTGACAAATTTTGAATATTTGTTTTTTAAAAAATATAAAAGAGGTATAATTGACAATGCAAACTGCACATATTTTTAAATGTACATTTTGATATTTTGATACACGCTTATACCCTTAAAATCAAAAATTTCATTGAAAACAAGTGAAAAGACAATCTGTAATACTGTTAACAGTTAACAGTTAAGTTATTCTGTTAAATACATCAGTTGTCCAAAAAACAAAGTAGGCAACATATTTGAAATACAGGCAGTTCTTGCTCTATTCATCTTCATGAACTGAAAATGCCTTGACAAAACATGAGAAAGAATGGAAGTTAACAATTGAGATGAAATTTGCCAACATTTATTTTGGAATCAAAGTCTATTTTCATTATGAATCCTCTGGGATTTTGTAACATAAAGTTTTCTAGTGCAAATACATTGGGATTTATTAGGATTTACTGATAAAGAACTCTCAGTCACATTTTAGTTGTCCATATTATATATTTGGTACATTCTGTGATAACGGAAAGTACAAATAGCACTAATGTTTTGGGGAAGAAAATAGCTACTTGTTGCCTCCTTCCCACAGAACCAGGGCTAGATAATGAGGAGCACATCTCACTAACTGATCACACAGCTGTCTGTAGACATTTGGCCAGGAAGAGCACTGTGGGATGAATCAAACAACCAGGAAATCAGGTGGAGGAGAATCAGAAGAGATGCTACTGTTTGTTTTCAAGTAAATCAGGCTATCTCCAGAAGGATCATCAATCATAGATAAGTGTTTACTTCTAGTGTTACACAGGTAGAACAGAAAGTATGTTAAATTTATATGTATTTGAAAGAAAAATTTAAGCATGAAGTAAAAACTGAAGGAACATTCTAGAAAAGTTTTAGTACACAAAATAAGAGAATGTAATTAAACGGTATTTCACTGTAGATTTCTGCTACTTTGGTCTCACCCATTAAATCCCCTATACCTCACATAGTTGACATGAACAAAGCCATTCATTATTCCACTGGCAAATACTTTCCTGTTATATATGTTCTATTCATTACCTATTCCAACAGCCTCTCATACACATTCACCTTCGAAGGTGATTTCAACAGTTCTCAGCTGGGCGCAGTGGCTCACGCCTGTAATCCCAGCACTTTGGGAGGCCGAGGTGGGCAGATCACTTGAGGTGCACATCATCTGGTGTGCTTAGCATTACTCCATTTCTGATACTGTTAGAAGGCAACTTCTAACTTTGTCAGCTCCAACCAATCCCAAGCTGGCCAAGCACCTATTGGGTCTCTTTTGCTCCTGGAGGCAACATAGTCTCCATTTACAAATACCACTCAGGCCTATTTATTCACCCATCCACAAAACAGCCCACTTTTGGAGGCCTTTACAACAGAAGGCCCTAGAGTCAGTTCAGATGACCATATAACAGACATTTCCTTTAGTGCCTCCTGGAGATTCCTTCATGGTGGACTACCCACTAGACTCTCTTCTTAGACTCTGGACCACACATCTGGCCATAAGCTGCCCATGGGCTTCTGGTGCAAAAAACTGCCTGTTTTGTCCTCATGTAACATGCAATTAGAGCAACAACTGCCAGCTACATACTGGGACCTCTTAGAAACAGAAGCTCTCACAGGACCTGAACCATGGCACACTCCACCCAGTTACACATTATTACCTGGGTCATGAAAGCAACACCTACAAGCTCAGCCTGATCACCAAGGCCTTGATACAGGATGGAGCCAAACCTGGGCCCCCTGGTGTATCTCACTTGGAAAAAGAGGTGGCCTTCTCTGTCCTCAGTCTCTTGCCAGATGCCATGGTGAAGGAAGTCTCCTCTCTCCTGGGCCCTTGGCAGCCCTGGAATCAAGTAAGTAAACAACAAGGGGAGAACACATACTTTGTTGACAGTAATGCCACCACTACATGAGCTGGAGCTCTCTGGAGGTCTGCTGCTTTTCTTCTAAACAAGACACACTGCTGAAGGATGGGAACTGCAGGCAGTCATTTTAGCGCTGGAGGCTACCTTGGCCAAGAAATTACCTCAATTACACTTCTAGTCATTTGGTGCAACCAATGGCAACAATTTCTCGTTCAAGATCATACTCTTGGGGTAAACAACTTCAGGAATTTCTTGCCTCTCAGATATCAAAGATATAAATTAAGATCATGTATGTCTCCGCCCACACCAAGGCTCAGACTGCTGAAGCCTAACTTAATTCCCAAGCTGGTAGATTACAACAATTTTCAAAAACTAGGACCAAAACTTTGTTGGATGACCTTCCAGGCCCATTCCTTTATTTTTGGCCCAATAGGCCCATGAAACAACAGTCATAGAGGAACCTCTATGAGGAACCCAATCTTGAAGACTGGGGCTAAACACAAAGTGTTTCCCCACCCCTCTACCATGGCCAACATGATGACGGGTCAGTGCACTCTGTGGGAATACCTGTCATTGGCAAGACAACTGAGGTGTGCTATTCTGGATCCCACTTTTAGTCATGTGGCAGGTAGATTTTACCAGGCCACTGCCTCTGTCTACCAGTGCCACTTGTTATGCTTTGACTGTGGTTGATGCCTACCGCCGACATCTTACTTTACCCCACTAGACATGGCACTGCTGAAGCTACTATACAGCACCACAAAACGCTCCTATTCCCTTTGGAGTTCCCGACAACAGCGGTGAACAAAGCTCTCATTTTAGACAAAGCATTTGAGAGAACTTGCGACATTCCAATCAGTCCCAGGCTGCTGGTTTTATAGAATGCCACAATGGCTTACTTAAAACTTAGTAGAAATTATGAAATAGCATATGGTCTTATAGATGGGTCTTTTTCCTGCCATTAGACCTTATTATACTAAATTCCCAGCTCTATTCCCTGCCAAAATGCACTGAAAACATCTCCATTAGATTTCATTGCCCTCTGTGGTGACACTTCACATAACAGAGCTTACAAAGATCATATTGAACTAGGCATTCCTCCTGTTCTTCCTCTTTCTGCTATCACTTTTCAGTCCCCATCCTGACTGGAAAGAAAGACAGACTGAGGGTGGATTGTGAGTTATGATCCTCATGAATGAATGCCCCTTTGGCTTCCTGCCAGAGCCATCTGGCACCCTGCTAACGTTGAGTCGCCTAAGGCAGGAGTTTTGCCAAATATTCTTGGTTATAAAGGATACTTAATTACAAATGCCCATAATGATCTCACTCAGGAAAGAGAAATCATGGCTCCAAGACCCACAACCACACCGTGTCAATAACAGGCCAGCAAAGACCAAAACTGAATTTGTCTAACAGCATCCTCCACTAAGGAACGCAGGCTCCCCCTACCTCATTGGCAGTTTTGTACACCTGTGTGTGTGTGCGCCGTAGGCTCCCTTTCAACTGCCTCACCATGTCACAGCTTATTCAGCTGACTGTAAGCCTTACCATGGCACTCTCCACACACTCTCCACACATAATCTATTTGGCTGGTCACACCTCAAACCTAAACTTGTTCTCCTGGACTTCTCTTAAAAATGCCAACTCCAGTTATTCAAGATGACCCACTATTATGTCTGACCAAAATGTTCACTGGCAATAATTCATACCAAATACCAAGTCCAAGACTTTAGCCCCTGAGAACTTATTGGTTGTATTTCCCGAAATACCCCTCGCTTCTGAAGTTATTGAGTCCTTAATCTCAGACTTCTCTTAATTTGACTTGCACTATGTGCATTTTGGGGCCAAATATAACCTTTTGTTATCCTGCCAAAAAAAGTTCTGTATTTTGATTGTGATGGTGATTACATGTATCTCCACACGTGATAAAATTGCATAGAACTGGCCAGAAGTGGTGGCTCATGCCTGTAATCCCAGCACTTTGGGAGGCCAAGGCTGGCAGATCACGAGGTCAGGAGTTTGAGACCAGCCTGGTTAACACAGCGAAACCCTGTCTCTACTAAATATACAAAAATTAGCTGGGCATGGCCGGGCCCAGTGGCTCACGCCTGTAATCCCAGCACTTTGGGAGGCTGAGGCGGGTGGATCACGAGGCCAGTAGATCAAGACCATCCTGGCTATCACGGTGAAACCCCATCTCTACTAAAAATACAAAAAATTAGCCGGGTATGGTGGCGGGCGCCTGTAGTCCCAGCTACTCAGGAGGCTGAGGCAGGAGAATGGTGTGAACCCAGGAGGCAGAGCTTGCAGTAAGCTGAGATCATGCCACTGCACTCCAGCCTGGGTGACAGAGCGACACTCTGTCTCAAAAAAAAAATTAGCCAGGCATGGTGGCGCGCACTTGTAGTCCCAGCTACTCAGGAGGCTGAGGCAGGAGAATCGCTTGAACCCAGGAAATGCAGGTTGCAGTGAGCCAAGATCACCCCATGGCACTCCAGCCTGGGTGACAGAGCGAGACTCTGTCTCAAAAAAAAAAAAAAAAAAAGCATAGAACTACACACATACAACGAGTGTATAAAATGGTGAGCTCTGAAAGAGGTCTGAGGATTGAACCAATGTCGCATTCCTGGTTTTGGTAATGTACTAAGGTTATATAAGATGTTACTATTGGGGAAAGTAGGTGAAAGGTACTCTGCACTATTGATATGGTTTGGATATCTGTCCTGCCCAAACCTCATGTTGAAATGTAATCTCCAATGTTGGAGGTGGGGCCTGGCAGGAGGTGATTGGCTCATGAGGGTGGTTTCCCCTGAATGGTTTAGCACCACCCTTTGGTGCTGTCCTCACGATAGTGAGTTATCATGAGATCTGGCTGTTTGAAAGTGTGTGGCACCTCCAACTTCGCTCTTGCTCCTGATCCCACAACTACATTTGCAACATCCTGCATATCTGTACTTCAAAATAAATTCTTAAAAATTTTTCACTGTTCCGTATATTTCCACAGTGTATATAGTTCACTGTTCTGTATATTTCTACATCAGAATGTATAATTTTCGGCCGGGTGTGGTGGTTCACGCCTGTAATCCCAGCACTTTGGGAGGCCGAGGTGGGTGGATCACCTGAGGTCAGGAGTTCGAGACCAAACTGACCAGCATGGTGAAACCCCCTCTCTACCAAAAATACAAAAATTAGCTGGGTGTGGTGGCGGGCACCTGTAATCCCAGCTACTCAGAAGGGTTAGGTTACTCACCACTATACTAATGAGGATGAAGCCTCTTTTTTTTTTTTTTTTTGAGATGGAGTCTTGCTCTTGTTGCCCAGGCTGGAATGCAGTGGTGCGATCTCGACTCACTGCAACCTCTGCCTCCTGGGTTCAAGCGATTCTCCTGCCTCAGCCTCCTGAGTAACTGGGATTACAGGCGCCTGCCACCACCCCTGGCTAATTTTTGTACTTTTAGTAGAGACAAGGTTTTGCTATGTTGGCCAGGCTGGTCTCGAACTCCTGGCCTCAGGTGATCTGCCCCCCTCGGCCTCCCAAAGTGCTGGGATTACTAGTGTGAGCCACGATGCCCAGCCAAAGTCTCTTTTTTATAAGGGCCTTAATCATACTCTTAAGGGAGGAGCTGTCATAACAACCTAATCACCTTCTAAAGGCCCTATCTCTTAATCTCATAATACCATTGCATTAGAAATTAAGTTTTAACATGAATTTCCACCAGCCTCAGGGGCTCACACCGGTAATCCCACCACTTTGAGAGGCAGAGGCGAGTGGATCACTTAAGCCCAGCCTGGCCAACATGGTGAAACCCTGTCTCTACTAAAAATACAAAAATTAGCCAGGCATGGTGGCAGACACCTGTAATTCCAGCTGCCTATGAGGCTGAGATGGGAGAATCACTTGAACCTGGGAGGTGGAGGTTGCAGTGAGCTAAGATCACACCACTGTACTCCAGCCAGGGGGACAGAGTGAGACTCCATCTCAATAAATAAATAAATAAAGATAATGTTAGCCCAAACGGTGCCATTTCATAAACCCTGGACAGAGTGGAAAATTCCACTAGGTCTTTGGCTGTGAGAAACATCCTGCCAGACGAGTCCCAAGCCTAACCACCTGACTGCAGGAAATCCCTCCCTTATCAGCAGCTAACCACAACGCCCCACCCCAGTCTACAACAAGCCCAGACCTCTCCCGCCTAGACCTATAATTACCCCAATCTGTAAGCAGGGGTGGACTCCAGCGCTAGCTGGTGTCCCCGTCTACAGGCCTTTGTTCAATAAACCTGTGTTGCCATAGAGCCATCTCCATTCCGTTCCTTCTCCCTTCCTTGCTCTCAGTTCTGAAACCCGGGACGACGCTTGGGTTCACTTGGAGGAATCCCTTTTTGCAACCTGGGAAGCAGTGAGCAGCGGCAGCTCATCCCAGGTGAATTCCCAGATCCTAATTAGACCCTTCACTCCCAGCCCCGTCTTCCTACCACTTTCCCTTTTCTCTCCTTCTTCCACTAGGAGGCTCCAGCAAGGATCACTCCAATTACTGGACATCATATCCAACACCAGTCTCCGATTTCTGGGTGAGTTCCCCCTTTCCCCCTCTGGATTCCTCTCATATTTCCAGAAAAGCCCAGTGCCAGGTGAGAGAACTCCCCAGTCACCACTGGGTAACCCTGACCTGCCTTCTCAGGGGATGTCCTCAGAATGCTCACTGCTCCAACCCCCAAGGGACTGTGAAAAGCTTCAGGGATGCCCCAGCTCTTCTCCATCCCTCCTCATGATTGGAATCAGGATACTCACCACCCCACACACCTATCTCACCCTCCTGGCCACCAATATGGGGCAGGGCTCCTAAAAACCCCCTCAAGACACCCCTCTCAGATACTCATCCAGAACCTCAAAACCCTGGGCTTGGTGCACTCCATTAAAACCAAATGCCTTATTTTCCTTTGTAATGTGGCTTGGCCCCAATATAAGCTGGACAATGATAGTTGATGGCCGGAAAACAGGACATTGAACTTCCAAATTCAACGTGATCTAAAAAGCTTTCTCCAATGCAATGGTAAATCGTCCGGGGTGCCCTATATTCAGGCCTTTGTTTATCTCTGTTTGTGGTCCTCTCTCTGTCAATCCTGTTCACCCTTTCAAATCCTCCTCTTCAACAAAAGACCCACGAAAACACCTCCTCTTTCGGACAAGCCTTCCTCCTCCGATTTTGACCCAGTCGATGAACCTCTGCCCTTGAACCCCTCCTCACCACCATATCCTCCTCCTTCTCCTTTGGTTCCATCTCCCCCTCTGGCTCCTCCACCCCCTTACCATCATCCTCCATTCTCCCTTCTTTCTCCACTGCATACACAGTCCTGTGCCTAACACCCTCCCGCTGAAGGCCATGCCCACATCCAAAACCCTTTCAGAGTCCTTCCCTTGTGGGAGACGGCAGGGGCTGAAGGCATAGTCTGAGTCCATGTTCCCTTTTCCCTAGCTGACCTCTTCCAAATTGAAAAGAGACTCAGCTCTTTTTCCACAGACCCTGCCTCCTTCTGTAAGAGATTTTTGTACATCACTCAATCTTATGACCTAATCTGGCATGACCTTTATGTCATCCTCTCCTCCCCTCTTACCCCTGAGGACAGGGGACATGTCTGGACAGCTGCTCAGGCTCACACTGATGCTCTCCACCACCAAGATGCAGCTCATAACCCAGTTGGGGCCTTCGTTGTCCCCAGAACTGATCCCAGTGGGATTATCAGCCAACTTCCCCAGACAGGTAAAGGCAAGATCATAAGATAACATGCCTCCTGGCAGGCATGAATAAAGCCACTCTTAAGGTAGTCAACTATGAAAAGATAAAGGAAATTATTCAAGGCCTTGATGAAAATCCTGCTCTTAACCAGCCTGATCAACATGGTGAAACCCTGCCTCTACTAAAAAATTAGCCGGGCATGGTGGTACGCCTCTGTAATCCCAGCCACTCAGGAGGCTGAGGCAGGAGAATCACTTGAACCTGGTAGGTGGAGGTTGCAGTGAGCTGAGATCACTCCACTGCAATCCAGCCTGGGTGACAGAGCGAGACTCCATCTCAAAGAAAAAAAAAAAAAAAAAGGAAAGAAAATCCTGCTCTTTTTCTTTCTCGCCTTTCAGAAGCCATGATTAAATACACCACCTAAAGCCCTCAGGCCAACAAGGGCAGAATCTATCTCCACTTACATTTCATTTCCCAGTCAACCCCTGATATTCAGAAAAAAACTCCAAAGACTGGAAGATGGCCCTCAAAATCTCCAGAGACTTAATCAAAGTGGCCTTCAAAGTCTTTAACAATAGGGAGGAAGAACCGAAAACCCAAAAGTTCAAAAGGTACTAGGCTAAATACCAGGTGCTGGCAGATGCCATACAACAGGGTTCCCAATGCATACAAAAATCCTCAACCTCAGGACAGCCCTCACCAGGAGCCTGTTTTAAGTGCAGCCAACAGGGTCATTGGGCAAAAGCCTGCCCTAATCCCAGGCTGCCCTCAAAACCTTGCCCCATCTGTGGTATCAAGGGACACTGGAAGTCAGACTGTGCTCAGCAAGACGCTTCATCCTGCTTGACCACCTCTAACTCAAACAGGTCCCCCATTCCAGATCCCAGTCTGGCAAGCATTCTTGGCCTGGCCACTGAAGACTGACAGGATCACCCACTACCATCACCACCTTAGAACGCAGGGTAACACTGTCAGTCTCTGGTAAGCTCATGTCTTTCCTGTTGGATACTGGGCAACATACTCAGTTCTACCAGAATATTCTGGACCTCTCCTCAGTTCTTCCATCACTATTTTAGGAGTTGATGGAATACCCTCTAAACATAAACAGACTGGCCCCCTATTATGTAACCTAGTCAACACTTGCTTCACCCACTCATTCCTGGTCATCCCTCAATGTCCCACCCCTATTTTGGGACTGAATATATTAATCAATTCCAGTTTTCCATAGAATTTACCCCCTGTCATTCTACCCCTTTTATTTTACTCTGTCAACTGGACACTTCCCTCTCCTCTCCCTCATCTTCCTTATCCAATTTGCTAGCCTCTGTCAACCCCAAGGTTTGCGATGTTTCCAAGCCAACAATAGCAGCATACCACACCCCAGACAAAATAACCTTTCAAAACCCTTCTACATTCCTTTGTCAGCCCAGTACCTCCTTAGCCCAGCTGGCCTCAGAGACCTCAAACTCATTCGTTGGAAATTCCTGCAAGCCCAAATTCTCAAGCCTGTTAAATCTCTCCACAACACCCCTATCCTGGCCATCTGGAAAGCTGATGGGTCCAACTACCTGGATTTTTTATTTATTAACCAGGCAGTGGTGCCCATCCATCTGGTGGCCCCCAATCCCTACACTTTACTTTCCCATATCCCCCCACCTCCACCACTCATTTATCTGTATTGGACTTGAAGGACACCTTTTTTCACCATCCCCTTGGATCCAGCCTCCCAAAGCCTTTTTGCTTTCACCTGGACAGATCCTGATACTCACACATCCGCACAGCTAACATGGACTATATTCCCACAGGGGGGCTGGAATAGCCCCTGCTTATTTGGACAGGCCCTCACCAGGGACCTGGCTAAACTTCCCCTTGCTCCTAGCACCCTCCTCCAATACATCAATAACACCCTTCTCTGTAGCCCCTCCCTTAACCTATCTATCCATCCAACACATCATTCAGCTTCTAAACTTTCTCCATTCTTGGGGATATTAGGTCTCACTCACAAAGGCTCAAGTAACCCAACCCCAGGTTACCTACCTTGGACTTATCCTAATCCCTAATATTCAGGCCATACCAACCCAATGGAAGAAGCTAATCCGGGATATGCCCCTTTCTCATACAAAGAACCTCCTTTCCTTCTTGAGCCTTGTGGGATACTTCTGGCTATGGATTCCCAACTTGCTGACCAAGCTGCTGTACACCACATCACGTGGGCCCATCCTAGAACACCTGGATCCAGTCTGTACCATTGACTCCCAGTTCAAAAAACTGAAAAATGCCCTTTCAATGTCGCCAGCACTGGGACTACCCAACCCCAACAAGCCCTTTACTCTGTATGTTCATTCTAACCAAGGCCTTGTTCTTGGGCTACTCTGTCAAACATTCAGCGGTACCCCACAAGCCATTGTATATCTCTCAAAACAACTGAACTCAGTCATCTAAGGTTGGCCACCCTGTTTAAGGATCTTATGTGTGTCTATGCTGCTGGCCTCAGAAGCTCAAAAACTCACCCTCTATCAATACATTACCATTGCACCTTCTCATAACCTACAGGAACTCATGAGTCATTGCTCCCTTCTTTCCCTCCTGCTATCTTACTTACAACAAACACACACCTCCTACATAAACAACCTTCTAATCACCTACCAAAGATGTAAAGTTCTCAACCCAGCCACCCTCTTCCCTATAAGGACCTTTGACTCTGAACTCTGTCACTCCTGCTTGGACTTTTTAGATTCCCTTTCCTTCCCTTTCCGACACATATCAGAGACCCCCTTACAGGGGACACCTACATGGTTCATTGATGGGAGCTCCTTTAAAGAGCCATGTCTTGCAGCAGGCTACACCATCGTTGCCAAACACAAGCTCCTAGAGTCCAATACTGTCGCATCCCCTACCACCTCCTAACAGGCAGAATTAGTCGACCTAACTAGGGCCCTCACCCTAGCAATAGGAAAAAGGGTCAATATTTACACTAACTGTAAGTATGCATACCACATTCTACACTCCCAAGCCTTAATCTCACAGGAAAGAGCTTTTCTTAGTACCAAAGGGACCTGCATAGTAAATGGCAAACTGATACACAGGTTGCTGGAGGTAGCTAAACTACCATTAGAGGCCACCATTATCCATTGCAATGGACACCAGAGAGCTACAGATGCCATAACCAAGGGAAACATTATGGCAGACTCAGCAGCCTGGCAGGTGGCCCACAACATCCCATCACTGTTGTCCATTTTCCCAGCAGACATCCCTCATACACCCAGGAGGAACAAGTCAAACTAACACTGGGGCTACCCAAAGGGAAGGCTGATGTTATCTTGACACAAACTCATCCTGCCCAAATCTCAAGAACTCTCTATTCCCTCCCACATCCACAACCACTTCCATGCTGGTTATTACCACATACCCCAGTTTTTAAAAACTTACACACACTCCACCACCATGACAACCAACCTTGAATGTTTAACCAGTCTGCCCAGTTTGTGGTCAGACTTCCCCTGAAGGGGCTCTTAAACCACCTCCTTTCTCCACTCATCAGGCATGAGGCCATTTCCCAGAACAGGACTGGCAAGTTGACTTCACCCATATACCCCCTGTAAAAAAAGGAAAGGGCCAACTACAGCCTGGGAAAAATATTTGTGAAACCTCTATCTAATAAATGATGAGTATTCAGAATACGTAAAACATCCCTACAAATAGCATAAACAACACAATTTAAAAATAGGCAAAAGTTCAAGACCAGCCTGGGCAACATGGCAAAACACTGTTTCTACAAAAATTAGCTAATAAGCTGGGCATGGTGGTGTGTGCCTGTGGCCCCAGCTACTTGGGAGGCTGAGATGGAAGGATCACTGATTCCAGGGAGGTCGAAGCTTCAGTGAGCTATGATCAAATCACTGCACTCCAGCCTGGGCAACAGGGTGAGATATCATAGCTGTAATTCCAACGCTTTGGGGGGCTGAGGAAGGCGGATCACTTGAGGACAGGAGTTCAACATCAGCCTGGCCAACATGGTGAAACCTCGTCTCTAGTAAAAATACAAAAATTATCCGGGAGTGTCCAGGAGTGGTGGCAGGCACCTGTAATCCCAGCTACTCAAGAGGCTGAGGCAGGAGAATTGCTTGAACCCGGGAGGCAGAGGTTGCAGTCAGCTGAGATCGCGCCACTGTACTCCAGCCTGGGCAACAAGAGTGAAACTCCGTCTGCCCTCCGTCTGTCTGCAACAGAGCTAGACTCCATGTCAAAAAAAAAAAAAAGGCAAAATATTTGAACACATTTTTCACTAAAGATGATATATGAATGGTATATAAATGCATGAAAATAAGTTCAGAATTATTACTATTTAAGGAACTACAAATGAAAACCACAATGAGATACCACTACATACTCATTTTGATGAGTAACATTAACCGAATGATCACACCTAGCTGTTGAAGGTATGAAATAAACTGGAGCTCTCATACATTGCTGGTGGAAATGCAAAATAAATAAATTTGGAAAACACTGTAGCCGTTATTAAAGTTAGTTGTCCACTTATCATTTGATAAATTAATCTCATTCCTAAGTATAACCTCAAGAGATGGAAACGTGTCCATAGAAATACTTGTATAATCATTCCTCAGTATCCATGGGGGACTGATTCCAGGACCCCCAAGGATACCAAAACCTGAAGATGTTCTAGTCTCTTATATAATATGATGTGGTATTTGCATATAACCTGTGTATATCCTCCCACATAATTTAAATTATAATTTAAATTACTTATAATACCTAATACAATGCAAATGCTGTTTAAATAGTTGCTATACATTGTCACCTAATACAGTGTAAATGCTGTTTAAATAGCTGCTACACAATAGTTGTATTGTTTAGGGAGTAATGACCCAAAAAAGGTCTGTGCATGTTCAGTACAGATGCAATTTTTCTTCCAAATATTCAATTTGCAGTGGGTTGAATCTATAGATGCAGAACCCATGGATATAGAAAGCCAACTGATTTTGCGTGTTATCAACAATTTTCTTCAAAGCTAAAGACTGGAAAACAAAAACAAATGTCTATGCACATCTGAATGGGTAACTGTGTTACATTTATAAATAGAATATTCCTCATAAATGTCAAGGAGGGAAAAAAACATTAATCTGAATCTCAAAAGCACAAGTGAAGGAACCAAACTCAGAGGTCTATACAGAGTAAAATTTCTTTCAGATAAAAATCTAGAAATGGTAAAACTCAAGTGGCAAAATGCAAATGAGTGATCCTCAGATCTGGGCCTAGGAGGAAGGGGCGGACTGCAAAGGGCAGAAGAGTACATAGGGTGAGGAGAACCTTCTCTATCAGGATTGTGGTAGTGGTTACATGCTGTTTATATTTGTCAGCACTCATCAAATTATACACTGGAAATTGGGGATCATCCTATTTGTATTATACTGCACTAAATTTGTTTAAGGAAAATAATAATACACACCAAAAATATTCACGGCTCAAGAAGTAATATACTTCCTGCCGGGTGCAGTGGCTCAGGCCTGTAATCCCAGCACTTTGGGAGGCCGAGGCAGGTAGATCACCTGAGATCAGGAGTTCAAGACTAGCTTGGCCAACATGGCGAAACCCCGTCCCTACTAAAAAGGCAAAAATTAGCTAGGCATGGTGGCACGTGCCTGTAATCCCAGCTACTTGGGAGGCTGAGGCAGGAGAATCACTTGAACCCAGAAGACAGAAGTTGCAGTGTACCAATATCATGCCATTGCACTCCAGCCTGGGCAGCAGAGTGAGACTGTGTCTCAAAAAAAAAAAAAAAAAAAAGAAGTAATATATTCCCAAATTGCTCTCAAAAATACTCTTCCTTAATCTTATAAAGAACATCTGCAAAATCCTAGAGTAAATACAATAACTCATGGTCCATTATTAAAATATTTTCGGGACCAGAAACCAAAGGAGGATGGTCACTGTCTGCACATATAGTCAATTATATTGAAAGTCCTGTCTCATGCAATTAGGTGAGACAAGAAATATATAATCTGTAAAGAAGAAAGAAAGCTAAGTTCCTCGCCCCCTTAAAATATATCTTAAATGTCATTTTCACTGTAAGTCCTACTATGAACACCTGATTTACTGTTTCACCCCATCCTTACCAACTTTACTTCTCAGCTGTATCCTGCTCTATAGGACCCATCATTTTCTAATACACTATCAGCCGAATAACATGGGTGCTTTGCTTACTGCTTACTGTCTGTTTCTATCAACTAAGTCTAAGTTCCATGTAGGCAATTTTCTTTTTAATTTTGTGTGTTGATATACCCCATATAATGAAAAAATGACCTGACCCACAAAAAATATGCAATAATTTTTTTTGAGGGGCAGAGCCTTGCTATGTTGTCCAGGCTGGAGTTCAGTGGCATGATCACAGCTAACAGCAGCCTCGAACTCTCAAAACTCTTGGGTTCAAAGGATCCTCCTGCTTCTGCCTCCCAAAGTGCTGGTATTGCAAGTGGGAGCCGCTGCACCTGGTCTCAATAAATAGTTTTTGAAACACTGAAGAAATATGACATACCAATTTCCTATTCATTTTTACCTCTCCAGAAATTCTGTCTAATTCATTCACTGTCTCTACCTTCAAGTTACCTTTGTTCTATGGGATGACTAAAAAACTCACACACAGCTCTATATTCTGCTACCAAAACCTTCAAAGCGGCCAGGAATCCAGCAGAGCCATATTCTCACCTTCATTCTCTTTCTCCTTAGATCTTGCTGTCCTCTGCTTACCTACCCTACAGATCAATTTTATTTTTACTTTTTCATTTTTTCCTACATAGGGTGCTCCTCAGCTACTTCTGTCATTCCTATTAGATATCTTTATGATTCACCATTAATAGTTTCAGTAATATACACAATACTCAAATGTTCTTCGCAAATAACCTCCATTCTCCTTACAGATGGTCGCTGCAATTACAGGTGAAGTGATAACCACTTCCCAGCAAAAAGGTGAGATCAGGGAGTTCCAAATCTTTATCTCAGGTTCAGATGTCCTTTCCACACCTGTACAGATGCCGTCACTCCATCATTCTGACACCAGATGCCAAGTGAGTAACTCATGCTTTTCAAGTAAGTTTCAGGTCCTTAGATGGAAACTATCTCAGAAAATTCAGTATTAATTGTTCTCTGTAAAACATTTCTGGGTTTGGAACACGAAAGAGTTTATATAGCAGGAAGGTCATTTGCTGAGAAAACTAGACACACATAGCATCCTGTCTATATGCCACAGATAAAGACTTGATGCTACAGACATGTTAAGAACAGTTAGATGACAATGGTAAGCTCTTGGTACTGTGCAGATACCTGGTGTCTGTGAGAGAGGTGCTGATATGTGCATTTCTTCTGTGAAACAGCAGGTTGTGCAAACTGGAATCTGTAATGTCTCCACATTCTGTCATCAGCAGAAGACTCTGAACATTTTTCTACCGTTTAAATGAGTCTCAATTATCCAATTTATAATAATGCAAATTTTACTTACAGATAAATATGGGGGAGTAGAGGAGGGTTGTGAGTTTCAGCCATGAAAAATTCATGGAGCTTAAAAATTCCTAAGTATCTCACCCTGCAAACAGATAATTATATTTCTAAAAGTGTCTTGACATTCTCATTCTCATGTACTCACAGTACTCTTCTCTATCCTCAAAGTTTCTGAATTGCTTCTCTGTTCCTGTCTCCTCTGTTATTCTGCCTCCCTCCTCCCTTCCTTGCCTAGTTTAAGTGGATTTTTAGCAAACAAAAGTGTTGACTAGAGGCTGTGAGTGAAGGGCATTTTTACCTCCCCTGGCCCCCAGTGTAGATTCCTCTTCTGTCTACACAGAATCCTTCAGATCAGGATAAAATTGAGCCTTCCTTACTAGTTACTACGATTTTTGAAGAATTGGTGTGATTGATAACCACAGCAACAGTGTTTGGACTTTAGAGAAACTTTATTCATGCCCACACTATGTCTACTGACCTACATTTTGTTACTTAAATTCATTTTAAGATTTCTCTTCCAAAAGTTTTCCAGTTATTCTCCTCTTTTGATTCATTGATCCCCTATATTTTTATTTTACCAGTAATTTCATAACTTCTCTTAATATTAAAATATTTTAATGAATATTTGGAATAAACGTATGTGTCTATGGTGAATACTCACTGGGACACACTATACCCCTCCTTCTTCCACAACCTCAACCTAAGGAAGGAACACTGTCTACAAGTGGTGAGGATCCTTCCAGATAGATTTCCATTAATTTACATAAATTTTGCAAGATCTCCCTTAACTCACCTCTGCTTGACTTACTGCTGAGTAAATTCTTTCTCCATATTCCCTTCATGTAACGTGCTAATCAGTGACCATAAATCACACATGATTGTTACTGGTAGAATCAATGCTTTCAACTCCAACACGTCTGTCTCCACAGGTTGATGTATATATTTATCAACAGGGAGTTTTCTCCTCCCAAAAGTAATGCCATTTGCTCTATTTATTCAATGGCATAAGTGGTTTACTGTAATAAAAACTACTAAACTATAATCACAAAAAGGAAAACTTTTTATTTTTATAAAGCCTAAATAAAATGTGCCAGAAACAAAAATTAGAGATTCTTTAAAAATGCTATTGAGGTAAAAGTGAGTGATAAAAGTAGACCTGTATAAATACAAGTCTGTGAATATTCTGTACTCAGAATTTTGACATCTTTAAGTGTTTTAGCTTACTTTAAAGAACTACCATGCTGGGCGCGGTGGCTCACGCCTGTAACCCCAGCACTTTGGGAGGCTGAGGTGGGCAGAAAATCTGAGGTCAGGAGTTCAAGACCAGCCTGGCCAACATGATAAAACCCGTCTCTACTAAAAATAAAAAAATTAGCTGGATGTGGTGGTGCACGCCTGTAGTCCCAGCTACTCAGGAGGCTGAGGCAGGGGAATCACTTGAACCTGGAAGGCAGAGGCTGCAGTGAGCTGAGATTGCACCACTACACTCCAGCCTGGCCAACAGAGCGAGACTCTGTCTCAAAAAAAAAAAAAGGAAAAGAAAAAAAGAACTGCCAATTGTAAATTTGTAAATCATGTTTAATTATAGTTTATGATAGAAAATAAAAGAAACATAAAATTTCTTACAGAAGAATTTAACCCATAACAAAGTTTGAGCAAAGTAATACAAGCTACAATTAAAATAAGTCATTTCAATTTCATTTGAATGTGAGCCAAACATTTTATGTTTTTATTTTTTTCTCAGGATTATATCTTTTTATATGTTGTATTTTTTTCTTTTATCTGGCTATTAACAATAGTAAAGTGATTGATAACTTTCTCTTTTACATTCTATGTATTTAAATATCTTATTTAGATTATTTTAATTTGCAATTATTTTTCATTAATATTTCATTTTATTAAAAATTGCCTTTTTTCAGTGTTTACATATTAATGGCTTACTTATCCAAGATTGTAAAAATATACAAATATTTTTACCGCTGAGAGATTTGGTTTTTTGTTTGTCTGTTTTTGTTTTTTGAGAGGGAGTCTCACTCTATTGCCCAGACTGGAGTGCAGTGGCACAATGTCAGCTCACTGCAGCCTCCTCCTCCTGGTTCAAGTGATTCTCCTGCCTCAGCCTCCCATGAAACTGGGACTACAGGCTTGAGCCACCACGCCCAGCTAATTTTCGTATTTTTAATAGAGATGGGTTTCACCATGTTGGCCAGGCTGGTCTTGAACTACTGACCTCAAGTGATCCACCTGCCTTGGCCTCCCAAAGTGTTGAGATTACAGGCGTGAGTCACTACACCCAGCCTAAGACTATTCTTTACTTTGGGTTTTTTGTTGTTGTTGTTGTTTAACAGGCTGTCATTTGTCACCCAGGCTGGAGTAGAGTGGCACGATCTCAGCTCACTGCAGCCTCAACCTCCTGGGTTCAAGAGATCCTCCTGCCTCAGCCCCTTTTCTGCCCCTCACCCCCCACCCCCAATAGCTGGAACTACGGACGTACCACCACTTCCAGCTAATTTTTGTACTTTTTGTAGAGACTGGATTTCATCATGTTTCCCAGGCTGTCTCCAACTCCTGAAATCAAGTGATCCGCCCGCCTCGGCCTCCCACAGTGCTGGGATTACAGGTGTGAGCCACCGCACCCGGGATTGTTATTCTTCACTTTGAATCCCACATGTTATTTAAAGCTAAGACCTGAGGCAAAAAAAAATCACTTCTATATTTCAACTAATACTATTTTATTACTAGGTAATAAGTCCCAATATTTACATTTATGTACACATACACACACATTTCCTTTCTATACCATTAAGATAATGGTAGACCTTTATGTCAGGAAAATGCTATAGGCTGGGGGCGAGTGGCTCACGCCTGTAATCCCAGCACTTTGGGAGGCCGAGGCGGGAGGATCACTTGAGCCTAGGAGTTCGAGGCCAGTCTGCACAACGTGGTAAAACCATGTCTCTAAAAAAAAAAAAAAAAAAAAAAAAAAATTAGCTGGGCGTGGTATCATGAGCCTGTAATCCCAGCTACTTTCAGCTACTCGGGAGGCTGAGGTGGGAGGATTTCTTGAGCCTGGGAGGCAAAGGTTGCAGTGAGCCCAGATCCCACCACTGTACTGCAGCCTGGGTGACAAGAGTGACAACCTGTCTCAAAAAAAAAAAAAAAAAAAAGCTATTGGTAATTGAATTTATCTTTATTGAACAAATCCTCTTCATTGCATGCTTTAAATTTTGATTTGTTTAAATTTTATTGAATTGTAATAAAACGATTTTGAAATTACTAGAGAAGCCCAGGCGCTGTGGCTCACGCCTGTAATCCCACCACTGTGGGAGGCCAAGGCAGGCGGATCACCTGATGTCAAGAGTTCGAGACCAGCCTGACCAACATGGTGAAACCCCGTCTCTACTAAAAACACCAAAAAACAATTAGCCGGGCTAGCTGAAGGCACCTGTAGTCCCAGCTACTCAGGAGGCTGAGGCAGGAGAATGGCTTGAACCCGGGAGGCGGAGGTTGCAGTAAGCAGAGATCGTGCCATTGCAGTACAGCCTGGGCGACAGAGAGAGTCTCCGTCAAAAAAGAAAAAGAAGAGAAAAGAAAAAGAGAAAGGAAGGAAGGGAGGAAGGGAGGAAGGGAGGACGAGAGGAAGGGAGGAAGGGAGGGAGGGAAAAGAAATTCCTGGGCAGATGAAAGTGAGGGGTCGGGGGTCGGGGTCGGGCGCGGCGATGCCGCAGCTGCGGGGCTCGGTGGACTCGGCGAGCAAGAGCCCCAGGACGCTGCTGGCGGCGGGCGAGGAGCTGGGGCGCGGCGCGGGGCGGCTCTAGGCGCTGTGGCCGCTCAGCGTCTGGGACCCAGCGCCGCCCAGGTCAGGGAATCCTTGGTGTTCCCGCCCCGCAGCACCCGGGGCGGGGGAGGAGTCGGCGCGGTCGTGCGGCCGTGGAGGACAGCGAGACCCGGGGCTGCGGCTGCAGGCCGAGGGGCCCCTGGGACAGTGAGAAGCAGCGGCGGGAGCTAGTCACGGGGCAGGGAGCGCTCAGCGGTAAAGACGGCTTCATCTGACTCCAGGGCTGGCAGGCGGCCCGGATGGCATGCCGTCTCCTGCGGAGAATTCCAATTTCCCCCTAAATCGCTCAACAAGCGAGAAGGTTTTGGGATTCGAATTCAGTGGGGCAAGCGAAGTCGCCTTTCCTTCTTAAACAGATGGAATCCCTGGTCCACAAACGTACCCTGTGCCAATTTCATACAACACGCTATGGCTGCTGCGGATGAGAACACAGCAACTCTGCCAGATGAAAAGCTTCAAGGCTCTGTGAATCCAAGGTCAAAAACGCCAAAAAGGAAAGTCCTTTTCCAGGACAAGCGCACGCGTGCTGGTCGTGGAGCGCCCCCTCCTCATGGAGACCGGCCTGGGATTGATGTCCTTCATTAACAATGAGGCTAAACTGGGCTATTCCATGACTGACCAGGGGCAAAATAGGCTTTTAGCCAGCGGCATTCTGGGAGCTCTCCCCACTAAGAAGGCCAAGGGATGTGGGGTCTGAGAGCCTGGCAGTCCTCATGCAAAGCCGCTGCTGGCTGGAAGCATAGGGGTCTTTTACCTTTTGGGATCTCTGCACGATTAGAATAGTAAAGTGGATAGTAATTGCATATTGCACTCTGCTAATGCAAGCTACAGACAAAAGCAAAAAGAATCTAGCTGCCACTGTGCTGCTAGGATTCCATTTTCTGTAACTTCAGTTCTGATACTTTTCCTGGAGTGTATCTACTTGGCTTCTGGCGGTTCTTCCCATCCCAGCCACTCCAGCAGGCTAAATCCCGCAGCACACCCCTTACCATTTGTGTAGGCTGCTAAATACAGGGAGGCACCTGGTATCTCCAGTGTCTGCAGACACAAATATGTTTACACTTGGTGTCAAATTTTGTATTTTAAATTTTAATACTTTTTTTTTTAAAGCTCATACAAAAGCAGCCAGCAGACAAGTTCACTGACATCAGTCTGCACCTGTCAGCTCCTGGGTGAATCATTGTTCTTTTGTAAATGTGTGTTTGACCTAAAGTCACCCTTTTTCTAAAATTAATCCAAGGCCGGGCGCGGTGGCTCACTCCTGTAATCCCAACACTTTGGGAGGCTGAGGCGGGTGGATCACCAGATCAGGAGTTCGAGACCAGCCTGACCAAAATGGAGAAACCCCATCTCTACTAAAAATACAAAATAAGCTGGGCAGCCCACGTCAGTAATCCCAGCTACTCCGGAGGCTGAGGCAGGAGAATTGCTTGAACCCGGGAGGTGGAGGTTGTGGTAAACCGAGATCGTGCCACTGCACTCCAGCCTGGGCAACAAGAGTGAAACTCCGTCTCAATAATAATACTGATACTTAAAATATCTTTGCGAGGCCCAAGTAGGTTTACAGAAAATCATCTTAGGACAATTTTTTAATTTGAGAAAGTCACTTTGGCAGTTCTTTGCACACAATTTTGACAAGTGTATGTATTATAAGTTGTATTGTATTCATATTTAAAAGGAAATTGGGTAGTTTGCCTTTTGAAGAATGCGCTTTTTAAAAAGGAACCATATCAGATCCTTATGAAGCAGCCGATGCCTGCCATGGTTCCTACAGGTCCTGTACAGACTCGGGGCTTTGTCCAAGTCTCCACTAAACATGCTAAGCTTCGATGCGCCCTGGAGAATTTCCACGGGGTGATCCACGCACCTCCATGAGATCCTGCAGCTTGCTTGTATGACTGGAAGCATTGGATAAGCTTCGCGTGCTGGCTCTCCAGTTCTTTCCTTCTCTTTACGACTGTTGTAGCTTTTAGCTAATGGAGTGGTGCGGTCCAAGTGCGGCCACCTACGGGAGGTGCAGGGCTGCCTCGGAAGCTGGCAGGGGACCCCAGTCTTTGCGTTCATAAAGACATTTAGAACCGGATGAATGTTGTTCCTTTTTTGAAGTTGTTATTAAAGTAGGTGCAACAACCAAAAATCAATAAATAATAAATAAATTGACTAAATATTTTTTCTCAAAAAAAAAAAAAAAAGAAAAGAAAGTCACCAGGTGTGGTGGCTCACGCCTGTAATCCCAGCACCTGGGGAGGCTGAGGTGGGCGGATCACCTGAGATCAGGAGTTTGAGACTATCCTGGCCAACATGGTGAAACCCCGTCTCTACTAAAATACAAAAATTAGCCGGGTGTGGTGGCGCATGCCTTTAATCACAGCTACTCTGGGTGCGGAAGTTGCAGTGAGCCAAGATCGTGCCACTGCACTCCAGCCTGGGCGACAGAGCAAGACTTTGTCTCGAAAAAAATAGAAAGTTAACAGTTTTGTTTATTTTCCTACCAGGTTTTTATTATTATTATTATTATTCTAATTGAAATCACTGTTTCCTACATACTGAGGCGGATTGGCTTTGTCTTCTTGGAAACAAAGGTTATTTTCCTCACTCACACTGGAGCGGGGATACTCACCAGACACAAGTTGAGATGATGCTGGATGTAAACGGGTCATCTATTTTTACCAAAGGCAGCACTACCTGCCTTCCCAATTGATCAGAAAAGCATTTGATAGTTGTCTTTGTAATATCCTTATTTGATTAAATTACTATGTGGATTTCACATTTATTTTTATTGTTTTGTGCCTGTTTATTCTATGCCTAAGTTGGGGTATCACCAGGTCATTTCCTCCACCATCTGTGTTTCCCCAAGGATAAATCCTCCTGCTCATGCCCTTCACTCCTCCATTAGCCCATTCCCTAGAAAGCTGCTGGTTTTACACAGTGGCTGTGTGTCTTTGCCTTCTTAATGTAGCATTCAGAGTCCCACTCTGGAGCCAGGTATCAAATCCTAGCCCAGCCACTTACAGGCTATGTAGCACTGGCCAAGGTACTGAACTTCTCTGTGCCTCTGTTATTTTGATGTTAAAATGGAGTTATTTAGGATCTACTTTACAGGACTGTTGTGATGGAAATGGGTTAACATACAGAAAGCACTGAGAACAGAGTCAAATATGCCCTGACTGCTTAAAGGTTAGTTATTATGATCCCTGATGCTATTACTACTCTTACTGATATCATCGTGCCTCAGGTCTAACTGCTCCCAGAGTTACACACCAGCATGTCCAACAGCTGGCTGTATATCTGAACTCAAAAATCCAATAACCTCCTCCAAACAGAAATTGCCAGCTTTTCCCCAAACCTTTTCCTTACAGCTCCTTACAGAGCTCAAGGAACTCCTTGAGACTGCAGAAGCAGACAGGAAATGCTTTCAACCCACCACAAATTAACAACTGGCCTCCAGTGGTACTCACATTGTCTACATTTTTCATTGTTTTTTTTTTGTTTGTTTTTTGTTTGTTTGTTTGTTTGTTTTTGAGACAGAGTCTCACTCTGTCGCCCAGGCTGGAGAGCAGTGGTGCGATCTTGGCTCACTGCAACCTCGGCCTCCCAGGTTCAAGTGATTCTCCTGCCTCAGGCTCCCGAGTACTTGGGATTACAGGTGCCTGCCACCATGCCTGGCTAATTTTTGTATTTTTTTAGTAGAGACGAGGTTTCATCATGTTGGCCAGGCTGGTCTCAAACTCCTGACCTCAGGTGATCCACCCGCCTCGGCCTCCCAAAGTGCTGGGATTACAGGCATGAGCCACTGCGCCCAGCCCATTTTTCATTGTTGTAGCAGAGAAGTATCCCTGCTTCCATCAAGAGCCAATTTTCCTGTCACAGTTGGTTTAATGACATAGTTGGTGACAGGACCTAAACCACCAGTGGAAAATTGGCTCTTGATGGGAGCAGGGATACTTCTCTGTATGGAGTATATGTGGATGAAACTCCTTGGAGAAATGGACTAGTACACAGTCTTATAATGTGAGGATTCAGAACATAATTCCTAATGTGGGGAAGTCAAGCAGACATTTCATCAGTGGAGTACCAGGAGATTCAAACTCTGTACCCAACAGTGATAGGGGGACAATCTAAGCCCCAAGAGGCTGCATGCCTGATGGAGCAGATGAAACACATGGCTGTAATTAGCTCCCACCCCTTCGATACGTTCTCAACTCCACCAAAGCCTCAGCCTGTATGAGGGTGGAAAGTGGGGAGGGAGAGTGCAGGGAAGAAGGCACAGCTTCCACCACACTAGGTGACCAGGCGCTTCTCACCATTTTAACTCCTCCATCTCTCTCAAGCCTCATGTTAAGTCTATCAAACATCATATGCTTTCTCAATATAAAATATGCACCAATTTCTCCCTTTCCACTGATATAATCCTAGTCTCAACCCCTGTCATCTTTTTGATGGATTAGGAATGCCTTCTCTGGGTCCCGGGCCCCCTCTGTTTCACCAGCCTGGAATTGGCACAGGAGTCACAGCATTAGCCTTGCCCTCTGCCACCCTTGTAATTCATAAATCTCTGAAAACTTAAAAGTTTGAGCAAAAGTTTGTCATGTTTCTATGAGTAATTTATAATAAAACTTGATCAGAATTTGTGAGACTAACGTTTGTCTTTATATTTTCCTTTTTTTTTTTTTTTTTTTTGAGACACAGTCTCGCTCTGTCGTCCAGGCTGGAGTGCCGTGGCGTAATCTCGGCTCACTGCAACCTCTGCCTCCTGGATTCAAACAATTCTTCTGCCTCAGCCTCCTGAGTAGCTGGGATTACAGGTGCATGCTACCACGCCCAGATAATTTTTGTATTTTTAATAGAAACCGGGTTTAACCATGTTGGTCAGGCTGGTCTCAAACTCCTGACCTCATGATCCACCTGCCTCGGCCTCCCAAAGTGCTGGGATTACAGGCGCGAGCCACCACACCCAGCCTGTCTTTATATTTTCATTTAATGTGGACCTTGTTACATTTTACCGCAGATTTTGTATTTTTGTGTGTGTTTGTTTGTTTGTTGGTTTTTGAGACAGTCTACCTCTGTCGCCCAGGCTGCAGTGCAGTGGCACAATTTCAGCTCACTGCAACCTCCGCCTCTGTGGTTCAAACAATTCTTCTGCTCAGCCTCCTGAATAGCTGGGACTACAGGCACGCGCCACTACGCCTGGCTAATTTTTGCATTTTTAGTAGAGATGGGGTTTCACCATATTGGCCAGGCTGGTCTCGAACTCTTGACCTCGTGATCCGCCCACCTCGGCCTCCAAAAGTGCTGGGATTACAGGCATGGTTTTTTTTTTGTTCGTTTTGTTTTGTTTTTTTTTTAGAGACTTGGTCTCCTTCCATTTCCCAGGCCAGAGTTCAGTAGGGCGGTCATAATCCACTGTAGCCATGAACTCCCTGGCTCAAACAAGCTACACAGACATGCCACCATGCCTGGCTAACATTTTTAACATTATTTTTGGTAGAGACAGGGTCTTGCTTTGTTGCTCAGGCTAGGGATTCACAGAGTCTTGCTCTGTCTCCCAGGCTGGAATGCAGTGGCGCAATCTTGGCTCACTCTAGCCTCTGCCTCCCAGGTTCAAGTAATTCTCCTGCCTCAGCCTCCCAAGTAGCTGGGATTACAGGTGCCCACCACCATGCCCGGCTAATTTTTGTATTTTTAGTAGAGAAAGGGTTTCACCATGTTGGCCAGGCTGGTCTTGAACTCCTGATCTCAGGTGATCTGCCTGCCTCAGCCTCCCAAAGTGCTGAGATTACAGGTGTGAGCCACTGCACCTAGCCTGCAGAAATATTAATGTGTTTGTTTATGACCTGTTGACCCAGGACCAGTGATGGTATAGAACACTGTATTAGAGACATGGAGCTGGGGCTGGATGAAGATTCCATCAGTAATTCAATCAACAGACAAGTGTTATCCAATCACGTCTTTAAATCAATCACTGACATGGAGCTGGGGCTGGATGAAGATTCCATCAGTAATTCAATCAACAGACAAGTGTTATCCAATCACGTCTTTAAATCAATCACTGATCCCAGCCCCTATAAAAGGGAGCAGCCTTAGGAGGCACATCAGATAAACCCAGTGTGGAAAGCTAGTCACACATCAGCTCAGTGTTCGGCCCGGGATTACCCAGTCAACCAAGGAGGTAAGCTTCCATAATGGAAGGAAAATTTTGTGCCTTTGAGTGTGTATACATTTTGTGTCTTTGAGTGTGTATACATAATTTTGTGTCTTTGAGTGTGTATACATGTGTATGTAGGCATAGCTATTTCAGGAAAATTCCTAACTACAGAGATATGGGGGTCTCCCAGGTGTAGGGAATGGTCTTTTGTTACAACAGCTCTGACCCAAAAGGGCTTGATGTTGTGAACTCTGTATAAAGGCCTGGTGTGACTGAAGATTTTTCTTCAAAAAGTCTATCGTATGACTTTATGTTCTAGTAATTCTTTTTTTTTTTTCGAGACAAGATCTCTATCACCCAGGCTAAAGTTTAGTAGCCCCAATCACAGCTCACTGCAGCTTCAGCCTCCCCAGGCTCAAGTGATCCTTCCACCTTAGCTTCCTGAGCAGCTGGGACCACAGGCGCACACCACCACACCAGGTTAATTTTTCTATTTTTTGTAGAGGCAGGATTTTGCCATGTTGCCCAGTGTGGTCTCAAACTCCTGGCCTCCAGTGATTTGCCCACTTTCAGCCTCCAAAAGTGCTGGGATTACAGATGTGAGCCACTGTGCCCAGCTTAGTAATTCCTTTGTATTGCATTATATGAAATATGTAGCTGGGTGTCATTAGAGATCATAAAGCCCAGGATACAGACCCAGACCTGACGGGTAGCATGCCTGCGTCACAGTTTGTAATTGCCAGACTCCAGATTAGAGCTCCGGTAGCCTTGTTTTGAATTCCCAGGTTCTGGGAAATAAGCCATAATACTTTGCAGTCTTGTCTATGTGGGACGGAGTGCATGTCTCCAAGTGTGAACATGTGGTCTGTGTGTCATAGGGGAGAAAGGGTGGGTAATCCAAAAAGAGAACTTGGAGGGAAGTGAAATGAAGGGGAAGCCATGGGTTCCACAGGAAAAAAAAAAAAAAAGAGAGAGAGAGAGACCAATGTCCCTGGATATAGAGAACCAGCCACAACACCTAAGATGGAGCTTGAGAAGTGTAGAGCTGGCCCAGGAAAGCCTCGTAGGACAAGGACTCAGTGCTTTTCCCTGAGGGCAAAGGGGAGCCATCCAGAGAGTAGAGTGGGGTATGATGTGAGCAGATTAGCATTTTATAAACGTTGACTGGAAGCATTATGACAACTGGGTTAGGGAAAGGCAAGAATGTGTTCCATTGTCTCCTAGGAGATTTTACCAGGATCACCTCTGCCTTATTAACTGATGCGATCAGGGTAGCAGATCTGGTCTAATCAGACCAGATGAGATTAACACAAAGCAGGAAATAACATTAACTAACAGAAATCAGTTAGGTTTTTGTGTGTCCACGTATTACTCCTACCATTTTCTGATTTTATGGCATGAAATTTGCTTTTTTCAAAATTGCACAAATCTTTGAAATGTTAACCATATATAAAATTGGAGAAAAAACACAAAAATAGCAATGATATATTAACAGAAAAGGGATTAAATTCTTTATCCATTCAGGATTTCAAAGGGTGTGTCTCTAGTTGTCCAGATAATCTGATTTGGGATTAGAAATCAATTTCAAGCAATGCAAACTCACTTTTACTTCTGAATCCTAAACATCAGTAGGAAAGGACAGGGAGTAAAAACAGATAAACATAAAATAGTAGCTTTGGTTAAAGCAGTAAAGTTCTAAGGAATGGTAACTGTTAATGGGAAAAAAATTCAAGCAGAAAAGGTGCTAAGAATGTTTCCTAAGGAATGTATCCTTTCACAACACAGTGGGTGTAGCTGGTAGTGGCCTTGCAGATGTCTGTGCCTAATAAGTTTTCAGCCAGAGAAAGGTGTCATTTGTATGGATTCTGGCTTGTCTTTTCTATTTCATTCACTTCTTTCTCTTTTTCTTGTTTTCCCTAGCTTTATTGAGGTATAATTGACAAAGATTGTATATATTTAAGGTGTACAATGTGACACTTCTCTCTCTATATATATGTATACTTTGCAAAATGATTACCACGATCAAGCTAGTTAACATATTCATCACCTCACATAGTTATCTTTTTTTTTTTTTTTTGAGACAGAATCTTGCTCTGTCACCTAAGCTGGAGTACAGTGGCGTAATCTCAGTTCACTACAACCCCCACCTCTCAGGTTCAAGTGATTCTTGTGCCTCAGCCTCTCAAGTAGCTGGGATTACCGGTGCATGCCACCACACCCAACTCATTTTTGAATTTTTAATAGAGGTGGGGTTTCACCATGTTGCCAGGCTGGTCTTGAACTCCTGGCCTCAAGCGATATGCCCACCTCTGCCTCCCAAAGCACTGGGATTACAGGGGTGAGCCAATTATCTTTTTTATATCATGAGAACACTGAAAATCTAGCAAATTTCAAGCATACAATATATATTAGCTATAGCCACCATGCCGTACATCAGATCTCCAGAGCATATTCATTTTTTTTCCCTAGCCTGAGAAGGACATGGTGACATTTAATTAATTAATTTATTTATTTATTTATTTTGAGATGGAGTTTCACTCTGTCGCCCAGGCTGGAGTGCAGTGGCACGATCTCGGCTCACTGCAACCTCCATCTCCTGGGTTCAAGCGATTCTCCTGCCTCAGCCTACCGAGTAGCTGGAATTACAGGTGTGCACCACCACAGCCAGCTAATTTTTGTATTTTTAGTAGAGAAAGGGTTTCACCACGTCTCATCTCAAGTGATACGCCTGTCTCGGCCTCCCAAAGTGCTGGGATTACAGGCGCGAGTCACCGTGCCCGGCCACATATTTATTTTATAAATGAAAGTTTGCCATAGGCATAGTAGCTCACGCCTGTAATCCCAGAAAGGCTAGAGTGAGGAGCAGTCACTTGAGTCCAGGAGTTCAAGACAACCTGGACAAAATAGCGAGACCAAGTCTCGAAAAGAAAATTTTTAAAAAATTAGCTGAGTGTGGTGCGTGCCTGTAGTCCCAGCTACTCAAGACGCTAAGGCAGGAGGATCGCTTGAACCCAGGAGGCTGAGGCTGCAGTGAGCTGTCATGGCACCACTGCACTCTAGCCTGTCTGACAGACGGAGACCCTGTCTCAAAATAAATCAAGTTTGCACCATTTGATCAACATCTTCCCATATGCCCCACCCCATGCCCCTGGCAACCACCCTTCTACTCTCAGTTTCTAATACTTTATTTTCTGATGATGATGATGATTATTATTATTATTATTATTATTGAGACAGAGTTTCTGTGTTGCCTAAGCTGAAGTGCAGTGGCCCAATCTCAACTCACTGCAACCTCTGCTTCCCAAGTTCAACCCATTCTCCTTGCTCAGCCTCCCGAGTAGCTGCGATTACAGGCATGCACCACCACATCTGGCTAATTTTTATATTTTTAGTAGAGACGGGGTTTCGCCATGTTGGCAAGGCTGGTCTTGAACTCCTGGTTTCAAGTGATCTGCCCGCCTCGGCCTCCCAAAGTGTTGGGATTACAGGTGTGAGCCACAGTGAAAAGAGTTTTTTTGTTTTAATTTCAACTGCTTGTGATAACACAATATTACAATATTCAGTTCATTTTGGTTTATTGGCATTGTAATAGACATCTCCCTAAATTCACCTAGGCTAATATTTGGTGAATATTTTATTTTATTTTAGATTCAGGGAGTACATGTGCATGTTTGTTACAAAAGTATTCTGCATATTGGTGGAAATTGGACTTCTAGTGTACCTATTACTTAAATAGTGAACATTGTACCCAATGGGTAATTTTTCAATACCCATTTCCCTCCCAACTCCCCCGCTGGAGTCCCCAGCATCTGTTATTTCCATCCTTATGTCCATGTGTACCCACTGTTTAGCTTCTACTTATAAGTGAGAACATGCGGTATTTGGTTTTCTGTTTCTGAGTTAGTTCACTTAAGATAATGGCCTCCAGCTCCAACTATGTTGCTGCAAAGGACTAATTTCATTCTTTTTTATGGCTGCATAATATTCCATGGTATGTATTTCACATTTTCTTTATCCAGTCAACCACTGGTAGACTCTTAGGTTGGTTCCATGACTTTGCTCCTGTGACTAGTGCTGCAATCAAAATATGAGTGCAGGTGTCTTTTTTTATATAATGATTTCTTTCCTTTTGAGTAGATACTGAGCTGGATCAAATGATGGTTCTATTTTTAGTTCTCTGAGAAATCTCCATACTGTTTTCCATAGAGGTTAACTGATTTGCATCCCCACCAAATTTATTGAATACTCTTTGTAAACAAAATCAAGACTCTATAAATATGTTTGAAATATTTTCTTTCCTTATTTCACTGGTTAGGGAGCAATCCAATGTTTCATAGAGATGATAGCTCAAGCAGAAAACTTTTAACAATAAATTTTGTTGTAACTACTTTATAAAATATTTTTCACATCAAGTTTTTTTTTTTTTTTTTTTTAAGAGTCTCACTCTGTCACCCAGGCAGGAGCTCAGTGGCATGATCCTGGCTCATTGCCACGCCCACTTCCCGGGTTCAAGGGATTCTCCTGCCTCCACCACTGAAGTAGCTGGGTTTACAGGCACGTGCCACCATACCCAGCTAAGTTTTGTGTGTGCGTGTGGCTTTTTTTTTTTTTTTTTTTTTTTTGAGACGGAGTCTTGCTCTGTCAGCCAGGCTGGAGTGCAGTGGCGCAATCTTGACTCACTGCAATCTCCACCTCCCGGGCTCAAGCAATTCTCCCATCTCAGCCTCCTGAGTAGCTAGGACTACAGGTGCATGCCATCATGCCTGGCTGATTTTTGTATTTTTAGTAGAGATGGGGTTTCACCATATTGGTCAGGCTGGTCTCGAAATCCTGACCTCAGGTGATCCACCTGCCTCAGCCTCCCAAAGTGTTGGGATTACAGGCATGAGCAACCACACCCGGCAAGTTTTGTATTTTTAGTAGAGATGGTGCCTCACCATGTTGGCCAGGCTAGTCTCGAACTCCTGACCTCAAGTGATCCGCCCTCCTCGGCCTCCCACAGTTCTGGGATTATAGGAGTGAGCCACTGTGCCCAGCCAAGGATATTTCCTAATAGTTCTAGTTTATTAAGTGCCTTTTTCAGGAATAAACATTGGCATTTAAACATTTTAAATGCATTCATTGAGATGATTTTATTATGTTCTTGTATCCATATCCCGTTAACGAAGTAAATTGCATTGATTTTTGAATTTTAACCCAAACTTCCTGCATTTTGGAAATGAACACCATTTGCGATGTATATGTGAGTAGATTTTATTTTCAAATATTTTGTTTTGGATAATTTTAATGTATTTGTAAAATTTTGTTATCAGGAAGTGCTGACCTCAGTAACTAAAGTGGGTAGTGCTTCCTCTTATATGCTCTGGGAGAGTTTATGTTAAGTTATAATTATTTCTTTGAATTCATCCATAGAGCCATGTAGGCCTAACTTTTTGGTTGATTTGTCTTTAATTATGCCAGTGGTGCAATTAATTACTCATCTCTTTTCTATTTCTAGCTTGCAGTTTTAAAGAATCCACCAACTGTTGAAACAAATCCCTAGAGACACAAGGCAAGAGACTGAATCATCAAAGTAAAGTCTCTCTGAGAATTATTGCTAAGAATGGCTTTAGATCTAAGAACCATATTTCAGTGTGAACCATCCGAGAATAATCTTGGATCAGAAAATTCAGCGTTTCAACAAAGCCAAGGACCTGCTGTTCAGAGAGAAGAAGGGATTTCTGAGTTCTCAAGAATGGTGCTCAATTCATTTCAAGACAGCAATAATTCATATGCAAGGCAGGAATTGCAAAGACTTTATAGGATCTTTCACTCATGGCTGCAACCAGAAAAGCACAGCAAGGATGAAATTATTTCTCTATTAGTCCTGGAGCAGTTTATGATTGGTGGCCACTGCAATGACAAAGCCAGTGTGAAAGAGAAATGGAAATCAAGTGGCAAAAACTTGGAGAGATTCATAGAAGACCTGACTGATGACAGCATAAATCCACCTGCCTTAGTGAGTACAGGGTTCTAACTTCTGGGATGAGAGACAAAGGAAAGTAAGGAATAAATCACAGTCAGTTAGAGTTGTCTGGAAGTTAGAGAAGCTATTGGAGGTCCAGTTATTAGTCAGCTCACACTCTCCCACCATTCTCACAAAGAATAATCTTCAATGTCCTAAGTTCTCAAGAAAAAAAGCAAAAAGGTATATATCTGTTTATTCTGTAGGACATATAGGAGCCAAACATATTGATGTTTGATTAACTTAATTTTAGTCTGCATAATGGCAGACTCTGAGAAATTGACTTTTTGGCATGATATCAGCTCACTGCAACCTATGCCTCCCAGGCACAAGTCATTCTCGTGGCTCAGCCTCCAGAGTAGCTGGGATTACAGGCGTGCTCCACCAAGGCCGGCTAATTTTTGTATTTTTAATAGAGACAGCGTTCCACCATGTTGGCCAGGCGGTCTCGAACTCCTGGCCTCAAGTGATCCGCCTGCCTTGGCCTCCCAAAGTGCTAGGATTACAGGTGTGAGACCAGCCTGAAATTGACATTTAAATGAAGACATCAAGGTTGAGGAAGAAATGTCTTGACAAGAGCTTGTTCTTCTGTCAGGGAACTCTAATCAAGAAAGACATTCTAAAGAAGCAATTACGGTAGATCCTTATTCTCAGAGCCCATATTTGCAAAATTGCTAAAATTTATTTGTAAGCTTAAAATAAATACCTGAGGCATCTTCTCCGTCATTTTCAGATATGTGCAGGTGGTAAAATATTTGATTTACCTTAGGTGCATGTTTCCAGGTGAGGTTGAACAAGGCCACAACCTCACTTCCTATTTTGGTTCCTACAGTGTAAATAAGTGTCCTTTTCACAGTCTATTTAGTGGCACATTTTTTTTTTTGCTTTTTATTGATAACTTTGTTGTTTAAAGTGACACTGAAGTAAAATGCTGAAACACTGTCTAGTCTTCCTAAGTGCAGGAAAGTTGCTATGTATTATGGAGATAATACATGTGTTGGATCCTCTGAGTTCAGGATTAATCAATAATATATATTAAATGGGGTGTCTTTGAACATATACACACATAAAACAAACTCATGTATTGATCAGTTGACAAAAATAATGTAGCCAGAAGCTCACAGGAAACTAACCCTGAATTTTTCCTAGGGGAAATGATTCAGTACTTGTAAATTCAATGTCCATGTGACTTTATTAAACATAAGAGCTTGTAGTAACAAGAATAACACCATCAGAGATGGTGGACAAAATATGTGATAGCCAATACTTGAGGGAGCTTGTGAGAGCCTGTTAAGGACCACTTTTCCAAAAAGTCTTCTGTTACACAACAGATTCAGATACAACAGTGATCTGGCTTTCTTTACAGGTCCACGTCCACATGCAGGGACAGGAAGCTCTCTTTTCTGAGGATATGCCCTTAAGAGATGTCATTGTTCATCTCACAAAACAAGTGAATGCCCAAACCACAAGAGAAGCAAACATGGGGACACCCTCCCAGACTTCCCAAGATACTTCCTTAGAAACAGGACAAGGTAAGTCAGGTGAATCTGCACAACTGAGGAGTGTTCTATGTGGACCCCTTCTTAAGTACAACTTCATTGAGTGTCTATTTTCACAGGATATGAAGATGAACAAGATGGCTGGAACAGTTCTTCGAAAACTACTCGAGTAAATGAAAATATTACTAATCAAGGCAATCAAATAGTTTCCCTAATCATCATCCAGGAAGAGAACGGTCCTAGGCCTGAAGAGGGAGGTGTTTCTTCTGACAACCCATACAACTCAAAAAGAGCAGAGCTAGTCACTGCTAGATCTCAGGAAGGGTCCATAAATGGAATCACTTTCCAAGGTGTCCCTATGGTGATGGGAGCAGGGTGTATCTCTCAACCAGAGCAGTCCTCCCCTGAGTCTGCCCTTACCCACCAGAGCAATGAGGGAAATTCCACATGTGAGGTACATCAGAAAGGATCCCATGGAGTCCAAAAATCATACAAATGTGAAGAATGCCCCAAGGTCTTTAAGTATCTCTGTCACTTATTAGCTCACCAGAGAAGACACAGGAATGAGAGGCCATTTGTTTGTCCCGAGTGTCAAAAAGGCTTCTTCCAGATATCAGACCTACGGGTGCATCAGATAATTCACACAGGAAAGAAGCCTTTCACATGCAGCATGTGTAAAAAGTCCTTCAGCCACAAAACCAACCTGCGGTCTCATGAGAGAATCCACACAGGAGAAAAGCCTTATACATGTCCCTTTTGTAAGACAAGCTACCGCCAGTCATCCACATACCACCGCCATATGAGGACTCATGAGAAAATTACCCTGCCAAGTGTTCCCTCCACACCAGAAGCTTCCTAAGCTGCTGGTCTGATAATGTGTATAAATATGTATGCAAGTATGTATATTCCTATAGTATTTATCTACTTAGGATATAAGATATAATCTCCTGATTATGCTTTCAATTTATTGTCTTGCTTCATTAAAATGTAAGGCTAAGGAGAGCATGGAATTTGTCAGTTTTGTTCACTAAAGTATTCCAAGTGGTTGGGAAAGTGGAACATTTCCAAGAACCAATAAATTTCTGTTGAATAAATGAATGAATCCATAATGTTGATATCCTTTTTTAAAAAAAGAGATGGGGCCGGCCGCAGTGGTTCGGCCTCCCAAAGTGCTGGGATTACAAGCGTGAGTGACCGTGCCCGGCTTTTTTTTTTTTTTCTGAGTCAGAGTCTTGATCTGTCGCTCAGACTGGAGTGCCGTGGTGTGATCTTGGCTCACTGCAACCTCCACTTGGAGGTCCAAAATTAATCATAGACACCAAACCACAGATCCAGAAATCTCAGAGAAGAGGAAGCAGTGTAAATACCAAAAACCTACAACTAGGTACATCATATTCAAACTACAGAAGGCCAAAGATAGAGAAATTCTTGAAAGAAGATGGAGGTGGGAGAGGGCACTTTACCTGCTGAGGAACAAGGATGAGATTTAGAGTAGAATTCTTGTCAGAAACCAGATAATCAAGAAGGGAATGGAGTGAAAGTTCAAAATTTAGTACAAAAAATAAAACCCCACCCTAACATCTATATCCAGCAATGTTATCTTTCAAAGGTGGAGGAGAATAAAGCTTTTCTCACACAAATACTAAAGAATTCATCCCCAAAGGTCCTGTTACAGGGTCCCTGCATTACATGTGAAGCAATCCAGTAGTTATTTGAAGGTCGAATTAGATTAAAGATGTTTAGGCTGGGCACAGTGTCTCATGCCTGTAATCCCAGCACTTTGTCAGGCTGAGGCGGGCAGATCACTTGAGTCCAGGAGTTTGAGACCAGCCTGAGCACCAAGGCAAAACCTCATCTGTACAAAAAATACAAAAAAACAATTAGCTAGGTTTGGCGACATGCGCCTGTAATCCCAGCTATTTGGGAGGCTGAGATGAGAGGATCACTTGAACCTGGGAGGCAGAGGTTGCAGTGAGCTGAGAACAGACCACCGCACTCCAGCCTGGGTGACAGGCTCAAAAAAATTTTAAAAAGATGTTTATTGTAACTTCTAAGGGAGGAATTAATATTTTTTTTTTTTTTTGCTGGCAACTTTGATTAATTTAAACATACAAAAATTAGCTGGGCATGGTGGTGTATGCTTGTAACCCCAGCTACTCAGGAGGCTGAGGCAGGAGAATCGCTTGAACCCGGGAGGCAGAGGTTGCAGTGAGCTGAGATCGCGCCACTGCACTCCACCCTGGGAGACAGAGCAAGACACTGTCTCAAGAACAAAAACAAAAAAGCCCAGGCGCAGTGGCTCACCTGAGGTCAGGAGTTCAAGACCAGCCTGGCCAACATGGTAAAACCCTCGCTCTACTGAAAATACAGAAATTAGCCGGGCATGGTGCTGGCGCCTGTAGTGCCAGCCACTTGGGAGGCTGAGGCAGAAGAATTGCTTGAACCTGGGAGGTGGAACTTGTGGTGAGCCAAGATCAAGCCATTGCACTCTAGCCTGGGCAACAGAGTGAGACTCCGTCTGGGAAAAAAAAAAAAAAAAAGAACTGATAAACAAATTCACCTGTGTAGCTGAATTCAAAGTCAACATGCAAAAGTCAACATGTAAAACTCATATGCCCTTCCATACACTAACAATGAAAAATCTGAAAAGGAAATTAAGAAAACAATATCATTTGCAATAGTAATGTATATGGTCAAATGATCTCAACAAGGCTACCAAGACCACTCAATGGGGAAACGATGATCTTTTCAGCAAATGATGCTGGGAAAATGAAATATTCACATGCTAAGGAATGAAGGTGAACCCTTACCTAACACCAAAAACACAAATGAACTCAAAATGGACTAAAAACCTAAACATAAGACCCAAAACTATAAAACACTTAAAAGAAAATATAGGGTGAAAGTTTTATGACATTGAATTTGGCCATAATTTCTTGGATTTGACACCAAATACACATGTGACAAAAGAAAAATAGACCAATTAGACTTCATGAAAATTAAAACTTTAGTATATCAAACAATAACAAAGTGAAAGAGGAACCTATTTAATGAGAACAAAATACAGGTTGAATATCCCTGAGCCAAAAATCTAAAATCCAAAATGCTCCAAAATCCAAATTTTTTTTTTCTTTTTTTTTTTTTGGAGACGGAGTCTCCCCCTGTCGCCCAGGCTGGAGTGCAATGGCGTGATCTCGACTCACTGCAACCTCTGCCTCCCAGGTTCAAACGATTCTCCTGCCTCAGCCTCCCAAGTACTGGGATTACAGGCGCTCGCCACCATGCCCGGCTAATTTTTGTATTTTTAGTAGAGACAGGGTTTCACCATGTTGGCCAGGCTGGTCTCGAACTCCTGATCGCGTGATCCACCCACCTTGGCCTCCCAAAGTGCTGGGATTACAGGCGTGAACCACTGCGCCCGGCCCGCCCGACTAATTTTTGTATTTTTAGTAGAGATGGGGTTCCGCCATGTTGGCCAGCCTGGTCTCGAACTTCTGACCTCAGGTGATCCGCCCGCCTCGGCCTTCTAAAGTGCTGGGATTACAGGCGTGAGCCACCGCGCCCAACCCCCTGAAATAATATTTGTTTGCCTCTAGGGGCACCCTGAGCTTCGTGGAGTCTGAAATAATGTCTCTAAACACTTAAGTGATCAGTTACGGAAAACACTTCCCAGAAATCTGGGAAAAGCCCCTTTAAGAAGGAGTAAATACCTCCTTCTCCCCTAGAGGCCGAAGTCGCCATTTCCCTGCACGGGGCACAGCACCTCAGAATACAAGTTCGCAGAGGTCAAAGCAGTGGACACACTCCGAAGAGCTCCGTGGAGTTTTGGAAACTACATTATCCAGAGTGCAGAGCGCAAAACGGCGGCGGAGTTGAGCCAATGACAGCCCAGGATAGCAACACTTCCGCGCACGCGCAGCGCGACGGGCCGGAACTTCCGGCGTCCTCCTCGTGGCGGTCATTTTGGCCTCTGTCCTGTTTGTCCAGCCCGCCAGTTTCTGCAGTGGAGGTCGCGACTGAGGGACGGGACAGAGAAGTCGCGAAAGTGGGCCAGAGGTTCTGCGACACCACCTCGGGTGAGCTGCGCCAGGCCCGGGATAGGGACTGTTGTGTTCGAATGCCCGCCCCGGTCGGCCGCCGCTCCCCGCCTAGTCCACGGAGCTCAATGGCGGCAGTCGCGCTGAGGGACTCGGCTCAGGTGAGTTGTGCGTCCTCCGGGTCTCGCCTACCTCCCCCAGCAGAAGCCTTAAGGCCCAGTGAGGGATGCCTGCTCACAGCCCTGCAGCCCAGGCCCCAGTACCCTGGACAAGAAGGCGCTTGTGGATTGGACCCGTTTGTGACGCCCAGTGTGTACGGAAATGTGACGGGCAGTTGACTGGCGCGTGCAGAACTTGGAGCTGCGACTAAGCTGGGGGGGATTCAGGAGCCTGGGGTCCGTCTCGGGTCTGCAGGAACATAGAGTGAGGCAGAGTTGCACCTGACGAATTTGACGATTCTGAGGACACTGGCAGCCTTCGAGATTTGTGAACAGATAGGGACACTGGGCTAGGATTTCCTAAAGCTATCCAAAAGTTGCTCAGGGGAAGAACAGGCTGAAGAGAGGTAATAGTAGTTAGGCATAGGAAGACTGAGTTCTTGTCCAAGCTCACGCAGCTGGTAAAGTCAGCACTGAGAACTGAGGTGCGGAGATAGTGCAGCCAGCCCAGGCCACCTGGCTCCAAAACTGGACCAGGGTCATTGGGCGACCTGAGCCTCGCCACTCGTCTAGCCTTGGGCCCTGAGACTTTGAGCAAATACAAAGCCCAGAGTCTTAAGTCCAGGTTAGATTATATGAAGCTGTTGGCAGCCGGGGGAAAGGAGATGTAGAAGGTTGTCCAAGGCAAAGTTACCAGTATATGCTAAGTTTGGAGAGGAGGCTAAGATAGTTCAGGAACCTACAATTATTTTCTTTTCATGAGAACAGGGAGCAGTGTAGTAGAAGTCAGACCCGGAATGGTTCCCTGAGAAGTTGAGTTGTCTATTCGTTACTTAATAGTAACAGTGGGAGGTTTGGAGTGGAAGAGGGAGGTGATCTGGTTCTGGTCTTATTAGGCTCCCTGTGGCTGCAGCATGGGAAGCCAACTGAAGGATGAGGTGGGGAGACCTGGGAGGAGACTACTGGGATAGGCCAGGTGAATGTGATAGAATGTGATAGGCCAAAATGGTGGCTGTGAAGATGCGAGAAGCAGTTGGATTCTGGATTCATTTTTTAAGTAGGGCTGCCTGAATTTTTAGTTTTGAGAAAGAGAGTGGAGTCAGGGATGACTGAAAGGTTTTATTTTGGCAGTTAGAAGTGTGGAAGCTCCATCAACTAAGATGGGGAAGTACATAGTAGGAGTAGTTTTCATTTGGGATATCAGAAGTTTTATTTTTGACCTGCTAAGAGTATGAGAGCTTTCAGAGAATGGTTCATGGGCTGCTGGAACTGTAGGTCAGGAACAGTGAGGAGAGATTCAGAATGGAGACTTTTCCAAAAGGTAGTGGACAATCTGTGGGCCGGGGTGGAGCTGTGGATCACATTTAGTAGAGGGGAAGCCTGCTCACAATGATAATAATAGTTGTCAAGGAAGGGGAGGGGAAGGTCAAGGACAGGTCTCCTGTGTGAGCCCCTGGTTGTGTGAGGTGTTGCAACACAGGTCTTGGACAGAAGTGTTCACGGTGAGGGTCGTACAGAGATTATGATCTAGCATGTGGCCAAGGCTTCTCAGGGGTGAGTAGACATGAGATGAATGTAGAGGCATAGGAGTTAGACAGGATGATGCTAGGACTGGTGCGTATTCACCTCTCTGCAGACTGACCAGGGTTTTATATTAACTCTTGGTGGGATCTGGGAAGTTTCAGTCAGGCTGTCACGTTATCTTAGGGGCATAATTGGCCATCTGTGGGACTCGATGGGCCCGGGGTAGAGAGCCACTGGGGTTGGACCTTGAATTAGTGGTAGTTGGAGAGAGGAAGGCTGTGACTGGTTGGGGGACAGCAATCACAGCCCAGAAGTGGAAGAGGCCTTGGTTATCTGAGATCCACAGGTGATTCTTGATGGGTGAGGTTGAAGCAAGGAATAGTCAGGTAGAAAGGCCTTCATGGTATGACTTGAGGCTGCCCCTAACTTTAGGTGCAGTTAGAGATCTGGGATAGTACTGAACCGTATTTGAATTTGCCAGCCACTCTCTGGGCCCCATATGCTGAGTAACCAGTTGGGAGGCCAAGGAGATGCTCATGGTATGAGGCAGGAAGTAAGCTGTGGCTGTGGGAGTGACACTGTGAGAGAAGTGTGGTAGAGTATTGTGCACATGGAGACAAGAATGTGAAGTGGTGGCTCCTTGGTGTTGAGGACACAAGGGTGAAGTATGAACCAAGACCCTTGGTTGTGTTTGGGAGCCATGGTCTGTTGTCTTCCAGGAGAGTTTCCTTACAAGAGAGTATGGTTCCTTGCATGGCAGGCTCAGAGCTTAGATACTTGCCCACCTGCCTGTTGTTGCTGTGGGAGAACACAATGACCAATGGGACCATAAGGAGAGAGGGGGCATTAGTGTCACCAGGCCCTGTTGCATTCTTTCAAATGAGAAGATGGAGAGGAGGATGAACAGGGGATAGATGCAGCAGGGATGAATTTGGGGTCCTAGGAGAGATACTCATAATGGAATGAACTGTCCCAATCATGGAAAAGCTGTGTGACCTTTGAGGTTGTGGCTGTGGGAATGCAGCTGTGTGAGACAGGTGTGGTTCAAAGAGTGATGTACATGAGAAGAGAGAGAATAAACTGAGGGCCATATGGGTGAACGGGAGTCAGAGGGGTAAAGGGTAAGCCCGTGTTAGTTGTGTCTTGGAAGATCAATCTTGGGGACTTCACGGGTATTGCCTGACAAGACAAACGTCAGATCACTCACACCCTGTCTATGGCCAGTTCTCTCTCTAGCTGGTGTTTGTGAGTAACGAGAGGTATAGCCTACCTGCCATGCCCAGAGCTTAGATAGCATCTATCTGTTCATAGGCCTGTTGTTGCTATTCGAGGACTCAGTATCAGTGGAACTGTGGGGAGAGGGTAGGCATCGGTGGCACTGTGGCTGGTTATCTCCGCTGAGGTGGGCAATAGGGTGACCTGGGGATGGATGTTGGGGGCAAGAGGATAATGAACTCCGGGTCTGATCGTGGATTGAACTATTCCTGCTGTGACAGGGTATGACCTTTGAGGATGTGGCCATTTATTTCTCCCAAGAAGAGTGGGAGCTCCTTGATGAGTCTCAGAGGTTCCTGTACTGCGATGTGATGCTGGAGAACTTTGCACATGTAACATCCCTGGGTAAGGCCCTAGCATCCCTCCGAGTGTCTGCTTTTCTTTTTGACCCCAGAGTTACCTCTGTCTCAGGAGTCTTGCTGTCAGCCTAGTGGATCTTATTTTTCTTGTCTTCCCCCTGTCAGGATGACTGTGTACAGATTCATGGTACCTTGTGGCCCAGTTTCTGCCCTTTTCCTCTAGCTGCCATTTCCTTATGTCCACCTATATCAGAAATTACAGGCATTGTCATAGTTACTACTTATGTGAACTATGGAGCTCTTTTTACAAGACTCTCCTTTGAGTGTTTTTTGTGAGTGCTGGTCACTCCCTTGTCCTCTCTTTCCTTAAGACTTACATCATTCATGTGTTATGTGGTAGCACAATGAGGGCTGCAGGGAGAGCCCTAGTTGCTTCACAGAGTGAACAAAGCAAGATGGTCTCAGAGGAGGCCTGGCCCCAGTGAGTGGCAGCTGGGGAAGGGCATGACATCATGGTTGTATTAGAATCATATCCGGAACCTGTGATGTGTCCAGCAGTATTTTGGTGCAAGTGCCACTGGCCATAACTCGTTTCTACTTCTACTTCCCTATACAATACTGTGCTGAATTGTTGTTTCATCTGTCACTTCCAGTGTTTGGCTACCTCCACCCTCGTGGTCTCAGTGTGTCACTTGTTCGTCTCCACAGCTCACTTCTTTTCAGTGTTGTTCAGTCTTGACTCACTGTGTTGTGAGGTATGCACACAGCCTCAAATAGTCCTCCTTGATCACCAGCTATCAAGTTTCAATTGGATTTTCCTAGGACTGGACAACAGCAGTCTTCTGTACAGCACATACATCACTAGCAGACAAAGTCCTGCTGAGGGCTTTGGCAGAGAGTGAGTTGGAGACCCTCCTTCTCCTCCTGTGCTATACCTCATCCTTGTATCCTTTGCGTGATGAGATGACATCTCTAAAATCTTAAAAAACCCAGTACTTCAAACCAGCCTATTCCTCCCCAGTTCCGTTGTTCTCAGAACAGTTCCATGCACTCAGTTCTTGTGTCTCACACATTTTTGTGATACATCTTTCTCCTTCCATGAAAGTCAGCATGCATTTCATCAGCATTTCTCTGCTTTCAGGTTATTGCCATGGAATGGAGAATGAGGCGATAGCTTCTGAGCAGAGTGTATCTATACAGGTCAGGACTTCTAAGGGCAATACACCCACCCAGAAAACTCACCTCAGTGAGATTAAGATGTGTGTCCCAGTCTTGAAAGACATTTTGCCTGCGGCTGAGCACCAAACCACATCCCCTGTGCAAAAGTCATACTTGGGTAGCACAAGCATGAGAGGCTTCTGCTTCAGTGCTGACCTTCACCAGCATCAAAAGCATTACAATGAAGAAGAGCCCTGGAAAAGGAAGGTGGATGAGGCTACATTTGTGACCGGCTGCAGATTCCATGTGTTGAATTATTTCACCTGTGGGGAGGCCTTCCCAGCCCCCACGGACCTACTCCAACACGAAGCCACTCCCAGTGGTGAGGAGCCACACAGTAGCAGCAGCAAGCATATACAGGCATTTTTCAATGCAAAAAGTTATTACAAGTGGGGTGAATACAGAAAAGCTTCAAGCCACAAACACACACTTGTTCAGCATCAGAGTGTCTGTTCTGAAGGAGGGCTTTATGAGTGTAGCAAATGTGAGAAAGCCTTCACTTGCAAGAACACACTTGTTCAGCACCAGCAAATTCACACTGGACAAAAGATGTTTGAGTGTAGTGAATGTGAGGAATCCTTTAGCAAAAAGTGCCACCTAATCTTACACAAGATAATTCACACTGGAGAAAGGCCTTATGAATGCAGTGATCGTGAGAAAGCCTTTATCCATAAATCTGAATTCATTCACCACCAGAGACGTCACACTGGAGGAGTGCGTCATGAGTGTGGTGAATGTAGGAAAACCTTTAGCTACAAATCTAACCTCATTGAACACCAGAGAGTTCACACTGGAGAAAGGCCTTATGAATGTGGCGAGTGCGGGAAATCCTTTAGACAAAGCTCTAGCCTTTTTCGACACCAGAGAGTTCACTCTGGAGAAAGGCCTTATCAGTGCTGTGAGTGTGGGAAATCCTTTAGACAAATCTTCAATCTCATTCGACATAGAAGAGTTCACACTGGAGAAATGCCTTATCAGTGCAGTGATTGTGGGAAATCTTTTAGCTGCAAATCGGAACTCATTCAACACCAGAGAATTCACAGTGGAGAAAGACCTTATGAATGCAGAGAATGTGGGAAATCCTTTAGACAATTCTCTAACCTCATTCGACACCGCAGCATTCACACTGGTGATAGGCCTTATGAGTGCAGTGAATGTGAGAAATCCTTTAGCCGCAAATTTATCCTGATTCAACACCAAAGAGTTCACACTGGAGAAAGACCTTATGAATGCAGTGAATGTGGAAAATCCTTTACCCGCAAATCTGACCTCATTCAACACCGGAGAATTCATACTGGCACAAGACCTTATGAGTGCAGTGAATGTGGCAAATCTTTTAGACAGCGCTCTGGCCTCATTCAGCACCGGAGACTTCATACTGGAGAAAGGCCTTATGAATGTAGTGAATGTGGAAAGTCTTTTAGCCAAAGTGCTAGCCTCATTCAACACCAGAGAGTTCACACTGGAGAAAGGCCTTATGAATGTAGTGAATGTGGGAAATCCTTTAGCCAGAGCTCTAGCCTCATTCAACACCAGAGAGGTCACACTGGAGAAAGACCTTATGAGTGCAGTCAATGTGGGAAACCCTTTACCCACAAATCAGACCTTATTCAGCACCAAAGAGTTCACACTGGAGAAAGGCCTTATGAATGCAGTGAATGTGGGAAATCCTTTAGCCGCAAATCTAACCTCATTCGACATCGGAGAGTTCACACTGAAGAAAGGCCTTAAATGTGAAGGGAATGTGCTATTTCTTTATTCAGTATAATAGCACTGGAGGAGACTGTGGTAGCCATCTTCGTAAATTTAAACTTTGAGCACCCACAGTGGGGTATTCTTCATAAGTTTCAGGTATGTGGGAAGCTCTGAGGAGGTTCATTGTAATTTCTAATCTGCCGAGGCCTATAGCCTGATTTATGTCACTGCCAATTTCTGAGGCTGAAGCCATTTCACATTTCACCCCTACCACCTGGCAGGTGCACACCATGTGCATGAGTCACTTCCCCACAGTGCTCAGAGAAGCAAACCTCTGTACTCTCCCATTTGCTTGGGGAAATTATTAATAGCCCAAGCATGTAGGGTCTTCATGTCTTTTCTCTGACTTTAGAGTATACACCTGACCCAGTTGTGGTCCAGAGAATCTGAGTTGTGCTGTCAGCTTTCTAAGGATTACTTTTTTAAGGAACATTGTCGGTCTCACATGATGCTTGTAATGAATTTTTCCACATTCTGATTCACCAGCCTGGAAACTGCTTGGTGCACATTGCTTTAATTTATAATGTTTTTATAAAGGTTTTAAAAAAATTTACGCACCTTTAATCTTGGGTGTTCTATTCATTGCATAGAATGACTTGTAAGCAGAATAGTGATGTCAGCATGAAGGGGTGAATAGATTTTGTGGAGATCTCAAACTTTCTGTACTCAGAAGGGACAATGTGATGGCAGAAGACAGCTCTTTGTTCTGTATTGCTCTAATTGGCCTGCTGCCCAAGGCCTCAAAGTAAAGACTGCCAGGCTTTGTGTTCCTGTATTGTGGCCTGGTGCCATTTTTGTCAGGTCAGAGGTCACCATGAAAAGGAGGCAGTTGTGACAATCCCCAGTGCTTCTGTGAACGTGAATTTTGTTCAGTTGTCCACAGGAGATCCACATAATTCCTAGCACTGGTGAGGGGAATCTGTTGCCCAGGTCCTGCAAAGGAGCCAGGTGCCATGGCATATAAGTCAGTGTAGACTGGTGCCATTTGTTGTCAGACTATAGGTGTGGAGGTGAAATTACAGGTTCAACAGTAATTGGGACAGAAACTCCAGGTAAATGGGGAGTGGAGAAGACTGCAGTAAATTAGATGGAATGACTCTTCTAAAAGTTCATCTACAAATTTTCCAGTGAATATGGTTGTGTAGGATCAGTGCATACAGAAATTCTCAGGATCTTCTGTTTACTATCGCTGAGATCATTATCAGAAAATAGTCTGGCCGGGCATGGTGTAATCCTAACACTTTGGGAGGCCAAGGCGGGCGGATTGCCTGAGCTCAGGAGTTCAAGACCAGCCTGGGCAACATGGTGAAATCCCATGTCTACTAAAATACAAAAAATTAGCCAGGCGTGGCAGCATGCGCCTATAGTCCCAGCCACTTGGGAGGCTGAGGCAGGAGAATCGCTTGAACCCAGAAGGCGGAAGTTGCAGTGAGCTGAGATTGCACCACTGCACTCCAGCCCAGGCAACAGAGTGAGACTCCGTCTCCAAAAAAAAAAAAGAAAATAGTCTATAAAGGTTTTGTGGCTCCTTGTATCCTGTCTGGGCTGTTCACCTCAAGGCCATTGCTATGCAGGTAGGAGAACAAGAATAGAGAGAAGGATCATTCCGCGGTCCAGGGATGTGGCTTTTGTGACTCAGCCAACATTCCTATTAATTCAGGTGGCAACAGCCTTCATTGCTTGCCAAAATTTGCTGCCCCTGAGGCAAGGTTGCCTCTCTCAGGGCATGAGGAGAGAGAGAGATGGTGAAGTCCATATCAGGTTGCCACCCTGATTAAAAAAAAAGGAACATCTAGGCTCTTAATTTTGAGCCACTTTTTAAAGCTTTTTGAAGGTCTAATTTGTATAACTGACATGCAACAAAGTACACGTATCCAAAGTGTACAGTTTGGTAAAGCCATGAAACCATCATTACAACCATAAAAATGAATTTGTGTGTCACCCATATATTTACCTTGTATCTTTTTATAATCTTTCTCCCTTCCCCAGCTCTTCAGGTTCAACTGATTTCCTTTACAGTAAATTAGTTTGCATTTTCTGGAGTTTTTACTGAGATACATACACACACACACACACACACACACACACACGTATACGCATATACGTATACGTATATATATACATATGTGTTTATATATGTGTGTGTGTATATATATATACTTACTGGTTTTCTTCATGCTGTATAATTATTTTGAGATTCAAAAATGATGAATCTTTGTATTGCTGAGTATCATGCTGTTCTATGGATAAGTCAGTGTTTATCCATGTGTTTAGGGACATTTATATTATTTATAGATTTTTGTATATTACAAATAAAGCTGCTGTAAATACTTGAATTCATTTCTTTATATGGATATGTGTTTTATTTTCCTCGTGTTAATAACTCAAACTGTAATGTCTTAGTTACAATGTAGGTGAATGTTTAACATTTTAAGAAATGCCAAATTTGATCTAAATGGATGTTTCCTATTGTAGTCCCACCAAGGGTGTATGAGAGTCCCAGTTCCTTTACATCCCTGCCAGTGCTTCATGTGGCTAATCTTTTTTATTTTAGCTCTTTGAATGTATGAATAGTGGTATCTCACTGTGGTTTTCATTGCATTTCCCTAAAACTTCCTGATATTGAGCATTTTTTAATGTTTTTATTTGCCACCTGTGTAACTTCTTTGGTAAAATTAAATTTTCTTTTAAAAATTCCTCACCACCCATTCCAGAATTTGCATGTATGTGTGTGTGTGTGCACGCGCACACAGACAGGGTCTCCCAGGCTAGTCTTTTAACTCCTGGCCTTAAGCATTTTTCCTACTTTCCAGCCCCAGCTGTGGTCAATTTGTTTTTTCTTTTTTTTTTGGGGGGGGACAAGAGTCTCACTCTGTCACCCAGGCTGGAGTGCAGTGCTGTAATCTCAGCTCACTGCAAGCTCCGCCTCCCGGGTTCAAGTGATTCTCCTGCCTCAGCCTCCCAAGTAGCTGGGACTACAGGCGCCCACCACCATGCCCGGCTAATTTTTATATTTTTAGTAGAAACAGTTTCACCATATTGGCCAGGCTGGTCTCAAACTCCTGACTTTGTGATCCTCCTGCCTTGGCCTCCCAAAGTGCTGGGATTACAGGTGTGAGCCACCGCACCCAGCCACCGTGGTCAATTTCAAACTGCCATATTGATGTCACTGAACCTGGAGTTGGGAAGAATTTCTGGTAACACACCTTTGTATTCTGTTTCCAATACACTGGTAGAGTATCCAAGATAGCCAGAAGAATAAAGACGACAATAAAACAGTAAAATGATCAGGAAGTGGCAAGTTTTAAATATTTGTTTTTTAAACAATTTTATTGAGATATAATGGACTTAAATTGTATGGGTTTTTATCTTTCACCTTAGAAGGGATTCAGTTGTATATTTTTAAAATATATATTTTGATGTTTTTATACATCGTACATTCCCAAAACCAAATGTTTCTTCCAGCCCTTTTCAATTTATCCTTTGCAACATATAAATTACTGATAGAAGGACATATTCTGCCTTTTGTAGGGGCTATTTACAAATGTCCATCAATGGAAGACATCATTATAAAACCTGATGAACCCTTTCCCAGTCTTCTATCATTTATCTTTTTTTATTTTTATTTTTATTTTTTTTTGAGACAGGGTCTCGTTCTGTTATCCAGGCTGGAGTGTAGTGGTGGATTTATCATTTTGTCATTCTCTTTTTTTTTTTTCAGCATAAACTATCAAGCAATTCATGGTTGTTCTTGTTTCATCTGTCCCCATGTGGATTTATAATCAGATATTTCGTTAAAGGCATAAAGTCTTCAGATTGCATTTCTAAAATTTAAAGACCGTTTCGTAACTATAAGATTAACATACAAAATAAAAATTGTATGTGTACAAAATTATAAATGTTTTATATACAGTACTGAATTGTATCAACTGCTGCTTATTTAAGACAGATTGCTATCAGCATACAAAATATATTTGATGTTTAGTAGGTGTGTCTTTGAGTTTATTAACCTATACGTACTGCTTACTTCTTTAATATTTATGTAACGTTGCTAAACTGCTTGTCCATTAGCTTCCCACATTGTGCTGGGCGCAGTGGCTCATGCCTGTAATCCCAGCACTTTGGGAGGCCGAGGCGGACGGATCACGAGGTCAGGAGATCGAGACCACGGTGAAACCCCGTCTCTACTAAAAATACAAAAAATTAGCCGGGCATGGTGGCGGGCGCCTGTAGTCCCAGCTACTGGGAAGGCTGAGGCAGGAGAATGGCGTGAACCTGAGAGGCGGAGCTTGCAGTGAGCCGAGATCGTGCCATTGCACTGCAGCCTGGGTGACAGAGCGAGACTCCGTCTCAAAAAAAAAAAACAAAACGAACTTCCCACATTGTTGATTTGGCTTATTAAATCTCAGATTCTGTTCAGTGTGTTCACCGCTCACTCCGCCCCCCATTCCCCAGTATTTCCTGTATACTAGATATTGATGAAATGAGTGATTAAGATCTGTTCCAAGTGGACAGGTTTATGTTGGTGACAAACCTGGAAACACAGTGTGCCTTTTGCTACCACAACATGAGCAGCCTGGAAATAAACATTACAGGTATTGTGTGTGCTGGTTGTGAGACAGGTGTGCAGTAGTGACAGCACATCCTAGCAAGATACACATACATCTGTGGCATACATTGACAGATGTAGGAAACTGACACCCCCCAGCACAGCCTGGAGCCATTTGTGTATGCCACATCCGCAACAGAAAAGATGTATGACAAACCTGAAACACACACACAGGTATGTGCAAAACACGCAAGGATCCTGTGAGACGGGATGGAGATACTGACACACCATAGCAGTCTCCACAGAGACTTGTGGGACGGACATATGCTAGGGATACCCAAAAATCTGATATGTGGGGCCAGGCGCGGGGCTCACGCCTGTAGTCCCAGCACACTGGGAGGCCGAGGCGGACAGATCACAAGGTCAGGAGTTTGAGACCAGCCTGGCCAACATGGTGAAACCCCGTCTCTACTAAAAATAGAAAAATTAGCCAAGTGTGGTGGTGCGCACCTGTAATCCCAGCTACTCAGGAAGCTGAGGCAGGAGAATCACTTGAACCTGGGAGGCGGAGGCTACAATGATCCGAGATCACGCCACTGCACCCCAGCCTGGGCAACAGAGCAAGGCTCCGTCTCAAAAAAAAAAAAAATCTGATGTGTGGGCCACAAACACAATTGCACTATCTTTGTGGGGCAATTGTGATGAGGCAGGCACAACCTGATGTGATACTACTACTCCCTACACACATCACTGCATACTAGATGATGTACTGATGAGGGAACTGGTTCATACCCCAGCACAACCTGGAAATACACGTGTGAGCAGGTTTGACCTAAGCAGGAGAATAGGATGTTTATGGGCTTTATAGGAGGGCTCAGCCAGATTCAGCCAGTTTCAGAAGTAATTGGTCAAGTACAGGTGGGAGAAGGAACACTCTAGGGGATTAGTACTCATTGTCTGTCATTGATTTTACACAGGGCTGGGGAGGAGCAGTTGGGACTAAGGACACCTGCTACAGGGGTTGGGAGGCAAAAGCCATGGGTACAGAGACGCGCGATGGTCACGCTGGACATTCTCAGTTCTTCATCTTCTCTCCCAATGTCTGCAGTAGTGACTGATAACTGAGTGACAGTTCAGTATGGTGTGGAGGAAGCATCCTATGGTGGTGTTTAGATGGAAGACCGAAAGGACCCCAGGAATGAATCATTGCATGGGGTTGTGAGAGAGCGATGTGTTTGGAGTGACACCAGGGACCCTGTTGGAGGTGTTCAGGCAGTGGCAATGCTGACCATGGGAAGCAAGTTTGTGGAGAAGGACTTGAGGCCCCAGGTGGCAGTGTCCCAGTGTGGTTACTCATGTTCTGGGCTTAGCAGACTTGGCAGAGAGGAATCTGTCCAGAGTCTCCTGCATTTCCAGTCAGAGGAGTAAAGGGACCAAGGCAAGCCAACCCAGTTCAGCGTAGACCTCAGCTGCTTGTGTGAGAAACACACTCACCCATCCAAACCCAAAGAATGGACTAAAAGACACGAAGAACAGCGAAAGTGAGACTTTCAGTAACAGTCTTGCAAGATCAGGGGACTGGTGTAGGCAGGCATATCTAGGGTAGTCACAACAGGTAATTTATCTCCTTGCTTGCAAGTCCCTCCTCCAAGATACTCATTGGTCCAGTACTATGAGGTTACAGTCTTCCCAGATGTCGTCTAAGTTTCATTATCCCCCTTATAACGTTAAACCCCGGTCCCCTTCCCTGCTTAAGTTTTGATTTCCAATAATGAAACATTCTTCCCTTTCATGGCCTGACCCCTCCTCTACATTCTGTGTACCTATTGTGACCTTCTAGATGCATGAGCTGTGTGGTTTGTTACATTTGCAGGCTGGCTGCCAGTACTTAGATTTATCATGCCTTGAAAATGGGCTATTTAAAATATTTTCCCACCCTTGGCAGCTGTGGTCGTGTATGGATGTTGCTTGCCCTCTCTGAACTGCAGATACATTAAGAGACAGGAATGATCATTCCTCTCTACTCTTTTTGGGGGGAAGAAGGAATAAGTAAGGAGGTAATCCTTAGGAAGTGGGTCAATATTAGCTCCACATGAAAACAGTAGTCTTGGCCAGGCGCGGTGACTCACGCCTGTAATCCCAGCACTTTGGGAGGCCGAGGTGGGTAGATCACCTGAGGTTGGGAGTTCAAGACCAGCCTGACCAACATGGTGAAACCCCATCTCTACTAAAACTACAAAAATTAGCTGGGCGTGGTGGTGCACGCCTGTAATCTCAGCTACTCTGGAGGCTGAGGCAGGAGAATTGCTTAAACCCGGGAGGCGGAGGTTGCAGTGAGCCGAAATTGTGCCATTGCACTCCAGCCTGGGTGACAGAGGGAGACTCCATCTCAAAAAAAAAAAAGAAAAAGAAAAAGAAAGAAAAGAAAGTAGTAGTCTTGATTGTCAGCATCCAGGGAAATGTGCAAACCATTCTCGTCTCAGCCTCCTGAGCAGTTGGCACTACAGGCGAACACCACGATGCCTGGCTAATTTTTGTATTTTTAGTTGAGACAGGGTTTCGCCATGTTGGCCAGGCTGGTCTGAAACTTCAGGCCTCAAGTGATCTACCCTCCTTGGCCTCCCAAAGTGCTGAGATTACAGATGTGAGCCACTGTGCCCAGCCGGAATTCCTTTTTTTTTTTTTTTTTTCCTTTTGGAGACGGAGTTTCTTGTTGCCCAGGCTGGAGTGCAGTGGCACTATCTCAGCTCACTGCAACCTCCACCTCCCAGGTTCAAGCAATTCTCCTGCCTCAGCCTCCTGAGTAGCTGGGATCACAGGCATGTGCCACCACACCTGACTAATTTTGTATTTTAGTAGAGATGGGGTTTCTCCATGTTGTTCAGGCTGGTCTCAAAACTCCTGACCTCAGGTGATCCGCCTGCCTTGGCTTCCCAAAGTGCTGGGATTACAGGCGTTAGCCACCGAGCCCAGCCTCTTTTTCCCTTCGTTTTATTCTAATCAACCACTGAGGTTCAAAGAGGGTCTCTAGTCACTAACCCAGCCCCGCCCCAGCCCACTCAGCCCCTGTCCCTGGTGTGAGCCACCGCGCCGCCCAGCTGGAATTCTTCAGAGTAGAAAAAAGGGAAGGCTTTAGGTGTGCTAATTGGAGTCTGTGGGTCTGAGGAAGCCGAAGGCAGGCTAACTACAAGTAGGGCCTACTCTGTCATTGGTTAGGGACACATACTTGATTTCATCCATTTGTTCTTAAATTGGAAAGGGAGACAAACATTAGAGAAGCTGTTAGTCAAGTCCTTGACAGGGGTTGTTGGGGACTTTCTCAAGGTCACTTCCTTGGGAAGGAGTCCTTCAGAAATTCACACTGAGATCTCTGGACTCTGCAGCCAGTGCTTCTTCCAAAAATTCCATCCAAGTAGAAGCTGTGGGGTCAGGGGGTTCTAAGAAGCCCCATTTCTCTTTCTCTTGTACCTTAAGACCTGCCTGGATCAGGTAAATGATAAGGCATCAACTCACTAGGTGCTGGGGATAGTGCTCGGCCCTGCTTACCACCTGCCTACCACACCTTTTGCCAGGATCCCAGAGAGTACTGTGAGCACTCCTATTCCACAAACATAAAACTGAGGTACCAAGAGGCTGCAAAACCAGCAGAGTCCTGATGCTGGGCAGTGGCAGAGGAGGGATTAAACCCAGGCAGCAGAGGGAGCAGAGGGCCTGGGGCAGCCAGGCACCGGAAGTGCTGCAAGCACCAAGACCCAGGGTGGTAACTTGCAGGGGGAGGCCAGAGCATGAAGGCAGAGGGAGGTTTTGGGTGCAGCCTCCAAGTAGGGAATGGACAGTTTCAGTGTTGAGGCAGAGTGGCAAAGACAAGAGACCCACAGCACCCAGGAAATCCCTCAGCTATAAATACAGTCCCTCAGCACTTTTCACTCCCCTTCCCAAGGATACTATCATCACCCTCTCCTCACCTTGGAAAGAAATCAGGGCTCCAACTAGAGCTGCCTTGCTGGAAGCTCGCACTGTCCTGTCCCGATGTATCATCCAGCAGCCCCAAGGCAGCTCCCCTCATTATCCTCTGTCATAAAGATATGATGTTTGCTTTTCCTCTAGGTAAAGCCAGTAAGGTAATAGAGCATCACCTGTTAGGATGAACTATGTGTGACAAATGGTGCTGTCAAATTCGTATTTGAGGACTTGTTGTTGTTTATCTTGAAAACGTGTGTAATGGGCTACATCTGCTAGGCCATATGAAGGAGTGAGGCTTTTTTCTTACCTTGCAATTTCTTAGTGGATTGTCTGTGATGTGCATCACATTCTGGTTTAATGCTTAATAAAAGCGTTTTCTGTCTCTACCTTCGTGGAGAGGATTTCTGGGTTGGGAGAAGGTTTTGTATTTATTTCACTGTTGCCATCACACACCTGTCTGCTGGGACAAAATCTCAATCACCGATTTCATCAACATCTAGTGTACAAGTTAAACAATGTTAGAGATTCAATAAGCCACATCTAGAATACAGCAAATTCTAATTAAAAAATGACTCAGCAACTTCAAGAAATAAGAAAACAAAGGTAAATGGAACCTGTAGGTTACAGACTTATGAGATACAACTACTGAAAGCTATTAAATATACATTTGGATCCTGAATAAAAATGATCTTCCTTAAGAAACACATTGTTTTAGACAACTGAGAAAACAGAAGCGATAAAATATTTACATTTTAAAATATATTTGTGTGATTTTTTGGGGGGTTATAAAAGAGCCTTTACATTTTAAAATTGCATTCTGAAGAGGCTATGCATTAAATAATATGATATCCGGGAGTATAAGTAAAATAACGCACTAGTACACATGAGGACCGATGAAACATAAATGACTATGAAATGATAAATGGTGAAGGAAAAAAAAATAGTGAAGGAAGACTGGAGAAAGGTTCATCTGGCTTCATAACAGTCTTTTCCATCTTTTTTTGTAATTGAACACAGCTGTAACAGGAGACAAAATATGTCATTGTACCAGTAATTTTACACAATGAAAATTAATTTTATATGTTGAGAATGAACTAAAAAGACAGAAGGAAACTGCGTTCCAGGGTGTAAGCATGTATGAAAATATCAAAATATGCATTTTAAATATAAGCACTTTAAGTTCCATTATACCTCAAACTACTTTAAAAAACTACTCAAAATATCCATAACAAATGAATGAATGAATAAACGAATACTGGTATATCCACAGAACATCATACTTCTCAGCAATACAAAAAAAAGAAACTACTCATAGAGGTATAATGATGAATCTCAAAATAAATACGTGACTATACCCAGGGATTAAAAAAGAGTAAATACATTATGGTTTCAATCATATAAAATTCTAGCAAATGAAAACTAATGTATTATAATGGAAAGTAAATCAATAGTTGCCTATAGGCAGATAATTATTAAAGGACAATGAGGTAACTTGTGGAATGACACGTTCATTGTCATGATTGTGAAGAAACAACTTCTTCCTAATCATTTCACTACATTTTATTTTCTACATTCTTGAGGTTATTCGTGGCCACTGTATCAGTATGGTAGAAACAGAATATATTAGGATGCTATCAGCAACTCTTCCCAATTCTACATTCAGTAACATGTTGGCAGTTTCAAAATTGGCATGGTGGGAGCAATTACAGGTTAATATGAATATCAAAGCTGATCAAATTATATAGTTTAAATATGTACCATTTATTCTTATTAAAATTATTATCAGGTTAGTGCAAAAGTAATTGCCGTTTTTGCATGTTGGATTTTGCCATTTTATATTGGAAAACATTCTTAAATAAATGTGGTTATACATCATTTTAATAGGCATTTCTCGCTTTATGTTTTTTTGCTGACTTACTACTTGCTGTTTATGTTTATTTTAGACTATGGAAATGTTAGACAAAACTCAAATTTCAGCGATTTTTTTGAGATAGAGTCTTGCTCTGTTGCCCAGGCTGGAGTGCAGTGACATGATCTTGGCTCACTGCAACCTCCACCTCCCGGGGTTCAAACAATTCTCGTGCCTCAGGCTCCCCAGTAGCTGGGATTACAGGTGCATGCCACTATGCCCAGCTAATTTTTGTATTTTTAGTAGAGACGGGGTTTCACCATGTTGGCCAGGCTGGTCTCGAACTCGTGACCTGTGATCCACCCACCTCGGCCTCCCAAAGTGCTGGGATTACAGGTGTAAGCCACCGCATCTGGCCTCTTTTTTTTGAGACGGAGTCTTGTTTTGTCTGTCGTCCAGGCTGGAGTGCAGTGGCGTGATCTTGGCTCACTGTGACTTCTGCCTCCCGGGTTCAAGTGATTCTCCTGCCTCAGCCTCCCAAGTAGCTGGGACTACAGGCACATGCCACCACGCCCGGCTAATTTTTGTATTTTTAGTAGAGATGAGGTTTCAATATGTTGGTCAGGCTGGTCTCTAACTCCTGACCTTGTGATCCACCTACTTCAGCCTCCCAAAGTGCTGGGATTACAGGCGTGAGCCACCGCACCCGGCTGAGATTTTCTTACTTGAGTTCCCAATGGGTCGTAAAGCAGCAGAGACAACTCACGATATAAACACATTTGGCCCAGGAACTGCTAACGAATGTACAGTGCAGTGGTGGTTCAAGAAGTTTTGCAAAGGAGACAAGAGCCTTGAAGAGAAGTAGTGGCCAGCCACTGGAAGTTGACAATGACCAATTGAGAGCAATATTAGAAGCTGATCCTCTTACAACTACATGAGAAGTTGCCTAAGAACTCAATGTCAACCATTCCACGGCTGTTCAGCATTTGAAGGAAATTGGAATGGTGAAAAAGCTTGGCTGGGCGCAGTGGCTCATGCCTGTAAATCCCAGCACTTTGGGAGGCCAAGGTGGGTGGATCACATGAAGTCAGGAGTTCAAGACCAGCCTGGCCAACATGGTGAAACCCCATGTCTACTAAAAATGCAAAACTCAGATGGGCGTGGTGGCGGGTGCCTGTAATCCCAGCTACCTGGGAGGCTGAGGCAGAAGAATCGCTTGAACCTGGGAGGCGGAGGTTGCAATGAGCTGAGATAGTGCCATTGCCCTCCAGACTGGGCAACAGAGCAAGACTCTGACTCAAAAAAAAATAAAAATAAAAATAAATCATGGTTCAAAACCACAGTTACTTTTGCACCAACCTAACAAAATATGGTTCAAAATAAAAGTCTGAATTTCCTATTGTTTTTGGAAAATCAGGTTTGACAACCCTATGTTGATTCCACCATCTCTCTCCTCATGTCCTGGGAGAGGATTTTGCCTCAGTGATCACAAATACAAGTGAACAGTGAAGGCCATTTCCACCTGACTCAACAGAAATGTTGGCTGGATCACAAAGGCTGTATCAATGGCCTAGACCTCCCTTCTCTATCCTTGTTTTCCTGCCTGCATAGCAATGACCTTGAGGTGAAAATCCCAGAGGCTACAGGATTCCATAAAATTTCTGACAATGACCTCAGCTACACAAGATACACAATTCTGTAGGTCCTGAGGATTTCTGTACCTGCTCATCCTTAAGAGCCATAATAACGAACATCATGGAAACCTCTGTAAAAGGGGCACATTCTATTTATTGCAGTGTTATTGCAGTTTTCCACTCTCTATCAATCCAGTACTTCTATAACAATTATAATTCCTACTATAATCTTACCACCTGTGGTGCTACCCTGTGGAATTCAGGATATCAAGGCATACAGGACCTGGGGAACAGATTTCCCCCACTGGCACTGAACACGATGCAGTATTCCTTGTGAACAAGAGAACAATTTCATGTTGCTTTCAGAAACATCAAAGGATGTCAAGTAACTGCTGCCTCCTCAGGCTGACCTCTATGGCATCCAGGATATAAATTAGGACAATACCCTGTAGTTTTTTCTCAGAGGCCTTGAATAGCAATGAAAACTAGGCTCAAACTAGAGAGAGAGCTATATTCTGCCATCCTACTGTCCCTGTCCCTGTCCCTGTTGAGCTACACAATGTTTGGGATCTCCAAAAAAAGTTATTCACCCCTTCATGTTAGCAGAACCCAACTGTTTTCAAACCAACCCATACATATAGAACCCCCAAGATTAATAAGGCCTTTGTTATTGTACAAACCAAGGCAATAAGAGGCAGTTGGTTCCCACAGTTGGTGATTTGAAGGCTGGCAAACTCTATCAAGAGTCATGTGAGACCAACAATATCCTGAAATATGTAGTCCCTCTTTTCAGGTCACCAGCAGAGTCCTCTGGGCCAAACTGGGTCAGGTCCATGGCCTAACTCATCAGAAAGGAAAAAAAAAAAACGGAATAAATGCTTAGGCTATTTACAAATTCCTCCCATGAACAGAACACCAAGGTTCACTTACCTGAATACACTGGGATGGGTGAGTGGTGCACACTGGTGGTCACCTGCCAGGCAGTAGAGGTAAAATGGCTTCCACTATAGTATCAGCAGAGACATAAATCTGACATGGGCCCTGGGCAGGGCAAAAGGTGCAATGCAGTTCACACATACCTGGAATTTATGCAGATGTTCAGATATAGGATGTTCAATTCAGGCTGATGCCACCCTCATAAGGGATCTCCTTCAGAGCTGTTATATCAACTGGACATCCCTACATATCAAAAGTGTCTTTCCCTTGTGAACTGTGTGGCACTCAATGAGATATGGCCTTCAGCTGAAGCTTTCTGACATTCACTGTGTACTCAAGGACTTTCTCCAGGGTGCTAACAGATTTTCCACATTTGCCACTCATAAGGCTTTTATCGACTATGAATTCTCTGATGTTTAATAAGGCTGGAGTTATGGCTAAAGGATTTCCCACATTCCGTGCACTCATAAGGCTTCTCCCCAGTGTGAACCCTCCTGTGCTTAATGAGGCCGGAATTTTGAGTAAAGGATTTCCCACATTCACTGCACTCATAGGGTCTTGATCCAGTGTGAACTCTCTGGTGTTTTCGGAGACTGGAGCTGTAGGGAAAGAACTTCCCACATTCACTGCACTCATAAGGCCTCTCCCCAGTGTGAACTCCCCGATGTTGAAGGAGTGCAGACCTTTGGCTAAAGGATTTCCCACATTCGCTGCACTTATAAGGCCTTTCTCCAGTGTGAACCCTATGGTGTTCAATGAGGCTAGAGTTTTGGCTAAATGACTTCCCACATTCGCTGCACTCATAAGGCCTGGATCCACTGTGAACTTTCTGGTGTTTTATGAGACTGGAATGATATGTAAAAAACTTCCCACATTCACTGCACTCATAAGGCCTCTCCCCAGTGTGAACTCCCCGATGTTGAAGGAGTGCAGACCTTTGGCTAAAGGATTTCCCACATTCACTGCACTCATATGGCCTTTCCCCAGTGTGAACTCTCCGATGTTTAATGAGGTTAGACTTGTTGCTAAATAATTTTCCACATTCATCACATTCATGAGGTCGTACTGCAGTGTGAACTCTCCGGTGCTGAATGAGACTAGAGCTTTGCCTAAAGGACTTCCCACACTCTCGACATTCATAAGGCTTTTCTCCAGTGTGAAGTCTCCAATGGTCATTGAGACTGTAGCTTTTGCTAAAGGATTTCCCACATTCACTGCATATGTAACATCTTTCTGTAGTGAGGGTTCTCTGCTGCTGAACAAGTGTGTGTTTACCGCTGAATGCTTTTGTGTGTTCTCCACAGTTGTAATGAGTTTTTCCTCTGTGACTGATGGCCCCACCGTCGCTTTTGCTATTTGATTGCTCCCCAGTGTGAGCAGCCTGTTGATGGAGAAATCCCAACTTGGCCAGGAAGTCCTTCCCAACTTCTCTGCAGGTGGAAGGCTCCCCTGACACATGGAATGTGCAGGTCTTCACAAACAAGGCTCTGCCCACATTGCTTCTGAAATGTTTTTCTCCAAGGTGCTGCTTCTGATGATGAACATCTGCAATGAAATACAATTATTTCCCACATGCCCCACCTCTATATAATTTCTGCCTATGATGTGTCCCCTAGGGCCCAGCCAAGAGCAAAATGTCTCTCAAGACCAGGCTACACGTCTCACAGTGGTGGGCCTTCTAGGGAGAAAGATCTGCCTTAGAAGTCCTGAGTTGGGTCACTCCTTCTAAAGAAATGCTCTTGTCAGAAGGTGCCTCCTCATCCACCACTCTATGCCAAAAACCTAAAAGCAAGAAATGCTAGTGAAGTGCACATTAACTATGGTGGGAGGGGGCAGCCCTTATACAAGTGTGTGTATGACAAACCCAGGAACAAGTCCATGGGATCGTTTGCATGACAGTAGAGTTGGGTTCAGTTGCAGATGAGGCTGTTTAGCAATTCTAGGATAAAGATTACAAGAATGGGCCGGGTGCGGTGGCTCACATCTGTAATCCCAGCACTTTGGGAGTCCAAGGTGGGTGGATCACAAAGTCAGGAGTTTGAGACCAGCCTGGCCAATATGGTGAAACCCCGTCTCTACTAAAAATACAAAAATTAGCTGGACATGGTGGTGGGTGCCTGTAGTCCCAGGACTCAGGAGGCTGAGGCAGGAGAATCACTTGAACCCGGGAGGCGGAGGTTGCAGCGAGCCAAGATTGCACCACTGTACTCCAGCCTGGGTGACAGAAGGAGACTCCGTCTCAAAAAAAAAAAAAAAAAAAAAAAAGATTACAGGAATGTGGGAGATCTCAAGAGGTAAAGGCCACAACCATGAGGTATCACAAAGAGAGAGGCAGGGTCTAAAACTAAATCCTCTGCAAACAACTTTAGCAGAAGCTTATCTGCTGGCGACACATGAGTGCTATGTAGAATAGTATATGCAAGCCCATGGAAATACGACTGCAATGCAGCAGCTGGCCTTCAAGGACTGTTTAAGAGTATGTGCAAGGACAGGCGCAGTGGCTCACACCTGTAATCCCAGCACTTTGGGAGGCCAAGGTGGGTGGATCACAAGGTCAGGAGTTCAAGACCAGCCTGGTCAAGATGGTGAAACCCCATCTCTAAAAAAATACAAAAATGAGCCAGGTGCAGTGGCATGCGCCTGTAATCACAGCTACTCAGGAGGCTGAGGCAGGAGAATTACTTGAACCTGGGAGGCAGAGGTTGCAGTAAGCCGAGATCATGCCACTGCACTCCAGCCTGGGTGACAGAGTGAGACTCCGTCTCAAAAAAAAAGAGTATGTGCATACCTCATGACACACTATATAGAGGCTAACGTTAGAAAGAACTGCAGGTGTAGCAGTGAGAAAAACAGATAAGATACGGAGTCCAGAGATGTGAGGATTAGCCCCAGGCTGGATGTTAAGAGCAGAAGTGACAAGTAGTAGAGCTGACTTGTCAGCAAAATGTCAAGAATGGTGAAGGGAAACCGGAAGTGAGCTGTGACCACTGGCATTGGCACCAAAATGCTCGCCAAACAGAACAGGTTGCTGCTCTGATACAGCATCTGGATAATGTAAGTACTAAGGGAAGAAAGAACAGAAGAGCAGCCTGCACTGTCCCACAAAAAACTCAGCACATGACAGCCCACAGGAAAAACACACACACACACAAATACTACAAAGAAAATTTCAGAGGAATACTTTGTAAGAAGAGTCCATGGTCTACATAAGTAGTGACCATGTCAGTGACAATAACTCCTGGCATAGGCAGGCATAATGAAATGCCAGCTCGGGATGGAAGTAGTAGCTGGGGCACACAGGATCCTCAAATCTGGAAAAAGTCACCCAGACATGGAGGGGACAATCAAGGTGGGATCCACTAGGGTGACTGCAAGACTGCAGACTCTGAATCCTTCCCTGTGAGGCTGTGAGGAAACAGGTACTGGGGCTCCTCAAGGAGAGGAGAAGACAGTATGCACACCTTAGTCTTACCAATGACAGAACTATGCAGGGAACTGAGAAAGAAGCAGAGCCCATAGTCTTGTCATGAGAAGGACAGACCTGCCTATAGAGAAAAGAGGAAGGGCACAGACTAGCTCAGGGCACAGGAAAGGGTAAAAGAACCTTACCTAGAGAGGTTAAAAGAGCCAAGTTCTCCAGCATCACATCACGGTACAGGCATCTTTGAGCCTCATCAAGGAGACCCCATTCCTCCCAGGAGAAGTGTACGGCCACATCTTCAAAGGTCACAGTGCCCTGCCACAATGGGAACAGATGAAACCACCAAGAGCCCCTATCCCAAGGACCCACAATGCATACCCCCACATCTTTACCCCATGCCCATTCTCTTCCCAAGCTCCCCAACTGAGAGGAGAAACCAGCACATGGATAAATAGGCATCTAAGCTGGGGGCCTGGCATGGAAGGATCCATACTATCCCATCATGAAATCCCCCTGAAATGTCCAAGGTCATCTAAGTCTCAATACCAGGGCCCTGCAGCTGTCACTTACTCCCTTTCCAGATGCACATCATTCTTCAGAATACACATCCCTCCTATCTCCAGACACCACAGCCCCAAGCCCAGGGCTGCCACCTCACTGCCCACACCATAGGCATCTCCCTGCTCTTACCTCCCATGTCACTGTTTTAATCTCTTCCTCTTTACCCCATTAGCGAAGGCAGGATTGCCACACTAGGGTTATGGATATGGACAAACACACAATACCTGACACTAGAAAGACGATACAGCAGTTGGGTATGGTGGCTCATGCCTGTAATCCCAGCACTTTGGGAGGCCAAGACGGGTGGATCACGAGGTCAGGAGTTCAAGACCAGCCTGACCAATATGGCGAAACCCCATCTCTACTAAAAATACAAAAATTAGCCGGGCGTGGTGAAGCACACCTGTAATCCCAGCTACTCAGGAGGCTGAGGCAGGAGAATTGCTTGAACCCAGGAGGCGGAGGTTGCAGTGAGCCAAGATTGCGAAACTGCACTCCAGTCTGGGCGACAGAGCGAGACTCCGTCTCAAAAAAAAAAAAAAAAGAAAGATGATATAGCAGTTTATTAATCATATGTACATAGAACCTGGGAGATGAGGACAACATGTACCACACAGGGTCACATGGGGGTCTAGTCCAGAAAAAAAGTGAATAACCAAAAACTGTGGGATGCAAGCACTTTGAGAACAAAAGGATCAACTGCCCCCTGGTTCCCACAATGGGCTTGTTTGGAAAACTCCATGACCTGGTAGGGAGCTGAAATCTGCTACAAAGTGATAGGCAGAAATTGTGCCTGGTCTCCTTGATTAAAAGGGTTGTCTGTTTGGGAGAAGAGTAGGGAGGGAAACTTGTACTCAGGCCATTTGATGCCACCCTGATTTCACCAGATGTCATACTGGGCCTTAATTTTAGACTTTACACCATAACTTAGCACACAGCGTCCAGAGTATGCTCGACAGATTCAAACGGATCTAATACTACCCTAGATCTCCCAGGGCATCCACTAGTGGTAGCAGCCCCAAATCCTATGAGGGCTCCCTGGCTGGCTCCATTCTTTGCCTCAGATTTAGGCCACACAGAACCACATGTGCATCTCAGATACCCATGGCCCTATTCCACTTCCGTGCTGCACTTGCTAGCCCCTCAGCAGTAACAACCTTCCTCTGTCCACTTAACACTCAAAGACTAGCTCCACTGATCACCTACCCCAGGCCAAGTGACTGTCACAGATGACCACATTGGCACCTGGCCTTATCCTCCAGGTTGAATAAACACCCTAGGCCCCATCAAAGTCATCAAAAAATCCTGGTGATTCCACAGAGTGCTGAATAAGCACAAAGGAAAAAAAGGACAGCCATTTGCCTCAAATACACCTATGCCTCTGCATCCACCTTATATCCACTCTTCCCTTGAAAGTGTATGCCACCTGCCCAACTATCCTCTCCAAACACCCTACCTCCATAGCCACTAACCTCCCTTACCTCTGTTTAGAAAGCCCAAGAATATCACCCACTTATCCAACCAAAAGGCTTGGTCCTTAGCCCCCATTCTGCCCTTCCTGGCCAAATAACCTGTACCACCATGCCTAAAGATTAACCCTTGTAGGCCGGATGCGGTGGCTTACGCCTGTAATCCCAGAACTCTGGGTGGCTGAGGCGGGTGGATCACCTGAGGTTGGGAGTTCAAGACTAGCCTGACCAACATGGAGAAACCCTGTCTCTACTAAATAAATACAAAATTAGCCGGGCGTGGTGGCGCATGCCTGTAATCCCAGCTACTCGGGAGGCTGAGGCAGGAGAATTGCTTGAAGCCGGGAGGCGGAGGTTGTGGTGAGCCAAGCTCGCGCCATTGCACTCTGGCCTGGGCAACAAGAGAGACACTCCATCTCAAAAAAAAAAAAAAAAAATAGAACAACCCTTCTAAATGTAATCCACAGCTCACTCACCTTAGTCCACACAATGACCACCACATTTTGGATGTCTCCATTCTGAAGCACTCCCCAGATTTCCAGACCTGGGTGTTCAGCCACCTACTTAATGCCTACTTAATGTCTCTGAAACATCTCAAACTCTTACATGACCAAATAAAGCTCCTGTTGTCTCCAGTGAATATTACTGTTAATACCAACTTCTCCATCTCAGTTGAAGAACCATGGGGTCATCGCTGAATCCTGTTTCACTCCCTCGCTGTCTACATCAGAAAATTTAGTTGCTCCCTTTAAAAATTTGCATCCAGAATGCAACACATCTCCTAATCAATGACTCTGGTCCATTACCCTGGACTGGCTGTAGCTTCCACTCTGATCTTCTTTCCTCTTCCCTCAACCCCACAGTCTGCTCTCCACGCTAACGGGATGGACCCTGTTAGGACTTTGGTAAGATCACCTCCCTCTTGTAACCCAAATCTCTCATTACCTCCAGAATAGGTACCCAACTTCTCAGGCAGCCACTGCAGTCCTGACTCCTTCCCCCTGCTCTTTGTTCCCAGCTAAAAGGAAACAGATCTATGGTTTCCTCAAAAATCTCAGCTTAGTTTTACTAAGCACTTGCGCCTCCTGATACCAGTGCCAGAGATAACCTTTCACAAGTTTCCACTGGCTGACAAAAATGGGAACACCTCAGTATAACCCCTGTAACCTCTGGCATGGACTTAAGAGCCCTGGGCTTGGAATTTCTCCAGGGCACCAGACCCAGGATTGGGGTAACAGCACTTAAGAATACTAGGAAACCACAATCCCAAGAACATGGGGGTAGAGGCTACTGAGGGACCGAACACTCTCCACTTCCCTATGTGAGTTCCATACGCCCTTCTACAACTGGGAGAACCAGGGAAAGAGGAATGCATCCCTGGTGAGGCTAGATGAGCTCAAGCCTCCCTGTAGCCCTGCCTGGCCCTGAACTCAGGCTGGCTGTTTTACTTTCTGGTCTCAGTGCTGTCACCTCTTGCCAACTGTAGGGCAATGAAAAAAAGATGTAGCCTCCCACTATCTCAATGTCCTCATCGCCCCATCGCTGCTCTTCCTGTGAACAGTCTTTGGAAAAGTTTTTAAACCCTAACATAGGGCGGGCACGGTGGCTCACGCCTGTAATCCCAGCACTTTGGGAGGCCGAGGCAGGAGGATCACTTGTCAGGAGTTCCAGACCAGTCTGGCCAAAATGGTGAAATCCCGTCTCTACTAAAAATACAAAAAATTAGCCGGACGTTGTAATCCCAGCTGCAGGCTTGTAATCCCAGCTGCTGGGGAGGCTGAGGCAGGAGAATCGCTTGAACCCGGGAGTCGGAGGTTGCAGTGACCCGAGATCGCGTCATTGCACTCCAGCCTGGGCGATAAGAGCGAAACTCCGTCTCAAAGAAAAAAAAACTAACATAAATGGCGTCCCTCCTTTGTTCAGAACTCTCCGTGGCTTCTAGCATCCTCACAATGACAGTACAACCCTAGGAGTAACTCCGCCTCATATTCTTCGTTCCCTGCAGAAAACAGCTTTCCGAATTCTCCTGGCTCAGTCGCGCCTCAACCTTTGCACGCGCCGGTTCCTCCGCCTGTCACGCTCTCCCACACCTCGTCACACGCAGTGTCAAAAAAAGGGCCCCACCCACGAACGCCTCAGTGTCCCCGACCCTGGGCAGCGGGGACTCGAGCAGGCGCCCCTCACTGATGGCTTTAGAACGTGGGTGGGGGAAGGTGTGTGAGGACGGGAAGACGCCGCACTCACCTGAGTTGGCGTCCTCAGAGTGGCCGCTGCCATCAGACTCTGCGGGTAGAGCTGGGCCGGGAGCGACGGGCGACATTGGTAGGGACCCGGGGACAGCGGTCCCTATCCCAGGCCTGACGTGGGTCCCCCAGGGCGGCGTCGCCAAGGCTTAGACGCTTTCGTGCAGGAGGGACGACGACTCCCCTCACGCCTTCGTGGCCCCAACTCGGCGCTCTGCTATCTCTGATCCGGTGAACACACCTCAGAGAAGCTAAAATGGCCGCCACGAAGAGGCCCCCCCAAAAGTCCCGTCCTTTCTTTTTGTGACTCTCAAGGAAAGTCGGTTTTCTGAGCTCTTACTGGCTTAGTAGCGTGGCGTTCAACGCAGAGCATTCTAGGTAATGTAGTTTTCATAGATCCCGAGGTGGGTGCCGGGGACCCTTTGCACCAACCTCTTGGAGTAAAAGCGAAGCTCCAGGGCGCTGGGCGATGAGAAATGGCTTATCCAAGTCCTAGGGCAGTGGAGGGACTTCGCCCTTTCTTAAATGGGTCGTAATCAGACAGCATATTAGAGGTGCCATCTGCAACTGATCACCCAAGTGTTTGGGGAATATTATTTCAAACTTCATAAAGTTCAGCAGGCTCCCAGAGGCTAAAATTATTATCAGACGCTCCCTAAGGCTGCCAATCCAAATATGTACATCATTCCATAGAGCCATTCAGACACGAAATATATCCACTAGTAGGGAAGCTAATAAACATTACCATATAAGTTTATTCCTTTTTTTTTTTTTTTAAGACAAAGTTTCCCTCTGTCCCCCAGGCTGGAGTGCAGCGGCGCCATCTGGGATCACTGCAACCTCCGCCTCCCGGGTTAATCGATTCTCGTGCCTCAACCTTCCAAGTAGCTGGGACTATAGGCGCGCGCCACCACGCCAGGCTAATTTTTTGTATTTTCAGTAGAGACAGGGTTTCACTATGGTGGTCCCAAATTCCTGGCCCCAGGTGATCTGCCCGCCTCGGCCTCTCAAAGTGCTGGGATTACAGGCGTAAGCCACCGTACCCAGCCTCTATCATATTACATTTCAAATGTATGCACTCCGAAGCATTGAAGTCAGTCTGTGCACTTTTGGTCAGGGACAGGTGAAAAACTACTTCAGATAGTGGCATGATAGTGCTTCTAGAAGATAGAAGAGAAATGTTAGATCACCTTGAAACAGTAGTACAAAGGTAGAATTCTGTCTGATTCCAACAGAAAACATCTTTTGCCTGCATAGTCAATTATTGTGTCCAATTACTGTGTCCAGTCAATAACTGTGTCCAATTCACTGAGCAACGCTTTTATCCATTTCATAATTCTTACTTGATATCTGAGATATATTCCTTCTAGAAGTCTAACATCAATCTCAAAAAACAATGAAAGAAATGCTACTTTGATAAGAGACAAAGGGGAGAGGTGGGACTTCTTAATCAGAAAGCCGGTGAAATGCACTTGAAGGAAGTGAGAAATGAGCCATGTGGGTATTTTTAGAATAAATTCCAGGCAGAAGAAGCAGGTTACTAGAGTGCCTGGATGGATGGAGACTTCACAGGGCATTTCAGCATTGGAGGGCCTAGGGCTCCAACCCAGCAGGCCTTCATCTGCTTTGCTGGCTGCAGAGACACTCAGGGTATATAGGTGAGAAATCTCTTCTTTTTTTTTTTTCTTTTTTTTTGAGATGGAGTTTCACTCTTATTGCCCAGGCTGGAGTGCAATGACGCAGTCTTGTTTCACTGCAACCTCTCCACCTCCTGGGTTCAAGCGATTATCTTGCCTCAGCCTCCCAAGTAGCTGGGACTACAGGCGCACGCCATGACACCCAGCTAATTTTTGTATTTTTAGAAGAGACGGGGTTTCACCATGTTGGCCAGGCTGGTCTCGAACCACTGACCTCAGGTGATCCACGCATCTCGGCTTCCCAAAGTGCTGGGATTACAGGCATGAGCCACCGAGCCTGGCCGAGAAATCTCTGCTGCTTTGTTATAAAGTTTTGGAGCCGCAAAATAAATAGCACTCGAATATAAAATTTTCTTTTTAATTCTCAGCAAGGTAATGTACTTTTTTTTTTTTTTTTTTTTTTGAGATGGAATCTTGCTCTGTCACCCAGGTTGGAGTGCAGTGGCGCGATCTCGGCTCACTGCAAGCTCCGCCTCCCAGGTTCACGCCATTCTCCTGCCTCAGCCTCCCGAGTAGCTGGGACTACAGTTGCCCACCACCATGCCTAGCTAATTTTTTGTATTTTTAGTAGAGACAGGGTTTCACCATCTTGGCCAGGCTAGTCTTGAACTCCTGACCTCATGATCCACCCACCTCGGCCTCTCGAGGTGCTGGAATTACAGGCGTGAGCCACTGCGTCCGGCCCCAACATTTATTTTAATGTTCAGATTCTCCCAGATGTTTGGACAGTGGGAACTCATTAAAGCTGTGCTCTCTGCTTTTTTATGTCAATATTATTGATAATTTCATTACTTTCTAATCCAAAAATATTTTCAGGCTCATGTTGTACCCTTGCTATCCCAGCCCCAGAATCAGCCTCTTTTTCAAGGAGCTCTGGTTTTCTTCAATAGATAACAATGCTTGTAAATATTAGTAAGCATTAGCTGTGCTCTTTTCTACTGGTAAATCATTGATTATTAGGTCCTCTTGGAGAGAAAGCAGATACATACACATGCACGCACACATTTTTTTTTTTTTTTTTGAGACAGAGTCTTGCTCTGTCGCCCAGGCTGGAGTGCAGTGGCACGATCTCGGCTCACTGCAAGCTCAGCCTCCGAGGTTCACGCCATTCTCCTGCCTCAGGCTCCTGAGTAGCTGGGACTACGGGCGCCTGCCACCACGCCCGGCTAATTTTTTGTATATTTTTAGTAGAGACAGAGTTTCACCGTGTTAGCCAGGATGGTCTCGATCTCCTGACCTCGTGATCCGCCCGCCTCGGCTTCCCAAAGTGCTGGGATTACAGGCGTGAGCCACCGTGCCCGGCCACTTGCACACATTTCTATACAAATTTATTTCTACATCTATATTTACATCTGCAAAGACTTGAAAAATTCAGATATTTGAAATGACTCATGGGACTGAAAGCACTCTCTCATAAGGCTTTTATTTAAATATAAAGCATACAGTACAGCTAGAGAAAGACAGAACAGGCATCAGGGCTCAGAAAGATCTGGACCCATGACCCTCAGGATTCTTATTCACAAGTGGACATGCTTCATCTCTGGACTGTGCCACTAATATATATGGGATGGAGCTTGATTTCAGAAGAATTAATAACAGAAATTTCCAATAGGGACTTTTATGTCCCTCTGGCTGCATGACCCAAGCCAACCTAGCCATTTATGCCAGGTAAAAGCCAGCTGTAAAGACACGAAAAAATTTCAGAGTTTAAGCAGCACATTGTAACTCCCACTGCCTTTCTTTGCTAAAAGTCAAACTAGGTATCCAGATGTCCCCAGAGATAAGCATAAAATTGTCCTATTCCAGCTATAAAGTGTTATCTGTTCTCCACAGTCATCCCTTTGTTGGCTGGGTATTTTTAATTACAAATCACTCCTTCTTAATATTACCCTACATCATTTTCACTATTTATAGAACAGAACAAGCAAAAAGGGCAGCTGTCAAAATACTTTGTGTGCATTATTTGAGAAGTGGGTATTGCTTCAAAATATTTCAGAAAATGAAATAGCCCAGCACAAAGGTTCATAATCATGCACAAGATTGGCTACTATTTTACCTCCTTCCATCATCAACTTTAATAACAGTATCAATAGACCCATTCAATTCAAAGTTAATTCTAGTTCCTCTCCTAGCCAATATTTTCCACGGATAGAACATCTTGTGGTTGTTTTAATTCAATTTCTCACTTCATTTTATAATCTGTATCAGTCTTATCATAAGCTTTGTTTGAAATGTGTTAGTCAATTTGTGATGCCATAAAGGAATATCTGAGATTGGGTAATTTATTTAAAAAAAAAAAAGAGGGAGATGTATTTGGCTCACAGTTCTGCAGACAGTACATGAAGGAAAGTGCCAGTATCTGCTTTTGGTGAGGGCCTCAGGAAGCTTACAATTTTGGCAAAAAGTGAAGGAGAGCCAGCGTGTCACATGGTGAGGGAGGGAGCAAGAGAGGTAGGCAGGAGGGGCCAGGCTTTTCTAAACAACCAGATCTTGCATGAACTCAGTGAGAACTCACTCACTACCATGAGGACAGCACCAACCCATTCATGAGGGATCCACCCCCATGACCCAAAGACCTCTGACTAGGCCCACCTCCAACGTTGAAGGTCACATTTCAACATGAGATTTGCAAGGAACTTACATCCAAACCATATCAGAACACATCAAATTAATTTTACCAGATATACCAGTATTACACCAAATAGCAGATAACATTATGAGTCTGATCATGATCATTACAAAATAAGTCAAAATTACAGTATATTCTCCACCTTTCCTTCAAATTGGGGTTCTTGCCCGTATACCAAATATATATGTTTTTTAGACATAGGTTCTCACTGTCACCTAGGCTGGAGTGTAGTGGCACCATCATGGTTCACTGCAGCCTCGAGCTCCTGGGATCAACTGATCCTCCCACCTCAGCCTCCCAAGTAGCAGCTCATATACCACATATTGTCCTACAAAAGGGTTTAAATCCAGGGCCAAGTATCATCCAGAGAATTTATTTTTATTTATTTATTTGACTCTCGTTTTGTCACCCAGGCTGGAGTACAGTGGCACGATCTCAACTCACTGCAACCTCTGCCTCCTGCGTTCAAGTGATTCTCTTGCCTCCACCTTGAGTAGCTGGGATTACAGGCACCCACCACCATGTCTGGCTAATATTTGTATTTTTTTTTAGTAGAGACGGGGTTTCACCATGATGTCCAGGCTGGTCTCGAACTCCTGACTTCAAGTGATCCACCAGCCTCAGCCTCCCAAAGTGCTGGGATTACAGGTATAAGCCACCATGTTCAGCCCATCCAGAGAATTTAAATGTTCTTCTGAGGGCAGAGTAAATGCATATTGGGGACTATCCCTAATGAATGAAAATTGGCTTTGGCTTCCTAATGGAAAAGAAGGCATGAGCCAAATCTAGTACAGAATACTGATCTCTCTGAGCTTGCAGCACAGCTTTAGTTGTTGATGCCATATCAGATATAGCTGATCAAATGGGGTGACATCAATTTATCAAGTCTTCCGTAATCTATAGTTAATTTACCAGATCCATCAGCTTTTCTTCCAGGCCATCCTAGACCGAGGCTGGAGTGCAGTGGTGCAAACATGGCTCACTGCATCCTCAAACTCCTGGCCTTGAGTGATCCTCCCCTCAGCCTCCTGAATAGTTAAGACTACAAGCATGTTCCACCACACTCAGCTAATACGTTTTCAAATTTTTTGTAGAGAGGAGGTCTCACTATGTTGCCCAAGCTGGTCTCAAACTGCTGGGCTCAAGTAATCCTCCTGCCCTGGCCTCCCAAAGTGTTGGGATTAGAGGTGTGAGCCACCGCACCCAGCCCATCCTAGACTACTAAATAGGGAATTTTAGTAATATACCTGCATCTAAAAGATCCTTAATTCAAGTCAACATTTATTTCCCCCAGGAATTCTATGGTGTTATAATCACTTGAGTGAGCTTAGCTGATTCTAAAGATTCCATCTAGCATGCTCAATTAACACAGGACTAAAAGCAGATTTACATGGCATCCTATCAATTCCAATAATGCCTTGTGGTAATGGTGAAGCAAAAATCATACATAATTTCTGTCCATAAATGCCTCTATAGACCATATTTCTCCAGCTGCAAGCCTTCTCTAGCTGTATCACTATGTTCGTGTAATTGTATTTCCTTTTAAGTTTACATTAGCTAACTAAGTTATAGCGACATCGATCATCAATTGTAGTAAAGTTTTCTCACTGCCTGCAGACCATTTACTTCATTCCAATGAAAGTGAACTTGAAGTCCCAGCTAGAGGTCATGAGACCCTAACAAGGTCATGAGATCCATTGTCAAAGGAAATTAAATTTTGGGACCCCAAACCCATTTAGCCAAGGGGAAAAGTCAAGCTGGGAACTGGGTCATGCAAACTTGCCTCTACCTTTTGGTTCCTAAATAAAATGGCTGCAAGATGAAAAGCTACCCACTTTCCCCATATTTTACCCACAAGGAAATTACTGGTGAGCTGTTAAAACTTCACCATGGTGGCCAGGCGTGGTGGCTCACGCCTGTAAGCCCAACACTTTGGGAGGCCAAGGCGGCTGGATCACGAGGTCAGGAGTTCAAGACCAGCCTGGCCAAGATGGTGAAACCCCATCTCTACTAAAAAAAAAAAAAAAAAAAAAAAAATACAAAAATTAGCCAGGTGTGGTGGCAGGTGCCTATAATCCCAGCTACTCGGGAGGCTGAGACAGGAGAATCACTTGAACCCAAGGGACAGAGGTTACAGTGAGCCGAGATCATGCCACCGCACTCCAGCCTGGGCGACAGAAGTGAAACTCCATCTAAAAACAAAAAAAAAAAAAAAAAGAAACAAACAAAAAACTTCACCATGGAAATGCAAACTGATAGTTTATCTTTACAGGTGCGGTCACCCCAGCCTGTCAGACACAAAATGCCTACCCCATTTCCTCTGTGTTATCTTATGTAAAATGCAGATTCCCCACATCTTTCTTTTGCCCCCTTTTTTAATGTGAAAACTGTGTGCTTCTCAATATCCCACCCTTTCCTCTTTAAATTTGGAGCCCTAAAAATCATCTTCAGAGAAAAGCATAGACTTGTCTCCCGGGTGGGTCGTTAACTTTGGCAAATAAGTCTCCAAAATGATTGAGACTTGTCTTGTCATTTTCTTCAATTGACATCATCATTCAGTCATAATACTCCCCATTTCTCTCCCTGGTTATAATCAGAGCAGGCTCTGAAGAGATTATACTTGTCACCTTTTTATAATTTTGACATTTTGAAAAATTATCAAGACTAGGGTGAATTAATTAGTTCCAGATCTTTCAGTAGACCAGTTATTTTTACAGGGATTCAATATTTTTAGTAACTACTCCATCTTCCTTTCTTGTTTAAGGTCATTTTTGATCAACCATCTAAACATTTTTATCCAATTCTGTTTTCCTGAGGTTTCTTCCATCTCTTTTTATTTATTTATGTATGTATTTATTTATTTATTTTGAGATGGAATTTCACTCTTGTTGCCCAGGCTGGAATGCAATGGTGCAATCTCGGCTCATCGCAACCTCTGCCTCCTAGGTTCAAGCAATTCTCCTGCCTCAGCCTCCTGAGTAGCTAGGATTACAGGCACGCGCCACAATGCTCGGCTAATTTTTTTGTATTTTTAGTAGAGATGGGGTTTTACCATGTTGGTCAGGCTGGTCTCCAACTCCTGACCTCAGGTGATCTGCCCACCTCACCCTCCCAAAGTGCTGGGATTACAGGCATGAGCCACCGCGCCAGGCTATCTCATCTCTTTTATTTTTAGTTACTTTTCTTCTGAATGATTCTTACTTTTCCCTCCCCCTCCAGTATTAAGTCTTATTCAAGACAGCTCAATAAGGAGGTCCATAACATCAAGCCTCATATCATGTTGCCTCCCCTTTTACCATGACATCAATTAGCTGGGTCTGCAGGATGGAGTTAGGAAAAGGTATGGTAGTGTACTTAACTACAGGCTAGAATCTACAGCTGGTATAGTTTAGATGTGTGTCCCTTCCAAATCTCATGTTGAAATGTGACCTCCAGTGTTGGAGGTGGGCCTAATGGGAGGTGTTTGGGTGTTTTGCAGGACATTTAGTTATCCCCTCCGACCCACAGACTCCAGGTCCTACTTATATTCTTCCTCCTGTTTGTGAGTGAATCACATAACTTGTGCAATCTCAATCCAAGGACTGGAAGCCAACCTATTCACAAAAAATCTTCCTCACCAGCCTCTACCATATTTCATTCTGCCCAATAACTCCTTAGCCATTATTATTTAAAATGGACTCAGAGATCATAGCAAATATCCCATTTTCATCACCAAATGAAAAAATTTCAAAAATGTAATTGAAAATACTCACAAAACTCCACAGAGAATACTCGCGTGAGGTTTTGTTAAGGCAAAGGATATGGTGCAGCAAGAGAAAGAATGCGTGCCCATATGCTATGTCAGACACAAATCCAGGCAGTTTTCCAGACTCCCATTCATACACTGATATGATTCACTTCCAGATCAAGCCACCAATATCTGAGAGAGAAATGCTGGCTTCAGGAGAGCTCAAGTCAGAGGATCCCAGCAGGGATTTTATACCCTTCTGGGGTAACACAGTTGAGCCAGAGTGCCTACCTAATCATGTATGCCAACCAGAAACCATCAGCAGTCAAACTTGCCCTCCATATTGTCATGGGATCTTCCAGATGTTAAACAATAATAATAAAGCTCACTGCATTTAAATGTCAAAATGAGATACCTAAAGTCCCTACAGACAAAACTAGAGCTTTTCCAGTCCAATTTTAAACTAATTCCATCTCACACAAAACAAGTGCACACTATATCAAAATTTGGGGGATACTGCTAAAGCAGTACTTACAGGGAAATTTATAGCCTATATTATTATACAAGAAGAGAGTTCACAAATAAATGACAGTTCATTTTAAGAAATTAGGAAAACCAGCCAGGCATGCTGGCTCATGCCTGTAATCCCAGTGCTTTGGGATCACTTGAAGCCAGGAGTTCAAGACCAGCTTGAGCAATACAGTGAGACTCCATCTCCAAAAACAAAAACAAACAAAAAAGTTAGCCAGGTGTGATGGCACATGCCTGTAATCGCAGCTACTTAGGAGGCTGAGGATTACTTGAGCCCAAGAGTTCAAGGTTACAGTAAGCTATCATAGTGCCACTGCATTCTATCCTGGGTTGACAGAGAGAGACCCTGTCTCAAAACAAAAAAGAAAACTGGGAAAACACAGACAAATCCTATAGGCAACCCTATATAGACTCTATCCTCTCTTGCCTCTTGCTTCAGGAGCAGCCCTGCCTCAGTGACAGCAAAAAGTGGCAACCAAGAAAGCTATTTCCACATGATTCACCAGGAACACTGGCTAAGTTGCAAAGCCATGTCCCTGAAATGCTAGATCTTCCTTCTTTCAATCTTGGTTTTCCTACCCACTTACACACCCAGCAATGGTCTTTTTTTTTTTCTTTTTTTTTTTTTTTTGAGACAGAGTCTCGTTCTGTCACCCAGGCTGGAGTGCAGTGGTGCGATCTCGGCTCACTGCAAGCTCCGCCTCCTGGGTTCATGCCATTCTCCTGCCTCAGCCTCCCAAGTAGCTGGGACTACAGATGCCCACCACCACGCCTGGCTAATTTTTTGTATTTTTAGTAGAGACGGGGCTTCACCGTGTTAGCCGGGATGGTTTCAATATCCTGACCTCGTGATCCGCCCGCCTCAGCCTCCTAAAGTGCTGGGATTACAGGCGTGAGCCACTGCACCCAGCCCCAGCAGTGGTCTTGAGTTGAGCCATCTAGAGTCTATGGGAATCCACAAAATGTTTAGATTTGCCCTGGGAGTGATGCTGACCACAAAAGAGACATAGCTGTGGAAGTTCTGAAACTTTCTGTATACTCTCATCCTATATAGCCATAGTATGGGAACATCTGAGCATGTACCTTTAGAAGTGGCACATCCCAGGCCAGGTGCGTGGCTCACGCCTGTAATCCCAGGACTCGGGAGGCCGAGGCAGGCGGATCACCTGAGGTCGGGAGTTTGAGACCAGCCTGACCAACATGGAGAAACCCTGTCTCTACTAAAAATACAAAATTAGGGCTGGGCGCAGTGGCTCACGCCCGTAATCCCAGCACTTTGGGAGGCCAAGGCGGGCGGATCACGAGGTCAGGAGATCGAGACCATCCTGGCTAACATGGTGAAACTCCGTCTCTACTAAAAAATACAAAAGAATTAGCCGGGTGTGGTGGCGGGCACCTTTAGTCCCAGCTACTCGGGAGGTGGAGGCAGGAGAATGGCAAGAACCTGGGAGGTGGAGCTTGCAGTGAGCCAAGATTGCACCACTGCACTCCTGCCTGGGCAACAGAGCCAGACTCCGTCTCAAAAAAAAAAAAAAAAATACAAAATTAGCCGGGCATAGGTGATGCATGCCTATAATCCCAGCTACTCAGGAGGCTGAGGCAGGACAGTCACTTGAACCCAGTAGGTGGAGGTTGCAGTGAGCCAAGATCACGCCATTGCACTCCAGCCTAGGCAACAAGAATGAAACTCCATCTCAAAAAAAAGAAGTGGCACATCCCTTGTAGTGTGCCGCAATCTCCTCAACTCCCTATTAGTCATACCCAGTGTTTCTATACCAATTATAATTACCACCTGGCTCCTAGAGGTCCTCCAGACAAGGACACCTGCCTATTAAATTCTGAACACAGACTCCTTGACAAGAAGCAGGGGCCAGCTTCCCAATAAGTGCTTGGAAATATGGAACACTGGATGGGAACCAGTGACCAAACTCATGCTCCCAGGTGCTCTAGAAGTTGTTACAACTGATCTCTCTTCATGGTTACCTCCAAACCTACAGTAAAACTGGCATCCAGGTCACATGATTTGTCTCCCAAAGCCCTGCAGTCTGTCTTAGAAGGGCTTGAACAGCAACACAAATTAGGTCAAAGCTGTAATCAGAGCTGTTCTCTGCCATTTGCTCTAAGGGACAGAAAACAAGGACTCCCACAAAAGCTGTTAACTTGTTCATGCTGAGAACACACCTGTTTCCTCAATAGACTCCAAACAATAAACAGAACCCACAACATTAATGGTGGCTTAAAGAACAGGCCTTTATTATCATGAGCAATGTGAAGCAGGCAGTTCCAGAGCTGGGTGACTTGGATATTGGATATATCCATAACGAGCATCATATGAAATCAATCAACACAGGTAAGTCTCTGCAGGCTATTTGCAGAATCCTTCTGTGTCCTCTTGAACAAAGCTGATTATTTCCATGCCATTTACATCAAAAGAGAGGAAATTAAGACCCCTAGTGGGCTGTGAGACCACTCACAACACCTTTTAGGGACTGGGGAGAGAAGAGAGGTCTGCCCGTCACAAGCATGCTGGGGTAAATGGTAAACGCAGTATGATTCTGCCAGATGGTAGGAGCAGATGGCTCCTGCCCCAGCAAAGGCCAATAGCCATTTAAAAAGTGCAACACAGCTGCTGAAAGCATCTCACATACTTGACACTCACAGGGAATCTCCCCAGTGGGAATGTCCATATCTATGAAGTTTCACTTCTTACTGATGGTTCCCTCCCAATGGCTGCTCCCAGAGTTCCACTCTAGGGTGAGCTGTTGGGCTGAACAGAGACAGCACATTGCTTAGACTGCTAAGGCCTGTGTCCGGTGTGAAATTCCCAATGGCGGGTAAGGTTCAGCCTCCAGGGGAAGGCTTTCCTGCATCTGCTGCACTCATTAACTACTGCTAGTTCCCCACCATATAGTAAGTCAGGGGCATTGGCCTAAGACTTTCCCCCACATTTGCTACACTCTTAAAGCTTTTCTCCAGCATGAACCCTCTGGTGCAGAACAAGTGTCTGTTTCCGGATGAATTCTCTCCCGCACTCACTACACACATAAGGCCTTTCCCCAGTGTGGACTTTCCAGTGCCTGATGAGGTTGGGTCTTTGAGTGAAGGCTTTCCCGCACTTGCTGCACTCATAAGGCTTTTCTCCAGAGTGAACTTTCTGGTGCTGAATGAGTTTGGAGATGCAGCTGAAAGCTTTACCACATCTGCTACACTCATAATCACTGCTGTGAATTCTCCAGTGTACATTAAGGTGGGAGCTTTGGCTAAAGGCCTTCCCACATTCACTGCACTCATAAGGCCTTTCTCCAGTGTGAGTTCGTTGGTGCAGAACAAGTGTGTGTTTCCGACTGAACTCTTTCCCACATTCGCTGCATACATAAGGCCTGGCTCCTGTGTGAACTTCCTGGTGTCGAATGAGATTAGACTTACTGCTAAAAAATTTCCCACATTTGCCACACTGATAGAGTCTTTCACCCGTGTGAACTCGCCTGTGCTCAATCAGGCCGGAGATTTGTCTAAAGAATTTCCCACATTCGCTGCACTCGTATGGCCTTTCTCCAGTGTGAACTGTCTGGTGTTTAAAGAGGTCATAGCTTTGGCTGAAGAATTTCCCACATTCGTTACACTCATAAGGCCTTTCTCCAGTGTGGATTCTCTGATGCCGAGCAAGTGTGTCTTTGCGGGTGAAGGCTTTCCCACATTCACCACACCTGTGATACCTCTGTCCCATGAGAAAGCCACTCACAAGCTTAGTGCTCTTGTGGGGCTTCATGCTGCTGAGAGAGGCCTGATGCTGAAGAAGGCCAGATGTGGCTGAAAAGTCTCTCCTACCTTTCCCACATGTGAGGGTCTTCTCTGGCACATGGACTCTGCAGCTTTTCACAGAGTCTCTGCCCTCCTTCCTTGGGAAAAGTTTCCCTCCATTGGGCTGGTTCTGGTGCTGGTCAAAGTCTGTACTGAACCAGAATTGCTTTCCACATGCCCCACACAAGTATGGTTTCTGCCTGGCTTTTCCCCCATGGTATTTAGCCAGGTGTAAGGTATCTTTCAATATTGGGCCACATATGTCACATGGGTGAGACTCCAGCTCTGCCATGAGAGTCCTGACCTCTGACACTCCTGCTACAAAAATGCTCTGCTCAGAAGATACCTCTTCATCCTCCACTCCATGCCAACAACCTGAAGAACACACAAATGCTGATTAAATGCATATTTACGGGTGGGAAGGGGCAACCTCATTGTATATGTGCATTTGACACATGCAGGAATAAGTTCATGAAACTGTTTTCAGAATGAGAGGCATGGTCAGAGTGAGGAAGGAATGGCTTTGAGGTAGTGAGCCTCTGGAGGTCATACCATGGGGGAGTGCCAATGAAGGGCCAGGATATAAGAATGGAACCAAACAAATGGCTTCCAGTAGGGCCTTGACTGTTAGTGACTCGTGAGTGCTATGAAAAATGTATCCAGTCCCAGGAAAATCCAACTACAAGTGAGCAGCTGGTGTTCAAAGACTATTTAAGAATATATGCACATCTTGTGAACATTAATTGCAGGTCAATACTGCCAAAAAATGTAGACAGAGAAGTGGTGAAACATGGGTGTAAGGTGAAGGCCAGAGGTGAGGGTGGCAAGGGGCTAACAAACTAGAAATGATATATCTTCGTGTCAAGAACAGGAAAGGACAGATAGAAACGCTGTGTGGCCACTGGCCCTGGAAACAAACACTGATGTGAACAGTTAATGTTGCCAGTTTTGAACCCAGCTTTGACATCGTGCCCTTCCCCGATGTCCACTCACCAGGTCTAAGTCCCCTCTGGGCCTCTCTTTCTGTGGCTGAAGTCATATCCACCTGGTCATACACCCAGGGCTCTTCTCCTCGCTCTAGTTTCATGACTGCACGTGATCTGGAAAATGCAATTCCTAAGGGAAAGTCAGAACAGGTGAGCAGCCAGCACTGGCCCATGGCAAACCACCCTATGATGGACTTCAGGTAAGAAAAATAACCTGGGAGGAGTTGTGCAGGAATAACCCAAAGGTCCCTATAAGTGACTATGTAAGTGCCTATAACTCCTGACAAGGTCAGGCCCTAGAAGATGTCACCTGAGCTGGGCGCAGTGGCTCACACCTGTAATCTAACACTTTCAGAAGTCAAGTCAGGGTATTACTTGAGCTCAGGAGTTCAAGACCAGCCTGGGCAACATGGCAAAACCACATCTCTACAGAAAAATTAGCTGGGCGTGGTGGTGTGTGTCTGTAGTCCCAACTATTCAGGAGGCTGAGATGAGAGGATGGCTTGAGCCTGGGAGGTAGAGGTTGCAATGAGCTGAGATCATGCCACTGCACTCCAGCTTGGGCAACAGAGCCAGACCCTGACTCAAAAAAAAAAAGAAAAGAAAATGTCACCTGGAGAAAGGGACAGAACCTTGGGCACAGAGGCATCATAATTTTGGACAGAGTCACCAGTACAGAAAGCGAACAGACCTAGTGAGATCCACTGGGCAAACCACAAGTCTCATGACCCCAAACCCTTGGCTGCACGGCTTCAGGACTACTCAGCAAGTAGGGAGGACACTCCATACAGCTTAGCCCTGGCATCTTGAGCACCTACTCCAGGAAACTGGTGAAGGAAGCGGTGCTCATGATCCCACCATAGGAAGAACAGAGTGGTAAAGGCAGAAAAGCATGAGGACCTTACCCAGTGAGGCTAAAAGTGCAAAGTTCTCCAGCATCACATCATGGTACAAAAGTCTCTGAGCATCATCAAGAAGCTCCCATTCTTCCCGAGAGAAGTATACAAACACATCCTCAAAGACCACACAGCCCTGCAACAAAAGGGACAGGAAGGACCATAAAAAGTCTCTTGACCAATGATCCCCAGTCTACCTACCCACAACATCCTGCTAACTAACCTCCCAGGTTCCCAAGTCAGAGATACCAGGCACTAGTACCACTGATCCTCACTCTCTCCTGATCACCCCAGCAATCACTGTGTCAGCCCACCACAACAACAGACAGGCTGACAGATAAATGCCATTTACACTCTGAGCCAGCCAACTCCCCTGGGGTACCCAAGATCACAAATCCCAGGTATGAACCTAGGCTCATTTTTCTCAGTTAAGCCCCAAGTCACAGGACCGTCAGCTCACACTCCCTCCTCTCATACACATCACTCTGGACTATGTCTCCCTCACATCTCCAGCTTCCCCCCCACCCTACTGGCCCACCCCATCTCCCTGGACTCCCCAAATGTCACTCTACACATAGCATTAAGAGTGCTTGCCGAAGGCAGATCACGAGGTCAAGAGAGCGAGACTATCCTGGCCAACATGGTGAAACCCCGTCTCTACTAAAAAAAAAAAAAAAAAAAATACAAAAATTAGCTGGGCATGGTGGTGTGTGCCTGTAGTCCCAGCTACTTGGGAGGCTGAGGAAGGAGAACTGCTTGAACCTGGGAGGCAGAGGTTGCAGTGAGCTGAGATCATGCTACTACACTCCAGTCTGGCGACAGAGTGAGACTCCATCTCAAAAAAAAAAAAAAAAAGTGCTTGCCAACAATCAGTATCCCATCTTGCTCCAAACCATCAATGGCCCCATTGCCAAGGAAAGCCCTATTGTTGCTCTGAAAGCCTCCCAATCTGGCCCTGTTCCTTTTTTCAATCACAGGCACCTCAAACCACATGCAGATCTCAGGTATCCTCAACCCTCTTCCATTTCTTTGTTGCACATTGTACCACTGTTTGATATGGATTGGATGTGTATCCCCTACAAATCTCATGTTGAAATGCAACCCCTAGTGCTGGAGGCCCAGGGAAGCCAAAAGATTGGACACCCCTGATTTAAAGTGAGAGATGTGTAACTACTCCTTTAACTTGAACTCTTAGAGGCCACTGTAGGGTTATTAACTGACCTGATTTCAATATTGCTGTGTGTCAGGGAATAGGAACGCTTAAAGAGAGGGAGAAGGATGGGGATCAGCTGGTCAGTGAGGCAGTCAGAAGACACATAACAATTTTTTTTTTTTTTTTTAGACAGATTCTTGCACTGTTGCCCAGGCTGGAGTGCAGTGGCACGATCTTGGCTCACTGCAAGCTCCATCTCCCAGGTTCACACCATTCTCCTGCCTCAGCCTCCCGAGTAGCCGGGACTACAGGCGCCCACCACCATGCCCGGCTAATTTTTTGTATTTTCAGTAGAGACAAGGTTTCACCATGTTAGCCAGGATGGTCTTGATCTCCTGACCTCGTGATCCACCCGCCTCGGCCTCCCAAAGTGCTGGGATTACAGGTGTGAGCCACTGCGCCTGGCCGACTTTAGGCATTTGACACAGATCTCTAACTAACTTAATGCAGGCAGCAGGAGATAAATACCCATGCTCAGCTGCATCATGAAAACGGAAGAAACTGGAACACATTCAACACCCTCAACACATTCCAGCTACATCAAAAGAGTCTGGTTCCTACCTTCTGGCCTTAGGATAATGACAGAATGTAGTACATCCTAAGTTCCAGAGAGTTACCAAAAACAGAGACAGCATTCTGGACAAACACAAAGATTAGAGAAGCACCTTAAATCTTTGGCCAGATGGATTCGTGAGATCCTTCTACTACACTAGGCAAGACTGGGAGAAGTAGTGAACTTTTTTTTTTTTTTGAAATGGGGTCTCAGCCAAGCATGATGACTCACACCTGTAATCCCAGCACTTTGGGAGGCCGAGGCGGGTGGATCTCCTGAGGGCAGGAGTTCGAGACCAGCCTGGCCAACATCGTGAAACCCCGTCTCTACCAAAAATACAAACAAATTAGCTGGGCGTGGTGGCGGGTGCCTGTAATTCCAGCTACTCAGGAGGCAGACAAGAGAATTGCTTGAACCCAGAAGGCAGAGGTTGCGGTGAGCCGAGATTGTGCCACTGCACTCCAGCCTAGGAAACGTGGTGAAACCCCGTCTCTACTAAAAATGGAAAAATTAGCGGGGTGTGGTGGTGGGCACCTGTAATCCCAGCTACTCGGGAGGCTGAGGTAGGAGAACTGCTTGAACCCAGGAGACAGGTTGCAGTGAGCCGAGATCGCGCCACTGCACTCCAGCCTGGGTGACAAGAGCAAGACTCCATCTCAAAAAAACAAAACAAAACAAAACCTGGCCAAGGCATGGTGGCTCACTCTTGTAATCCCAGCACTTTGGGAGGCCGAAGGGAGTGGATCAACTGAGGTCACGAGTTTGAGACCAGCCTGGCCAACATGGTGAAACTCTATCTAATAAAATACAAAAATTAGCTGGGCATGGTGATGCATGCCTGTAATCCCAGCTACTGGGAAAACTGAGGCAGGAGAATCACTTGAATCTGGGAGGCAGAAGCTGCAGTGAGCCAAGATCGCACCATTGCACTCCAGCCTGGGTGACAGAGCGAGACTCGTCTCCAAAAAAAAAATAAATAAATAAAATAAAACCAAAGCCAAGTGCAGTGGCTCACAACTGTAATCCAAACACTTTGGAAGGCTGGGGCCGGTGGATCAGTTGAGGTCGGGAGTTCAAGACCACCTGGGCCAACACGGTGAACGTCCCCCCCACTCCCCCGCCCCCACCCCACCCCTCCCACCTCCCCACCCCACCCCACCCCTCCCACCTCCCCACCCCCGTCTCTACTATAAATACTAAAATTAGCCAGGGGTGGTTGTGGGCACCTGTAATCTCAACTACTTGGGAGGCTGAGGCGGGAGAATCTCTTGAACCCGGGAGGTAGAGGTTGCAATAAGCCACTGCATCCCACCCTGGGCGACAGAGTGAGACTTCGTCTCAAAAAAAATAAAAAAAATAAATAAACTAAAACTAAAAGAAAACACACAAAATGAGGGTGAGATAATCAGATAGTAGCAATAGCACACCACCCATCGTTGCCATCCCAGGCCAAACTCCTCATACCCTACAGCTCTCTCCTCCTGCAAACACTGAAAAGAACCCTTTCAAATGGCAGGACCCTTCTCTTCTGGGGGGAGTCTCAAGAATGCCCACTCCCTCTTCCCTGCCCTGCAGTCCCAGCCTTCTCATCTCTTACCCCAGAGATATGAAATAACATACTTAAGACTGCCCCACTTAAATCTGACCTCCTGGCCTTGACCTACTCCAGACCGCTCCCTTCACCCCAAAGATATTCTAAGCCCAGCCCCTTCCCCACAACTTCAGACCTTCCTCTCTAGTTGCCTAAGTGAGGAAGCCTCCACTCTGAGACATCTCAAAGTCACCATTCCAAAATCCAAACGTTCATGGAAAAACAACAAAAACACCTTGCTCTTTCATGCCTTACTTTCAGTCATAGCTGCATATGATGGAGCAGAAAATCCTGTTGGTTTCAAATTTAAAACCTACCCAGAATATGATCACTTCTACCCACTCACCTGCCATTACTCTTGGTACATCCACCACCAAAGCATTCCTGGAATCCACTGCAGTAGCCTCCTTACCGGTCTCCTCGTATCCATCCTCGCAGTCCCCACCCCAAACTAATGTTCTCCCCTGAGCAAATTTCGAGACACTTAAAATCCCAGCTAAGATCACGTCCTTCTATTCAAAACCCTCAGTTAATCTCAACGCCCTCAGAATGAAGCGACAACTTCTCAGCCTGCCATTCCAGTCACAGTTCCTCAAACTCTGCTCTGTGTTGATGAGAACCCTGTCTCCCAAATGTTTGGGGGTCAGCAGCACCCCCGAGCCTTTACCTGCGCCGTCCCCTCCGCCCGTAACTCTCCCACACCCACCCACACCGAGATAGGACCCCGCCCCAAGAGTGCGTCGCTGTCCTGGGACACAGGGGCTGCAGGCACTTTACGATTCGGAGTCGGAGAAAGGGTGACTGAGGGCCCGGAGGACGCAGCACCCACCCGCGCGGAGTCCGTTAGCTCCGCCATAGGACCGTGGGCGCGGACAGCTGCCGGGAGCGGCAGGCGTCTCGATCGGGGACGCAGGCACTTCCGTCCCTGCAGAGCATCAGACGCGTCTCGGGACACTGGGGACAACATCTCCTCCGCGCTTTCCCAACACCTCCACCTGCGGCCCACACAAGCGTTACAGAACCCCGGCCAGGGACAGCCTGACAGAAACAAAATGTCCGCTACAAGGAGGAGCCGGAAGTCCCGCCCACGCACCCCCCGCAGGCACTGAAACACCCCTCTCCTGGGCCCTCATTGGGTATGCAACGTATAGGTTTGTGGGTAGAGTGTGGTTCCCACTGAGCTATCCTTCAAGGCAGGGGATTCTCGGCCTGGGCTCTTGGGAAAACTCGAAGTAGGAGGGCCAAGTTGTTTGGGAAAAGTAACCCGAGTTTCAAAGGGCTGACAGGACTTCCGTCCTCTTTTTTTTTTTTTTTTTTTTTTTTGAGACAGAGTCTCGCTCTGTCTCCCAGGCTGCAGTGCAGTGGCGCGATCTCGGCTGACTGCAACCTCCGCCTCCCGGGTTCAAGCGATTCTCCTGCCTCAGCCTCCCAAGTAATTGGGACTACAGGGGCCCGCCACCACGCCAGGCTAATTTTAGTACTTTTAGCAGAGTACGGGATTTCACCATGTTGGCCAGGCTGGTCTCGAACTCCTGACTTTGTGATTTGCCTGCTTCGGCCTCCCAAAGTGCTGGGATTACAGGAGTGAGCCATGGTGCCCGGCTGACTTCTGTCCTCTTAAAAGGCCTGGACCTAGATTCCCTGGAGTGTAGTATGCACCGATCGCAGAAATGTTGAGACATTTCAGATGTTCCCCAAAGCTGCAAAACTAAATAGATACACCACACCACAATGTCTCTTTGCGTACACTCACAGCTAGAAGCTAATAACTATTACCTTGTTGCTTTTTAAATATGTGTGCACTCAAGCTTTACAGTAACTTTTGTGAGCTTCAGTTTGGTCAGAGACGGAAGAGAAAATATTCCAAACAAGGCCTTGGAGTGGAAGAAGGAAGAGGGATGATGTGGAGTCTCCCTGAAACCAGTGGACAGATTTCTTCAGAAAACTCTTCCTGCCTGGGTAATCAGTGATGTCTCCATCACAGCAAAACACAGTGCAATTACCATTTAACCTGTCATTGTCATTGTAAGTATGGTGTCTGTGTTAGGAGGTGAGATTATCCCCGGGGGAAAAATCCTGACAGCTATTAATAATGATTCCGTAGTTATTTGAAGATAATGAAAGAAATTGCTCTAAGGAAATATCTGTGATAGATGGACAAAGTTAAGATCTCAGTAAAGTTTGAGCCTGAATACTAAAGTATAAGTGAAAGAATGAAGTTAAGCATATGGTTGTGTTGTGATCTTGACCACACTTTGTCAACAAAATGTGACTCTTTTTTCCTGAAAATGCTGAGCAATTGTAAAGAAGATATCAGAATGGTAAAAATCAACAGTGAAGTTGTGCTGTCTTGATAATTCACTGTTAAAATACACATCCAAGGAACACATACGAGCTCTCAGTAGGTGTTTTTCAAATGTGTTAGTAGCATGAAAGACATCACTAATAAAATTTCCAAGATTCCTATACATACAGGACATGTCCTGCATATAATGATTTTTGTCCTGCATCACCTTTTGACTTTGTCACAATACCCTAAATAAATATTCTAAAGAAGGCAACAGTCTTAAAGAAAAGAATTTTCAACCCGGAATTTCATATCCAGCCAAACTAAGCTTCATAAGTGAAGGAGAAATAAAATACTTTACAGACAAGCAAATGCTGAGAGATTTTGTCACCACCAGGCCTGCCCTAAAAGAGCTCCTGAAGGAAGCACTAAACATGGAAAGGAACAACTGGTACCAGCCACTGCAAAAACATGCCAAATTGTAAAGACCATCAAGGCTAGGAAGAAACTGCATCAACTAATGAGCAAAATAACCAGCTAACATCATAATGACAGGATCAAATTCACACATAACAATACTAACCTTAAATGTAAATGGGCTCAATGCTCCAATTAAAAGGCACAGACTGGCAAATTGGATAAACAGTCAAGACCCATCTGTGTGCTGTATTCAGGAAACCCATCTCACATGCAGAGACACACATAGGCTCAAAATAAAGGGATGGAGGAAGATCTACCAAGCAAATGGAAAACAAAAAAAGGCAGGGGTTGCAATACTACTCTCGGATAAAACAGACTTTAAACCAACAAAGATCAAAAGAGACAAAGAAGGCCATTACATAATGGTAAAGGGATCAATTCAACAAGAAGAACTAACTATCCTAAATATATATGCACCCAATACGGGAGCACCCAGATTCATAAAGCGAGTCCTTAGTGACCTACAAAGAGACTTAAACTCCCACACAATAATAATGGGAGACTTTAACACCCCACTGTCAACATTAGACGGATCAACAAGACAGAAAGTTAACAAGGATATCGAGGAATTGAACTCAGCTCTGCACCAAGCGGACCTAATAGACATCTACAGAACTCTCCACCCCAAATCAACAGAATATACATTTTTTTTCAGCACCACACTACACCTATTCCAAAATTGACCACATAGTTGGAAGTAAAGCACTCCTCCGCAAATGTAAAAGAACAGAAATTATAACAAACTGTCTCTCAGACCACAGTGCAATCAAACTAGAACTCAGGATTAAGAAACTCATTCAAAACCACTTAACTACATGGAAACTGAACAACCTGCTCCTGAATGACTACTAGGTACATAACGAAATGAAGGCAGAAATAAAGATGTTCTTTGAAACCAACGATAACAAAGACACAACATACCACAATCCTGGGACACGTCCAAAGCAGTGTGTAGAGGGAAATTTATAGCACTAAATGCCCACCAGAGAAAGCAGGAAAGATCTAAAATTGACACCCTAACATCCAATTAAAAGAACTAGAGAAGCAAGAGCAAACACATTCAAAAGCTAGCAGAAGGCAAGAAATAACTAAGATCAGAGCAGAACTGAAGGAAATAGAGACACAAAAAACCCTTCAAAAAATCAATGAATCCAGGAGCTGGTTTTTTGAAAAGATCAACAAAATTGATAGACCACTAGCACGACTAATAAAGAAGAAAAGAGAGAAGAATCAAATAGATGCAATAAAAAAAGACAAAGGGGATAACAGCACCCATCCCACAGAAATACAAACTACCATCAGAGAATACTATAAACACCTCTACGCAAATAAACTAGAAAATCTAGAAGAAATGGACAAATTCCTCGACACATACACTCTCCCAAGACTAAACCAGGAAGAAGTTGAATCTCTGAATAGACCAGGCTCTGAAATTGAGGCAATAATTAATAGCTTACCAACCAAAAAAAGTCCAGGACCAGATGGATTCACAGCCGAATTCTACCAGAGGTACAAGGAGGAGCTGGTGCCATTCCTTCTGAAACTATTCCAATCAATAGAAAAAGAGGGAATCCTCCCTAACTCATTTTATGAGGCCAGCATCATCCTGATACCAAAGCCTGGCAGAGATGCAACAAAAAAAGAGAATTTTAGACCAATATCCTTGATTAACATTGATGCAAAAATCCTCAATAAAATACTGGCAAACCGAATCCAGCAACACATCAAAAAGCTTATCCACCATGATCAAGTGGGCTTCATCCCAGGGGTGCAAGGGTGGTTCAACATACGAAAATCAATAAACGTAATCCAGCATATAAACAGAACCAAAGACAAAAACCACAGGATTATCTCAATGGATGCAGAAAAGGCCTTTGACAGAATTCAACAACCCTTCATGCTAAAAACTCTCAATAAATTAGATATTGATGGTAACGTATCTCAAAATAATAAGAGCTATCTATGACAAACCCACAGCCAATATCATACTGAATGGACAAAAACTGGAAGCACTCCCTTTGAAAACTGGCACAAGACAGGGATGCCCTCTCTCACCACTCCTATTCAACATAGTGTTGGAAGTTCTGGCCAGGGCAATCAGGCAGGAGAAGGAAATAAAGGGCATTCAATCAGGAAAAGAGGAAGTCAAATTGTCCCTGTTTGCAGATGACATGATTGCATATCTAGAAAACCCCATCGTCTCAGCCCAAAATCTCCTTAAGCTGATAAGCAACTTCAACAAAGTCTCAGGATACAAAATCAATGTGCAAAAATCACAAGCATTCTTATGCACCAATAACAGACAAACAGAAAGCCAAATCATGAGTGAACTCCCATTCACAATTGCTTCAAAGAGAATAAAATACCTAGGAATCCAACTTACAAGGGATGTGAAGGACCTCTTCAAGGAGAGCTACAAACCACTGCTCAATGAAATAAAAGAGGATACAAACAAATGGAAGAACATTCCATGCTCATGGGTAGGAAGAATCAATATCGTGAAAATGGCCATACTGCCCAAGGTAATTTATAGATTCAATGCCATCCCCATCAAGCTACCAATGACTTTCTTCACAGAATTGGAAAAAACTACCTTAAAGTTCATATGGAACCAAAAAAGAGCCCGCATTGCCAAGTCAATCCTAAGCCAAAAGAACAAAGCTGGAGGCATCATGCTACCTGACTTCAAACTATACTACAAGGCTGCAGTAACCAAAACAGCATGGTAGTGGTACCAAAACAGAGATATAGACCAATGGAACAGAACAGAGCCCTCAGAAATAATGCCGCATATCTACAACTATCTGATCTTTGACAAACCTGAAAAAACAAACAATGGGGAAAGGATTCCCTATTTAATAAATGGTGCTGGGAAAACTGGCTAGCCATATGTAGAAAGCTGAAACTGGATCCCTTCCTTACATCTTATACAAAAATTAATTCAAGATGGATTAAAGACTTAAATGTTAGACCTAAAACCATAAAAACCCTAGAAGAAAACCTAGGTAATACCATTCAGGACATAGGCATGGGCAAGGACTTCATGTCTAAAACACCAAAAGCAATGGCAACAAAAGCCAAAATTGACAAATGGGATCTAATTAAGCTAAAGCACTTCTGCACAGCAAAAGAAACCACCATCAGAGTGAACAGGCAACCTACAGAATGGGAGAAAATTTTTACAACCTACTTATCTGACAAAGGGCTAATATCCAGAATCTACAATGAACTCAAACAAATTTATAAGAAAAAAAACAACCCCATCAAAAAGTGGGCAAAGGATATGAGCAGACACTTCTCAAAAGAAGATATTTATGCAGTCGAAAAACACATGAAAAAATGCTCATCATCACTGGCCATCAGAGAAATGCAAAACAAAACCACAATGAGATACCATCTGACACCAGTTAGAATGGCGATCATTAAAAAATCAGGAAACAACAGGTGCTGGAGAGGATGTGGAGAAATAGGAACACTTTTACATTGTTGGTGGGACTGTAAACTAGTTCAACCATTGTGGAAGTTGGTGTGGCGATTCCTCAGGGATCTAGAACTAGAAATACCATTTGACCCAGCCATCCCATTACTGGGTATATACCCAAAGGATTATAAATCATGCTGCTATAAAGACACATGCACGTGTATGTTTATTGTGGCACTATTCACAATAGCAAAAACTTGGAACCAACCCAAATGTCCAACAATGATAGACTGGATTAAGAAAATGTGGCACATATACACCATGGAATACTATGCAGCCATAAAAAATGATGAGTTCATGTCCTTTGTAGGGACATGGATGAAGCTGGAAACCATCATTCTCAGCAAACTATCACAAGGACAAAAAACCAAACACTGCATGTTCTCACTCATAGGTGGGAATTGAACAATGAGAACACATGGACACAGGAAGGGGAACATCACACACTGGGGCTTGTTGTGGGGTGGGGGGATGGGGGAGGGATAGCATTAGGTGATATAACTAATGCTAAATGATGAGTTACTGGGTGCAGCACACCAACATGGCACATGTATACATATGTAACAAACCTGCACGTTGTGCCCATGTACCCTAAAACTTAAAGTATAATAATAATTTTAAAAAAGTCTATTCAAAGGGATAATATCGAGAATTTCCCAAAGATATTAGGAAGGATTATCTTTCCAAGAGAAAGATATCAATATTCAAGTACAAGAAGGCCGTAGAATACCAAGCAGATTTAACCCAAAGAAGACTACCTCAAGACATTTAGTAATCAAATTACCAAAGGTCAAGGGTAAAGAAAGGATCCTAAAAGCAGCAAAAGAACAGAAACAACACACAAAGGAGCTCCAATATGCCTGGTAGAAGACTTCCCAGTATAAACCTTATAGGCCAGGAGAGAGTGGCATGATGGATTTAAAGTGCTGAAGGAAAAAACTTTTATCCTAGAATAGTGTATTTGCTGAAAGTATCCTTCAAACATGAAAGAGAAATAAAAACTCTTCTGGATGAACAAAAGCTGAAAGATTTTTGTCAACACCAGACTTGTCTTACAAGAAATGTTAAAGGGAGTTCTGCAATCTAAAAGGATGTTAATGAGCAACAAGAAATCATCTGAAGGCACGAAACTCACTGGTAATAGTAACTACACAGAAAAAAAAAACAATATAGTAGCAATGTAACTGTGATGTGTAAACTCATATCTTGAGTAGAAAGACTAAAATATGAACCTATCAAAAACAATTCCAACAAGTTTTCAAGACATAGACAGTACAATAAGATATACATAGAAACAAAAAATTTAAAAGCTGGGTGACATAGTTAAAGTGTAATGTTTTTATTAGTTTTTCTCTTGTTTGTTATTTGTTTATGGGATCAGTGTTGTCATCAGTTTAAAATAATGGGTTATAAGATATAGTTTACCATGGAAGCTTCATGGTAAACTAAATTCAAAAACCTACAACAGATACCAAAAAATTTTTTAAAAAGAAATTAAAATATACAACCAGAGAAAATCACCTTCACAATAAGGAAGACAGGAAGGAAGGAAAGAAGGAAGAGAAGACCACCAAACAACATGGCAGCAGTAAATCCTTACTTATTAATAAAACATTGAATATAAATGGACTAAAGTCTCCAATCAAAACACACAGAGTTGCTGAATGAATAAAAATAAAGACCCAATGCTCTATTGCATACAAGAAACACCCTTCACCTATAAAGACACACATAGATTAAAATAAAAGGATGGAAAAAGATATTTCATGCCACTGGAAACGACGAAATAGCAGGAATAACTACATGTATATCAGAAAAATAGATTTCAAGAGAAAAACTGTGAAAAGAGACAAAGTCATTATATATAATGCTAAAGGGATCAATTCAGCAAGAGGACATAATCTTTGTAAATATATATACACTCAACACTGGAGCACCCAGATATAAAAGTAAATATTATTAGAGCTAAAGAGACAGATAGAGTCTGACACAGTGATAGCTGAAGATGACAACACCCCACTTTCAGCATTGAACAGGCCTTCCAGACAGAAATGGACTTAATCTGCACTATAGAACAAATGGACCTAATAGATATTTATAGAACATTTCATCCAACAGCTTCAGAATACCTATTCTTCTCAGCACATGGATCATTCTCAAAGAAATACTATATGTTAGGCCATAAAATATGTCTTGAAACTTTTTTAAATTGAAATAATATCAAGTACCTTCTCTGACCACAAGGCAATAAAAGTAGAAATCAGTAACAAGTGGACTTTCAAAATGCTACAAACACATGGAAATTAAACAGTCGTCTTCTGAATGACCAGTGGGTCAATTAAGAAATTGAGAAGTTGGGCTGGGCATGATGGCTCACGACTGTAATCCCAGCACTTTGGGAGGTGGAGCCAGGCGGATCACGAGGTCAGGAGTTCAAGACCAGCCTGACCGACATGATGAAACCCTGTCTCTACTAAAAATACAAAAATTAGCCGGGCATGGTGGCACACACCTGTAATCCCAGCTACTCAGGAGGCTGAGGCAGGAGAATTGCTTAAACCCAGGAGGTGGAGGTTGCAGTGAGTGGAGATTGCGCCATTGCACTCCAGCTTGGGAGACAGAGTGAGACTCCATCTCAAAGAGAAAAAAAAAAAAGAAAGAAATTGAAAAGTTTTTTGAGGCCAGGCGCATTGGCTCATGCCTGTAATCCCAGCACTTTGGGAGGCCAAGGCAGGTGGATCACCTGAGGTCAGGAGTTCGAGACCAGCCTGATCAACAAGGTGAAACCATGTCTCTACTAAAAATACAAAAATTAGTCGGGCATGGTGGCGGGCGCCTGTAGTCCTAGCTACTCATGAGGCTGAGGAATTGCTTGAACCCAAGAAGGTGGAGGTGGCAGTGAGCCGAGACTGCGCCGCTGCACTCCAGCCTGGATGATGGAGCAAGACTCTGTCTCAAAAAAAAAAAAAAGAAAAGAAAAGTTTTTTGAAACAAATGATAATAGAAACACAGCATGCCAAAATCTGTGGGATACAGAAAAATAAGTACTAAGAAGAATGTTTATAGCTATAAGTGCCTACATTACAAAAGTAAAAAAAAAAACTTTAAATAAACAACCTAATAATGCATCTTAAAGAATTAGAGATGCTAGAGCAAACCAAACCCAAAGTGAGTAGAAGAAAATAAATAGCTGGGCGCAGTAGCTCACGCCTGCAGTCCCAACACTTTGGGAGGCTGAGGCAGGTGGATCACCGGAGGTCAGGAGTTCGAGACCAGCCTGACCAATAAGGTGAAATTCCATCTCTACTAAAAATATAAAAATTAGCCAGACGTAGTGGCAGGCACCTGTAGTCCCAGCTACTCAGGAGGCTGAGACAGGAGAATTGCTTGAACCCGGGAGGTGGAGGTTGCAGTGAGCCAAGATCACGCCACTGCACTCTAGCCTGGGCAACAGAACAAGACTCTGTCTCAAAAAAAAAAAAAAAAAAAGGAAAATAAAATAATAAAGATTAGAGCAGAAATAAATGAAACTGAAACAAAGAAAACAATACAAATGTGTTCAACAAAATGATTTTTTTTGTTTGTTTGTTTTTTGTTTGTTTTTTTTGAAATGGGGTCTTGCTCTTATCACCCAGGCTGGAGTGCAATGGCAGGATCTCTGTTCACTGCAACCTCTGCCTCCTGGGTTCAAGCAATTCTCCTGCCTCAGCCTCCCAAGTAGCTGGGATTACAGGCACCCACCACCATGCCCGGCTAATTTTTGTATTTTTAATACAGACGGGGCTTTGCCATGTTGGTCAGGCTGGTCTCGAACTCCTGACCTCGTGATCTGTCCACCTCGGCCTCCCAAAGTGCTGGGATTACAGGCGTGAGCCACCACGCCCGGCCGAGAAATTGGTTTTTTGAAAAGTAAACAAAATAAAAAATCCTTTAGCCAGACTAAGAAAGATAAACCAAATAAAATAGAAGTGAGAAAGAAGACTTTACAGCCAATACTGCAGAAATTCAAAGGATCATTAGAGGCTACTATGATCAACTGTATGCCAAAAATTGGAAATTATAGAAAAAATGGACAAATTCCTAGACACATATAACTTACCAAGATGAATTATGAGGAAATCCAAAACCTGAACTGACAAATAGCAAGCAATGAGATTGAGGCTGTAATAAAAATTTTCCCAGCAAAGAAAAGCCTGGGACCCAATGGCTTCACTACTGAATTTTACCAAACATTTAAAGAACTAACCCCAATCCTACTCGAACTATTCCCAAAAATAAGAGGAGGAGAAAATACTTCTAAATTCATCATACAAGGTTGGTATTACCCTGATACTAAAATAATTTTTTTTCTATTTCCATTTCAATAAGAAATAAGAAAAAGTAAAACAAAGACATATTTGAACCTAATATATTCTTCAGTGATATCATTCCTTTACTGTAAGGAATACTTTTTTTTTCTTTTTTCTTTTTTTTTGAGATGGAGTCTTGCTCTGTCACCAGGCTGGAGTGCAGTGGTGCGATCTCGGCTCACTGCACCCTCCTCCGCCCAGGTTCAAGTGATTTCCCCTGCCTCAGCCTCCCAAGTAGCTGGGACTACAGGAGTGCGCCACCACGCCTGGCTAATTTTTTTGTATTTTAGTGGATACTGGGTTTCACCATGTTGACTAGGATGGTCTCGATGGCCTGACCCCGTGATCCGCCCGCCTCGGGCTCCCAAAGTGCTGGTATTACAGGCGTGAGCCACCACGCCTGGCCGGAGTACTTGTTTTTCAATACCACAGGAGCTATGAGCTGGTCCTCCATTTTGTATCAAAGAATGTGTCCCCAGGTGACAAGATGCAGATTCCAAGACATTGAATCAATATGATGCCACCATCGCTTTCTTTCTGTTCTATGACATCTTTCTAGTCTTACCTTACTATTTCCTTGGCTCTCAGTTGGTTTTTCCTGAGTTCTCAGAAATTGAAATAATACACACTTTGTAGAAATAAGAATTTCATGTTAGTCAAGTCTCTAGGATAGCCATGGGCTCCACTTAATTATCTCAGAACTTACAGCCCCATGTCCTCTGCTCACTATCCATTGAGATTTATGTGTTCTCAGACTTCACAGAAACTTTTCTAGCTACTTATGTCATTCTCAGTGGTAACTTCATTTATCCACAATATTAACTAATTTTCTCAGTCCAAGCTGTTTTCCAGAGGTAATCTCCAGTCCCCATGCCGAAACTATCATTGTACTTACTGCTGAAATGATAGTTCCTTCCCAGCAAGAAGGTGAGATTATTGTACCCAGAATCTTTTCTCAGGGTTCAAATATCCACTTTCCCCATGGCAGGAATGCTGACACTCCAGCCACGGTTTTGTAAATGTGAATTAGTAAATACCAACTATTCCCAGGTGAGTGTTGTGGGCAGCAAGCTACCCAGGTGCTGAGGCAAGAGACCGAGGGCATGAGCCATTCCAGTATAATAAAATATATAAAACAACAAGAGTTATACTAGATCTAGATCATAGATGTAATTATATATGAATATCATTAATCATTAGTTTGTAGCAATTACTCTTTATTCCAGTATTATAATAATACTCGCTCTATAATCATAACCTAGAAAAAACCAGGCCATACAGAGATAGGAGCTGAGGGGACACAGTGAGAAGTGACCAGAAGACAAGAGTGCGAGCCTTCTGTTATGTCCAGACAGGGCCACCAGAGGGCTCCTTGGTCTAGCGGTGATGCCAGCATCTGGGAAGTCTGGTCTAGCGGTAGCCTTAGTGTCAAGGAAAAACAACCGCTACTTAGCGGACCGGGAAAGGGAGTCTCCCTTTTCCCCGGGGGGAGTTTAGAGAAGACTCTGCTCCTCCGTCTCTTGTGGAGGGCCTGACATCAGTCAGGCCCACCCGCAGTTATCCGGAGGCCTAACCATCTCCCTGTGATGCTGTGCTTCAGTGGTCACGCTCCTAGTCCACCTTCATGTTCCATCCTGTACACCTGGCTCTGCCTTCTAGATAACAGTAGCAAAATTAGTGAAAGTACTAAAAGTCTCTGATATGCAGAAATAATGGTGTAAGCTGTCTCTCTCTCTCCCTCTCTCTCTCTGCCTTGGCTGCCAGGCAGAGAAGGGCCCCGCGTCCAGTGGACACATGACCCACATGACCTTACCTATCATTGGAGATGACTCACACTCTTTGCCCTGCCTCTTTTGCTTTGTATCCAATAAATAACAGTGCAGCTAGACATTCAGGGCCACTACCAGTCTCCGCGCATTGGTGGTAGTGGTCCCCCGGGCCCAGCTGCCTTTTCTCTTATCTCTTTGTCTTGTGTCTTTATTTCTACACTCTCTCGTCACCGCACACAGGGAGAGACCCACCGACCCTGTGGGGCTGGTCCCTACAGAGTGTTACAATCAGAAGGAACCAGTTCTGCTCTGAGGTTGAGACATACTCTGAGGGACCTGGAGACATGGTGCAACCTCCTCTCCTTGCCTTATGCCTCTCCTCTATATTTCCTCTGAAACCTTCTTTGAATATTCTTCCTTCCATTACTGACTGAAAATATTAAGCCTCACAAAGTCCACTGTAAGATCTTTACCAGTGGGAAATGAAGAAGACTGTTTAAAGTATTTGAGTGGCCATTTAGTGTCTTTATAACATTTTTTGGTTATGCATTTTTGTCTTTTTGGGGGCATGATTTGCAAATTGAGTCTCTGGTATTTTACTAACTTGTGTTTGATGAGTGAAAGAGTTAATACTTCCTCTCCCATTAGTGAAAGGAAAGACACTTCAGAAACATGAATAAAAGATTGTAAATTGGAAATAGTAAGGTAATCAGATATGTAAAGAATCTAGGCCAGGCGTGGTGGCTCACGCCTGTAATCCCAGCATGTCAAGTGATTCTCCTGCCTCCACCTCTCTAGTAGCTGGAATTACAGGCACCTGCCACTACGCCCAGTGAATTTTTGTATTTTTAGTAGAGACAAGGTTTCACCATGTTGGTCATGCTGGTCTAGAACTCCTGACCTCTGGTGATCCACCCACCTCGGCCTCCCAAAGTGCTGAGATTACAGGCATGAGCCACAGCGCCCAGCTTCCTGACATCGCTTAATGCATAATCTCTTCACAGGGTATTTCCAAAGTCCAAGGGCTCTTTCATAACACCTACAACTGGTTCCATCAGAAATGTTTAAAGCATAACAAAATATGTTATCATCGTCCATTTTTTCTATTGTCTCAAAAATATCTTTGTTCTTTAAGCAGCTTCATTGCAATGAAATTCCCAAATGTGGGCGTGGTGGCTCACGCCTGTGGTCCCAGCACTTTGGGAGGCTGAGGCGGGTGGATCATCTGAGGTTGGGATTTTGAGACCAGCCTGGCCAACATGGTGAAACTCTGTCTCTACTAAATACAAAAATTAAAAAAAAAAAAGAAAGAAATTCCCAAATTTATCCCCATGACTTTTAGTAGTTCTGTCTCATATATCTCTATTAATCTACAGGTATGACTTTCCTTTTTAAAATTCCTTTTTTGTGCGGGGTGTGGGACAGGGTCTTACTCTGTCACCCAGGCTGGAGTGCTGTGACACAATTACAGCTAACTGCAGCCTGGACCTCCCTGGGCTAGGTGATCCTCCCACCTCTGCCTCCCAAGTAGCTGGGACTACAGGCAAGCACCACCATGCCTGGCTAAGCTTTTATTTTTTATTTTTTGTAGAGACTGGGTTTCACAATGTTGCCCAGGCTGGTCTCAGACTCCTGGGCTCAAGCAATCCACCTGCTTTGGCCTCCCAAAGTGCTGGGATTACATACATAACCACAATGCCTGGCCTTAAATTTTATTTTATTTTTTTATTTTTTTTGAGACGGAGTCTCTCTCTGTCACCCAGGCTGGAGTGCAATGGTGCAATCTTGGCTCACTGCAACCTCCGCCTCTCAGGTTTAAGCAGTTCTCTGCCACAGCCTCCCAAGTAGCTGGGATTACAGGCGCCCACCACCACGCCCGGCTAATTTTTGTATTTTTAGTAGAGACGGGGTTTCACCATCTTGGCCAGGCTGGTCTTGAACTCCTGACCTCATGATCCACCCGTCTTGGCCTCCAAAAGTGCTGGGATTAGAGGCGTGAGCCACCGCGCCTGGCCAAAATTTTATTTATTTCTTGAAATTGTGTAATTTTTGTATTAGAATTTATTATACTCTAATTTTTTGTGCATATCTCTGATATGATTTAAGTTGTTTACACATGTATAAGCCATAAGCAAACTAGATATTCTTGAAATGGGTGATTCAGGGGTAGTCCCACATAAGTGTGTGATTATGACACAGCCAGAAACACACAGTTGGATTACATTCTCCCAGCATGCTGTGGTACAGTCTGGAAGCAAAAATTTCAAAGAGTGTATGCTCCTGGTGTGTGACAAGTGCCTGAGGGTTATACTGCAGCACAGCCTATAGACAAAACACATATCCCAGGGACCCTGTGTGACAGGTGTGCAGTATTTAAAGACCTCAGTCCGGCAGGGCACGGTGGCTCACGCCTGTAATCCCAACGCTTTGGGAGGCCGAGGTGGGTGGATCACGAGGTCAAGAGTTTGAGACCAGCCTGGCCAACATGGAGAAATCCTGTCTTTACTAAAAATACAAAAATTAGCCATGGGTTGCGCTCACCTGTAGTCCGAGCTATGCGGGAGGCTGATACAGGAGAGTTGCTTGAACCAGGGAGGCGGAGGTTGCAGTGAGCCAAGATCATGCCACCACAGTCCAGTCTGGGGAAAAGAGTGACCCTGTCTCAAAAAAAAAAAAAAAAATCTCAGTCCATCCTAGAGGTGCCCCTGTTATACCTATAGGACTCTGTGTAAGAGGCATTGGGTACTGGCACCTATTGACAGCCTGAGCCGACATAAATATATACCACACTGACAACAAACCCAAGAGGGAGAGATGTGATCCACACAACCAGCATATTCAGAACCCCAAGGGGCTGTTAGACAGAATGGAGGTGGGGTCATACTGGCCACACAGAAGCACAAATGCTACTCAGAGACTTGGGCTTTTAAATTTGCTGATTACAAAGGTTTAGTGGGAGCATAAGCAGGGTATAATCAAGAAAATTTTACTCCACAATAGATAGAAATATACCTTCCAGTGTGTGTAGTCATAATATAATTGGAACACACAATTTTAAACTTCTAGACATTACTGTAGAGTCCTATGTTGATTAAGAATCATCACAGATATTTCTAGAAAGAAGAAAGCAAAATATTACTGATAGTGAAGATGAAATATGCCTATATAACTTGCTGTCATGCAAGGTAACATTTAGGTATTGAGATTCTTTACATCCCTGATTACATTGCCATTTGTAATTTATAATCTTTTATTTACATTTCTAAAGCATCTTGCTTTTATGTGCCTATATATCATGCTGTCATACAAGATAACATTTAGAGGCCAGGCATGGTGGCTCATGCCTGTAATCCCAGAACATTGGGAGGCTGAGGCAGGTGGATCACCTGAGATCAGGAGTTTGAGACCAGCCTGACCAACATGGAGAAGCCCTGTCTCTACTAAAAATACAAAGTTAGCCAGCTACTAGGGAGGCTGAGGCAGGAGAATCACTTGAATCCAGGAGGCAGAGGTTGCAGTGAGCTGACATGGTGCTATTGCACTCCAGCCTGACAACAAGAGCAAGAAACTCCGTCTCAAAAATAACAAAAATGAGAGATATCAGGATTATAAGTAAAACAGCATAGTAATACACTTAAGAATAGATAATCGGTCAGATGTGGTGGCTCATGCCTGTAATCCCTGCACTTTGGAGAGCCGAGGTGGATGGATCACCTGAGGTTGGGAGTTGGAGACCAGCCTGACCCTTTTTTTTTTCTAGTAGAGACAGGAGAAACCCTATCTCTACTAAAAAAAAAAAAAAAAAAAAAAAAACACACACAACCAAATTAGCCGGGCGTGGTGGCACATGCCTATAATTCCATCTACTCGGGAGGCTGAGGCAGGAGAATTGCTTGAACCTGGGAGGCAGAGGTTGTGTTGAGCCAGGATTGTGCCATAGCACTTCACGCTGGGCAGCAAGAGCAAAACTCCGTCTCAAAGAAAAAAAAAAAAAAAAAATTAGCCGGGCGTAATGGCACTGTAATCCCAGCTGCTTGGGAGGCTGAGCCCTGAGAATTGCTTGAACCCAGGAGGTGGAGGTTGCAGTAAGCTGAGATTGCCTCACTGCACTCCAGCCTGGGCGACACAGCAAGACTCTGTCTCAAAAAAAAAAAAAAAAAAGCCGGGCGCAGTGGCTCACGCCTGTAATCCCAGCACTTTGGGAGGCCGAGGCGGGCAGATCATGAGGTCAGGAGATCGAAACCATCTCGGCTAACACAGTGAAACCCCATCTCTACTAAAAATACAAAAACTTAGCCGGGTGTGGTGGCGGGCGCCTGTAGTCCCAGCTACTCGGGAGGCTGAGGAGAATGGCATGAACCCGGGAGGCTGAGCTTGCAGTGAGCGAAGATCACGCCACTTCCTCCAGCCTGGGTCACAGAGCGAGATTCCGTCTCAAAAAAAAAAAAAAAAAAACAAACCACCATGCAATGATAAATAATAATGGATCATTGAGGAAGAATTCATGGGACTTCATTACATAGTCCTTTGTATTTGTGTATATATTTGGAAAAATCCATTACAAAAGGTACAATATGTTCTTGCATCAATAACTTTATACAGGCATACTTTGGAGATAGAACAGGTCAATTTTTTTTTTTTTTTTTTGAGATGGAGTCTCACTGTGTTGCCCAGGCTGGAGTGCAGTGGCGCGATCTCGGCTCACTGCAACCTCCACCTCCCGGGTTCAAGTAATTCTTCTGCCTCAGCCTCCTGAGTAGCTAGGATTACAGGTGCCCCCACCCCCGCCACCATGCCCAGGTAATTTTTGTATTTTTAGTACGGACGGGGTTTCACCATGTTGGCCAGGCTAGTCTCAAACTCCTGACCTTGTGATCTGCCTGGCTTGGCCTCCCAAAGTGCTGGGATTACAGGCATGAGCCACCGCGCCCGGCCGACAGGCTTCTTTATCCCATAAATATCTCTAAATCCCATCATCAAAGAGGCAGATTTGAGAACTGTTCTCCCACCTCTGCACTTGGCAGCCTTGTAAATACATGCTTTCTCTGCTGCAAGACTCATCATCTCAGTGATTGGCATACTGTGAGATGGACAGAACAGGCCTGGTTCTATATCAATAGTGTGGAGGAATTGTTTCATTTTATAGACCAGTATCGTCAGCTTCCTCAGGAACCTTTACTAACATGGATAGTGAGAATAACTAACTTAGGGGAAACATCTTTGGTTTTAAATAATGCAGAGTGGAAGAACATGTTTGGGTTGATGTAGTACCTACAGGTCACTCTTCAACAATTGCAGATAGGTATGTATCATCCACACACACAAGAGTTTATTCCTGAAGGAACAGCCAGCCTGGGTGGGTGTATAAAAGCTACTCTGAAGTCTGTCTACTCGGAAAAGCGGGACTGTCTGACTCCCCCTATAAATGCCAAGTGGGGCTCCCCAGATGAACCAGCTTAATATGCTTCCCATGCAAGCCATGTGGAACTGGCATTATGATGATAGGAATATTTACCTACTGAATATGTTTATTACCCAGGTCATGGTAAATGTCTTGGTTTGGGGAACCCCATTTTCTTGGGCACCTTATGTAAACTTACTGCTGCAAAATTGAGCTATAGTCAGTCTTACCAAATTTGCTTCCTATTATGGGCCTTTCAGATGCTAATAAAACCATTAGATTAATTAATAAGATAGACAATGATGAAAGGTACAGGGGAGAGTCAAACAGCTCCTTCCAGGAAGGTAGAAATTTTTAAATAGTTATAAAGAAATAAGACAAATAAAGAAAACATGGATAGGAATGAAACTAAGAGGAAAAAGAAAAGGGGGAAATCATGATACTCATCCCAGCATGGTGGAAATCTTTAGATGGCTATTAGATGGAAATTAGATGAATAAAATAAAAACTGATCGGATTAAAACAAAATTCTGAATATAACACTATTGAAGGTTGGGTGGACCAAAGGAAGTTCCTGTTGATCCCCCAACATTAAAGGGCCTTAAGCTAAGTTGCTGTAGTTCCTGAAGTTTGGATAAATTTTAAAAGCCAGAAGGTAAAGATATAATGAGAAACCCCACCTGGAATGCCTAGGGTGATGGTTAGACTGGTTAATCAAGGTAGCACTTGGAAAAAAGGCCAAAGTCTCCTGGCCTGAACCCTGGGTGGAAACCTGAAGACATCTGCACAAGAAAGGGTAAAATGGTCTGGAGAGAAGAGTCCTGGGACTACAACATAAAGTAAAAGTTGACAGGACTATGAAAGTTGGAATGTTAAACATGCTTTTTTTTTTTTAAGTTGTACTACCAATAAACTGAGTTCTTTCCCTACTTTGTATTGGTCACAAAAAAAAGAACACCCAATTTGGGAAAAAAAAAAAAAAAGGCAAGCAAGTTTTATTTCTGAGCAGAAATGGAGAATGAGTAAGCTCTTGCTCTAAATGCCTCTTCTCCCTGAACATAGAAGACATAGGTTTTTTAAGAACTGAGCGGCTGGGTACAGTGGCTCATGCCTTTAATCCCAGCACTTTGGGAGGCCGAGACAGGTGGATCACCTGAGGTTGAGAGTTCGAGACCAGCCTGACCAACATGGAGAAACCCCGTCTCTACTAAAAATACAAAATTAGCCAGGTATGGTGGCTCATGCCTGTAATCCCATCCATAACATTAATTTATTAGGCAAAACACTCCTTGCCATGGAAACAGAAATAAAGAATAGTCACAAAAAAAAAAAAAGAAAAGAAATAAATAAAGTCTGTTTTATCTAATACAAAAAAAAAAAAATAGCCACTTCCCAGCAATAACATGAACTCCTGGATTTAAGACACAACCAATATCAACAGGTGGAGAGCATCTTCTGCATACGTGCCCCACCTTTGAAAACTGCAGCCATTTATCACTACCAAAATAGCATTTCTTTCATTGGTCTTCCTGTAAGATTGATAAATCTTAGATAAATTAATCCAGAATTAATTGAATATAAGTTGGAATCTCAAGCGAGGGATACTAAGTGGATAAAAGTGTTGCTCAATGTACTGGACACTATGATTGATTTTATAGGCAGGAGAGTTGTCTTCTGTGGGAATCACAGACAGAGATTCAGCATGTATTCCTGCTTTAGGGAACACAACATTTCTCCTCTATCTTCCTTGTCTTGTCCTATCTGGATTAGTTCTCTCTTGTCCCTGACAGACTGAGAAACTGACTCTAATGCCTCAGAGTGCATTCATGTGAATTTATAACACAATAATGTTTATCAGCCTCTGCTGCCAGTACCGGGATTTTGCGACTGAAAGACTGTTCAAAACGTTATGATAATTTGGATTTTTAGTCTTTGGGGGCATCCTAAATAATAAGTTTAGCATCGGAGAGCTCGAGTTCCCCAAAATCTAAAATAATATTTTTTCAAATACTTGAGTGATCAGTTACAGACACTAATCTCCAAAAATCTCAATACGGGTTCTAAGGCTAGGTGAGACTATCCTCTACCCTAGAAGGACATGCACTTTAAGGACAGGCCGCTGAGATGGAGCTGGGCCTTTCCTGCAAGTAAGTGAACGTGATGGTAGGGTATACCTGACAGCATAGTTTGACAGGGGATATAGACTTTCAAGGAGAAAATAGACATGAAATAGATACATGCAGAAGTATAGTCAAATTGAGGGAAGATGACACTTAGGCCAGAGTAGTGTTTATTCACCACTCTGTGCAATCAAGCGCCTCTGAGAAGGCCTTCTTTACCGCCTTGGAACTGTCTTGGAACCTGAGGAAACTACATAACCCAGAAATCTCTGCGTCGAATGACAGCGCGTCAGAGCCAATGAGGGCTCAAAATAAAGGCGTTTCCGCGGAAACAGTATAAAGGTGGGACTTCCGGCGTCCTCTACTAGTGGCCATTTTGATTGGTGTTGGGTGTATTTTCCAGTGAGAGACCGCGGAGTGTTGGGTCGTGTAGAAGTGACTGAACCCAGAAGGTGGAGACGAGACGTTGTCCCGACTGCACAGAGGCTGCTCTGCAGCTCCTTAAAGGCGCTAGGCGTGACCCGCACCAAGGCCGGGATCGGGACCACCGTGCCCGGGTACCTGCACTGCTCGCCCCCTCCTTTCGACCCCGCTTTCCCCACCCAGTCGGATGGCGGCGGCCGCGCTGAGGCCCCCGGCTCAGGTAATTGTGGCGTCTTCCGTGCCCTCAGGTCACCTCATCTTTACCTAAGTCCAAAAGCAGAGAGGAAGCGGCGCCTGCTCAAGGTTTTACACCCTGAACCCGGCGTCGGGACACTGAGGCGCTCTCTATGGGCCCCCGTTTTTGACACCCGCGGGATGCGCTCAGGAGAGCTACAGGCACAGGGAGCGGTGCAGGCAAAGGCCTGGAGATGAACTGAGCCGAGAGGATCGTAACCTAGGGTCCACAGGCACCTGTCGGGAGCAAAGTGTGAGGCAGAGCTCCTCCTGGAAGAGCAGGCTGAGGACCGTGTATTCACCCTGAGAACGCTGGAAGCCATGGACAGCTTCCAACAAAGGAAGGAAAAGATCAATGTCCAGGCTTTAAAGGTTTCCCAAAGTCCAGTCGAAAAAGAACACAGGGGATGACTTTTGGGCCCTGGGAGGTTGAATTCTTGTTCAACCTCTACAGATCAGATAGGTGCTAAGAGATGACATTTTGTACTGAGGCGCTCAGTTCAGACAACCAACTCGCGTTTACCTAGTTACAGGGCCAAGAAAGAGTTCAGGGAGGCCTGAGCTTATCAAATCTCATCAGGGATACATTCTTGTAGCTTGTGCCTCTCCTCTCAGGAACTCCTGGCTGCAGAAGCACTTGCAGAACCTCCGCAGGGAAGCGGAGGGTGTTATTCCCTCACTGGCCCTAACTCCTATCCACATGCTCTTTAGATTGGGATGTCCTGGGATTCTTAGGTACCTTTTTTTTTTTTTTTTTAAGTTTTTTGATATGGGAACCCTGGAGGAACCTTAAACCCAGGATCCAAAGTCTGTGACACAGGATATATGGAGGTATTCCCATTTCTGTCAACCAGTATAAACATACTTGGAAGGTTAACCCAGGAGTTAGTACCAGGATGTGAAATGCTTAGAGGTGAAACTGACCAGAGGGAGGAGGTGATGTTGCCACAGTTTCATCTGGCTGTAGTCTCCTCTGGCTGTACAGTGGAGAACAGACTGTGGGGTTGAGAGAGGAGGAAATAAGATGAGAGTTGAGGCTTTTGCCGTAATCCAAGTGAGGGTTAACAGACTAAGATTCATGGCTAAGGAGATGTGGCTGGATTCAAAGTTGATATTTTGTTACAGCATCTAGGTTTCCTAATACACAAAGTAAGGGCATGAAGAGAGCAATCAGGATCCCGAGGTTTTTGGTCTTAGTAGCTGTAGCTATGGAAGCTGCATCAGCTGAGATGAGCATGTTGGTAATAAACATAATTAGAATATTATGCAAATATCAGGATGACTGTTATGGCCATATGAAGAGTCAGAGACGAATAAGTGTAGGCATCAAATGGCTATGGACATGCAGGTTGGGGTATCTGGAAAGGGATTGACACTGGAGACATCTAATATATGGTAGCTAATGTGTATGCTATGGTGAGTGAGCCATGGGTCACATTAAGGAGAACACACTTCAGATTCTGGTGGTAAATCTTTTAGGGGACCAGAAAGCAGTGGTTGAATGATGAGGACTGCATCTGTTGCTTGGGTCCCTGGGTAATGTTACTGGGCTTCCTAAACACTGGAGAGGTAGGTAAGTGACCATGATGGTAGGGTATACCTGTCAGCATAATTTGACAGGGGACATAGACTTTCAAGGAGAGAATAGACATGAAATAGATATATGCAGAAGTGTAGTCAAATTGAGGGAAGATGACACTTAGGCCAGAGTGGTACTTATTCACCACTCTGTGCAATCAAGATTTGAGATGACTTTGGTAGTGTGTGGGGGGTTTCATTACACGTGCTGAATATGCTCAGGGAGAAATATGGTCATCTGTGACAGTAGGTCTTGGGCCTTAAATGGATTAAAAACAGGACTTTTTTTTTTTTTGAGACGGTGTCTCACTCTGTCGCCCAGGCTGGTGTACTGGTGTATAGTGGCGCAATCTTGGCTCATTACAACCTCCACCTCCCAGGTTCAAGTGATTCTCCTGCCTCAGCCTCCCGGTAGCTGAGAATACAGTTGCGTGCCACCACGCCCCACTAATTTTTTTTTGTATTTTTAGTAGAGATGTGATTTCACCATATTGGCCAGGCTGGTCTCGAACTCCTGACCTCATGATCCACCTGCCTCAGCCTCCCAAAGTGCTAGGATTACAGGTGTGAACCACCATGCCCATCCAGGACTGCTCTTTAAATGGCAATGGTATTAGGTGAATGGAAGTTGGTCCGTGTTGCTGAAGGGTAAGCCATTGTAGCACAGAAGTGGAATAAGACCATGGATATCTGAAGTTACATGTGGTTTTGCATGGATGTGGAGTAATGCAAGGAGGCATTCATAGAATTATTAGGGACTACCACTGCTAATGGGAACCATGGTCATTTTGTGTTATTATTGGATCCTGTTTGAATATGTGAAGCATATTGGATGCTGTCAGCCATATTGTGGTATAAAGCCAAAAATGGAGGCCCAATATGATGTGTCACCTTGACATCTAGTGATATTGGTATGACCTCAAATGACCTGAGAACCAATTCCCTTCCCACTAGGCTCTTTTAGATAATAATCAGCATGGCCTAATAATCCTTTTATTAGGGAGACCAGGCAGAATTCCTGGTTATTATACTTTGTAGTGAGTTTCAATTTTATCCTTACCCACAGTGTTATTCAAACAAGCCAGTTGCATCCTCCTAAGGGATTCGGGGGTCATCACACCCTCTTCATTTTAAAAGCTTGCATATCATAGTTTCTGGTTATGCACTCTTATCCATAGTGCAACCCCTATGTGGTCCTTCATGATGAGGGATGTCCTCTTCTAGACTTTGAGTGTATTTGATTTTTAAACATATTTATAGCACCTGTCTAGTGTTTGATGTCATGTGTTTGGTCATTAATATAACTGTAAGGTGAAAATCTCACCCTTACTGGTAGAAGGAAGAAGAGGGTATAAACATACTTTAACTTGTGGGGAGGCAGAGGCCAATGTGGGAGGCAGTTTAGTGGGGGTGGCCATGGGCATGTGTCTGTGCAGTCTAAAGAATGATGTGTATTTTGGCCTAGCACAGTGGCTCATGCCTGTAATCCCAGCACATTGGGAGGCTGAGGTGGGTGAATCACTTGAGCTCAGGATTTCGAGACTAACCTGGGCAACATAGTGAAACCTTCTCTCTACCAAAAATACAAAAAAAAAAAAAAATTAGCCGGCACGGTGGCATGCACCTGTATCCCATCTACTCGGGAGGCTAAGGCCAGAGAATTACTCGAGCCCAGTAGACAGAGGTTGCAGAGAGCTGAGATTATGTCATTGCACTCCAGCCTGGGCAACAGGAGTGAAACCCTATCTCAAAAAAAAAAAAAGCAAAAAAAAGGAATGATGTGTATTTAGAGAAGGAGTATGTCTGATAGACTGAGGATGCTGCATTGGGATTTACATGACTTCATCTCTACCAGGGGCATTGGCTATCAGGAAGTTATGGACCGCTTTATATCAGCACCAAAACATAGAAATCTATTGTTTCACCCACTTCTTGTGGCTGATGGCTGTACACCATGACCAGTGAGCCCATGAGAAGATAGTGACACCAGTGGGCCTAGTTTCTCCTTGTAGTTTAGGACCTTGGGAGGAGGAAGGGCAAGGGTGGATAAGTGGATGAGCATATGGAGTGTTTGTGGTTTCATCTGTCATCATCACGGCAGGGCACTGTGACCTTTGAAGATGTGGCTGTGAACTTTTCCCAGGAGGAATGGAGTCTCCTTAGTGAGGCTCAGAGATGCCTTTATCATGACGTGATGCTGGAGAACCTGACACTTATATCTTCTCTAGGTAAGGCACTCACACTCTTCTCTATGACCTCAGCTATTGTCTGTCTGTCCCCATCTTTTTTCCCCATGGCAAGACTGTTTTCCTCACTTCAGGAGCCTGGGCACAGGTTCCTCTGTTAGTTCCCTGGGTAGGTTCTATGTGGTATGTAGGACTGAGGTGTGTGCACTGCCCTCTCTCTCCTTGAGCAGCCCCAACACCTGCTTTGCTGCAAGCTCCCAGAGAAGGAGCTTTACAGGCACCATAATGCATCCCACCTTGCTTGCCCTCTGGCTGTTGAGTAATTTTTCTAGATCAGAGACTGGTATGCACAGGTTCTACTTCCTTGCTCTAGGTGACATTTATTCATGACTGCCTGTGCTAGGAATTCCTCCCATCACTGATGTTCTCAATACTTACATGCACCATAGGTTGTTCTTGCAAGACCCTCCTTATAAATTATCTTGTTTGTTTTGTTTTGTTCTGTTTTGTTTTCAAAGTCTTAACTCTGTCACCCAGGCTGGAGTGCAGTGCTGCAGTCATAGCTCACTGTAGCCTCAATCTCCCAGGCTCAAGCAATCCTCCTTCCTCAGCCTCTAGAGTAACTCGGACTAGAGGCTTCTGCCATCACATCCCACTAATTTTTATTTTTATTTTTAATAGAGATGAGGTCTGGCTGTATTGCCCAGGCTGGTCTCTGACTCCCAACCTCACGTGATCCTCCCACCTCATCCTCCCAAAGTGCTGGGATTACAAGCATGAGCCAGTGTGCCCTGAGTATTTTTTGCTTTTTTGTTTTTTTTTTTTTCAGACAGGGTTTCACTGTCATCCAGGCTGCAGTCTACTGATGCAATCATGGTTCACTTCATTCTCAGCCTTCTGGGCTCAAGTAATCCTCCCACCTGACTCCTAAGTAGCTGGGACTACAGGAGCATGCCACCCTGCCCAACTAATTTTTGTTCATTTGTATTTTTGGTTTTGTTTTTTTTTTTTTTTTTTTTTTGAGACGGAGTCTTGCTCTGCCACCAGGCTGGAGTGCAGTGGCCCAATCTCGGCTCACTGCAACCTCCGCTTCCCAGGTTCACACCATTCTCCTGCCTCAGCCTCCCGAGTAGCTGGGACCACAGGCACATGCTGCCACACCTGGCTAATTTTTTTGTATTTTTAGTAGAGACGGGGTTTCACCGTGTTAGCCAGGATGGTCTCGATCTCCTGACCTTGTGATCCACCCGCCTCGGGCTCCCGGAGCTGGGATTACAGGCGTGAGCCACCGTGCCCGGCCTCATTTGTTTGTTTTGTAGAGATGGTGTCTCATTATGTTACCCAGGTTGGTCTTGAACTCCTAGGGTCAAGTAGTCCTTCCAGTTTGGCCTCCCACAGTGCTGGGATTATAGGTGTGAGCCACTGCACCTGGCCAAAAATTATCTTTGTAGTATTTAGTTTTCTTTCCTATGGGCTATCATGTGCTGATTTTTTCTGAACTGTTGGTTGGCTATTCTTCTCTCTTGTCTTTCTCTTATTCTTTATGTCATCCATGTCTCATGTAAATTCCATGTATATCTTTGCAGTGGGACTGAGAGTTCTCAGTGATCCAGAAGTTGCAGCTAAACCCAGGCTCAGCATGATGGGCCCAGAGGGAGGCCACCTCTGAGGAGTAACACCCTGGAGGAAGACATAACATTAGGGATTTAGGAAAGTCATGCTAGAAGCTCTCTGATTTCACAAGTATTTACCTGGCAACATGACGAGCCATATGCTGTTTCTGTCTTCCCCATTCTTGAGAGTTTCAGACTTCACCGTTCTATACCCTGTCACTTCTCCTCTGATGCCAGCCCAGGACTAATCTTCACATCTCTGGATCCCACCTGGACCCATTTTTCTCACATTTCCATCTGCAGTGGACTCCAATACTGGCATATCAATTTTGTATTAGGAAGTGTGTACACATTGCTAAGCCATACCTGACCAACAGCTGCTTTGTTGTACTCGTATTTTCTTGTGACACACAAACAAGTGTATCTTTGTTGTACTCGTATTTTCCTGTGACACACAAACAAGTGTATCTAACAGAGGTATTACTCCATGGAAATAATTGCAGAAACAGAATGTTGCCTTTAGGTTGAAGATAAGTCTTCTTCATATTACTGGGTTAGAATGATTACAGAATGTAGGGGGCCACATGATGTGAAGGAGCCAACAATACATGCACTACAGGAAGCAGAGGCAATTCCTTCCTGTGCAAACATCTAAAGGACCTTCATAAAGCATGTGGGTGCTATATAAAAGGATATGTCTAGGCCCAAGTAAATATAAGTACAACAAAGCAGCTGTTGATCAGGTATGGCTTAGTAATACTTCCCTTCGGAAGTACCTTGCATTTTACCAGCATTTTATTTCTTTTAGGTTGTTGGTATGGAGCAAAAGACGAGACACCTTCTAAGCAGACCCTTTCTATACAACAGGAGTCCCCACTCAGGACACATTGGACAGGTGTATGTACCAAGAAGGTCCACCTCTGGGGAATGTGTGGCCCTCTCCTGGGAGATATCTTACACCAGGGAACACAACACAATCAGAAATTGAATGGGTTTGGGGCATATGAAAAAAAATTGGATGACGATGCAAACCATCATCAAGACCAGAAGCAGCACATTGGAGAGAAATCGTACAGAAGCAATGCCAAGGGAACATCTTTTGTAAAGAACTGTAAATTCCATATGTCACATGAGCCATTTATCTTTCATGAGGTTGGGAAAGACTTTTTGTCCAGCTTGAGATTACTCCAACAAGAGGACATTCACACTTCAGGGAAGTCAAACTTTGAAACTAAGCATGGGATACCCCTTCAGGGTGGAAAAACTCATTACATCTGTGGAGAGTCCACAATACCGTTTAGCAACAAACACTCACTTGTCCTTCACCAGAGACTTCTCCCTAGAGAAGGACCTTATGTATGCAGTGATTCTGGGAAATTCACTAGCAAAAGTAATAGTTTTAATAATCATCAGGGAGTTCGCACTGGAAAAAGACCTTATCAGTGTGGACAATGTGATGAATCATTTTGGTATAAGGCCCACCTCACTGAACACCAGAGAGTTCACACTGGAGAAAGACCTTATGAGTGTGGAGAATGTGATAAATCTTTTAGTCATAAGCACAGTCTTGTTGACCATCAGCGAGTTCACACTGGAGAAAGACCTTATGAATGTGACGAATGTGGGAAATCTTTTAGCCATAAGCGCAGCCTTGTTCACCACCAGCGAGTTCACACTGGAGAAAGACCTTATCAGTGTGGAGAATGTGGGAAATCGTTTAATCACAAGTGCAACCTCATTCAGCATCAGCGAGTTCACACTGGAGAAAGACCTTTTGAGTGTACGGCATGTGGGAAGTTATTTAGGAGCAACTCCCACCTAAAGGAACACCAGAGAGTTCACACTGGAGAAAGACCCTATGAGTGTAAAGAATGTAGGAAATCATTTAGGTACAAGTCACACCTCACTGAACACCAGAGAGTTCACACTGGAGAAAGGCCATATGAGTGTAGAGAATGTGGGAAATGTTTTCATCAAAAGGGCAGTCTCATTCAACATCAGCAGATCCACTCTGGAGAAAGGCCACATGAGTGTGGAGAATGTGGGAAATGTTTTCATCAAAAGGGCAGTCTCATTCGACATCAGCAGATTCACTCTGGAGAAAGGCCACATGAGTGTGGAGAATGTGGAAAGTGTTTTCGTCAAAAGGGAAACCTCATTAAACATCAACGAGTTCACACGGGAGAAAGACATCATGAATGTTGAAAATTTGGCAGATCTGTTGGTAAAAAGAGCACCCTCATTCAACATTCGTGAGATCACACTGGAAAGCACTTATGAGTATGGAGAATGTGCAAAATCATCTAGCCAAAAGGTTGGCCTCATTCAACAATAGCAAGATCACACTGGGGAAAGGCTTTCTGAGTGTAGAGAATGTATGAAATCCTGTACATAGAAGTTTTGCCTCACCAAATACCAGAAGGGTCACACTGGAGAAAGACCCTATAGTTATGGGGAATTTGGGAAATTACCTAACAAGAAGTCCCACCTCACTGAACACTACTGAGTTCACAGTTGAGAAAGGCCATATGACTGTAAGGAATTTGTAAAATTATTTAGCCAGAAGAGCTGCATTACTATTCATCAGATAATTTACAATGGAGAAAGGCCACATAATAATTTCTCACATAATAAATGTGAGAAATCATTTCCGTACAGCTCTGCGCTCCATGTTCGTAAGAGTTCACACTGGACAAAGCCTTATGAGAGCAGCGAGTAGAAAATCCTTTGTGGGAAAACTCTGGTTTCATTAAACACAGGAGAGTTCATGCTAGAGAAAGGCCTCAACAGTGTAGCAAATATGGAAAGACATTCACTAGAAGCTCTGCCCTGCAAGTTCACACTAGAGAAAGCCCTTCTCAGTGAAGTAAATTTGGAAAATTGATTAGTCAAACCTCTATGCTCCTTCAAAATCAGAGTTCACACTGGATCAAGGCTTTATGGTGTGACAAATATGGCACATTCTTTATCTAAATGTCTAACATATTATGCACAGACAAGCTCCTGCTGTGGAAGTGCCTTTTGAGTGCAGAGCATTTGCGAGGGCTTCACTCTTCTTTCACTGGATACCAGAATGTTGACAGGAGAAAAATAACATAGATGTGTGGGAATATTACTTCTTGTCCAGTGTAACTGTGGGAGAGAGCCCTTATGAGGACACCATCAACCTATATTGAATGTCATATGTCCAGTAGCTGCATAAATTCCAGGTATATGGGAGCTGTATTGCATTTCTTATCCTGCGTATGTCCTTGCCAGATTTATTTCATTCTTAGGTCTCTGGCAAAAGCCATTTCATCTCTACCACTTGGCAGGTACCTACAGTGCATCACTCATGCACTCCATCATATTCCAGAAAAAAAGTTCAAGTTGTCTCCCATTCAGCAGTGGTATTTTTGAGTAGCCTCTGCACTCGTTCCTTTCTCATTTCTCTATGAAGAGTTAGGCCATGGACCTGACTCAGTTCTGGCCTAGAGCAGAAGTGTCCAATCTTTTGGCTTTCCTGGTCCACATTGGAAGAAGAATTGTCTTGTGCCGCATATGAAATACATTAACACTAATGATAGCTGATGAACTTTTTTAAAAAATCACACAAAAACCCTCATAATGTTTTAAGAAAGTTTACAAATTTGTGTTGGGCTGCATTCAAAGCTGTCCTGAGATACATGCGGCCCACAAGCTGCGGGTTGGACCAGCTTGGCCTAGAGAATTTTTCTGATTACTTGACAAGATGGGCTGTCTTTCCTAGGAATCTCATGATTGTCATGATTCTTAAAATGGAATTTTCCAGCCTCTTAACTCACCAACCCAAGTACAAGCTGCCTCTCATTGTTCTGGTTTCTGCTATGATGAAGTCCTTATTTAAGCTTCCTTCAATCTTGGGAATTGTATTGACTGTATTGTGTGAATTGTATACTCACTGCATTGTGTGGCTTAGATACAACATGGTTCTGGTACCATGAAGGATTCTGGTACCATGAAAGTTTGTTGGGGTTACTAAACTGTGTGACTCTTAGGGAACAGTATGAAGGCAGAATATAGCTCTGCATTTGTGGCCTAGTTTGGATGGCTGCCTAAGGCCTCCAAATAAAGACTTCAGGGCTTTGTGATCTTTATTTTTAGATGAAATAGTGCAATAATATGTGTTTTCATAAATCAACCTGAGTAGGGGACAGTTTTAGTGACACACTTTGGTGCTTCTGAGAACAGCACAAAATTATTCTCTTGTTTATAATGGATATTGCATTCTGCTCAGTACTGGTGAGGGAAATCTGTTCTCAAGTCCTACAGTGCATTCATGTGTCCTGAAGTCCAGAATTCTGTAGGATAGTGTCCTACGTTATAAGCCTGGAGAAAGAAATCATAATTCTTTAATTTTTATTTTTTTAGGGAAATGATGTCACTCTGAAACTCAGGCTGGAATACACTGGCATGGTCATACCTCACTGCGGCCTCAAACTCCTGGGCTCAAGTGATCCTCCTGCCTCAGCCTCCCGAGTACCTGAGATTAGCCCAGGTAATTTAAGAATTTTTTATAGAGATAGGGTTTTGCTATTTTACCCTGACTGATGTTCAACTCCTGGCCTCAAGTAATCCTCTAGCATACGCCCTTGAAAGCACTAGGATTACAGGTGTGAGCCACCATGCCCAGCCCAAAAATAATTTTTGTAGAATTAGCATTTCTAGGTAGTGAAGCAGACTGCAACAGAATAGTTGGGATATACTTTTTTTAAAAAGGCATCCACAATGATTCAGTCACTATGTCTGTGATGGACAAGCAGGTACAGAAATTTTCAGGACCTCCATAATTATGAATCTAGTGTAGCTTAGGTCATTGTCAGACTAAATCTAAAGGTTTTGTGGATTTCTGTAGCCTATCTGGGCTGCATACCAAAAAGCCATCCCTGAATTAGTAGGAGGAAGAGGATAGGGAGAAAGGAAATCTCTTAGTCCAGTGATGTGGCCTTTGCAACCAGCCAGCATTCCAATTTAATCAGGTGGAAATGATCTTCCTGGCTCATAAGTATTTGGTATCACACAGGCTAATTGCCCCCCTTAGGGCGTGATGAGAGTTAGGAGAGTCAATGTAAAATCACATAACCTATTTGTCAAAAATAATGTTAAATCCAGATAGTTCTTTCAAATTAAATTTTTAAAGCTGTAATAAGACTGGGCATGGTGACTCATGCCTGTTATCCCAACACTTTGGGAGTCCAGGGTGGGAGTATTGCTTGAGGTAAGAAGTTTGAGACTAGCCTGGGTCCCATAGTAAGACCCTGTCTCTTAAAAAATAAATACTATCTTTCTCTCTGGCCTCTCCATGCTCCAGACAATCACTGAATTACAATATTTGCTTAACAGTAGATTAATGTCAATTTTCTGGAATTTTATATGACTGATATAACATGTTTCCTCTTTTCATACCTGAGTACTCTCCTGAGCCCTATTTATTTAGATGTTCTTCTTTTTTCTTTATTATTATTTTTATTTCACATAGCAGGGATGCATATTTTGACATTCATCAATCATGATATATGAGTAGTTCATTCTTTTTATCTTAGAATATGACATGCTATGGAAATCACTGTATACGAATTCATCTGCTTATGGATATGTTATTGCTTCTTATTTTTGTCTGTTAGGAATAAAACTGCTTGTTAAGCACATTTGAATGCAATTCTTCATATAGATAAGGTTTCATTTCTCTTGTTTGAATGCCTTGGTGTGCAGTGCCCAACTCACATGGTAGATGAATGTATACCCCTCTCCCAACTCCAGGCCGCACAGCTTACAGCTCCAAGAGAGACTCCTTCCCTCCACTTGAGGAGAGGAGAGGGAAGAATAAAGAAAACTTTGTCTTGGAACTTGTTCCAGCTCAGCTACAGTAGGATAGGGCACCAGGCTGAGGCCCCTATTCTAGGCCCTAGCTCTGAATGACATTTCTAGATATACCCTGGGCTAGAAGAGAACCCACTTCTTTGAAAGGGAGGATCCAGTCCTGGGAGGATCCATCACCTGCTGACTAAAGAGTCATTGGGCCCTGAATAATCAGCAGTAATACACAGGCAGTACTCACCATGTGCCATTGGTGAGACTCAGACGCTGGCTTCAGGTGTGACCCAGCACATTCCCAGCTGTGATGGCTTTCAGGAATGACTCCTGCTTGAGAAACAGAAGAGTAAAGAAGACTTTGTCTTACCGCTTAGATACCAGTTTGGCCACAGTAGGGTAGAGCACCAAGTAGGCTCTTAGGGTCCCTAATTTCAGGCCTTGGCTCTTGGATGGCCAGAGGAAAGCCCACTGCCCTGAACAGTGTCCCAAGCCTGGCAGCACTCACCACAAGCCTGTGAGTCCCACAGTCCTGGACTGGTGAGGACCATGGGGAGAGACACCTCTGCTTGTGAAAACAGGAGGGAAGAGTGAGAAGGATTTTGTCTTATGGCTTGGGTGCCAGTTCACCTGCAGTAGAACACCAGATAGATTCCTAAGGTTTCCCACTACAGGCTCTGGCTCGCAGATGGCTTTTCTGAATGTGCCTAGGATGGGGAGGAGCTTGCCACTCTGAAGGGAAGGACATAAACCTCGCTGGTTTTGCCCCCTGCTGATTGTAGAGTCCTAGGGCCTTGAACAAACAGGGAGTAGCCAGGAAGTGGTCAGTATGAGCCTTGGGCAGCACCCAGTTCTCTGCTGGCTACAGGTCTGACCCCACATAGTCCCATTGGTGGTGGCACAGGGGTACTTGTGTTACTGCTCCTCCAGCTAAAGGCAGCTCAGCACAAAGAAACTTTGGAAACCTGCCAGCAGGAGACTCAATGACCCCCATGAACACTTGAGCTGGCAGGGAGAGCTGCTTAGAGAAGTGGTAGGGACAGAACTCCAGCCAGTGCAGAGCCCAGAGGATTTGGGGTGGGAGCATCTCTAGTGGAGCACAGCTAGACACGCCCATATTTCAAGGTTCGCCTTGCTTCCCTAACAGACTTTAGCCCTAGGGAAGTCAGACCTGATCAGTGCAGGGCGTTCTTGCCGATAAGTTGGGGATGGTTGGACCTGAGCACCTCTTGGTCAGCTGGCCTCTCCCAGGGCTCCAGGCTACCCACACCTGCTTGCAGTGCGACCTCGGTTGCCCAGGTGGGGTCCCTTATGGGGGTGTACATCATAGCTCCTGTGCTGGTGAACTGCAGTTGATAAATCCCATAGTCGTGCAACAGCCCACCTGCACCTTCCCAAAACTGCGGCCTCTCTGAGACACTTTGCCTGCATGCATTCACCTATGGCCACCCCCGACGTTGCTTTGCCAGCATATGTGCATGCAAGTGGACCTTGCCTTCTCTTTTCCACCAGCATGCGTGTGCATGTGCACCCTGTCATGCTACAGCTGCCAGTGTGAGCACACCTCATCCCCCCAACTTTTCGCTGCACCACCATTGCTGTCAGAGCATTTGCGATCCCAGAGACTGCCAGCCCGCACCTGCCAGCACCCCACCCCTGGACCAGCACAAAACTACACAGACGAGCAGACACACTCCACTCACCAGTATCAGCTGCTACCCACGTGAATGCATGCACAGAGGGTACAAACAGTCCTGCACCTGCCAGCACCTTGCCTCCATATTAACTCCACTGCTGGTGTGAATGTGTACTGGGACATCAATGGAACCCCCTTCCCTACCCCCCCATGTTGTGCTGCCACCACCAGCACTGTGAACACTCACGTGGAGGCTGGCACCCCTACACCCACCAGCACTCCATCGCAGCCAATAAACGTACACCCCACCACTGCCATTGCTGCTGGCATGTGGGAACAAGGATGGATCCTGCTGCCACCACCCTAAGCACTGGGGCTGGCACTGCCCTTCAGAGTGTTGTTACCAATAGTCTGGGAACAACTTGACCCTCCAGCATGGCAGGTTTCTGACCTCCAGGGATCATAGGACAAAGCTGGATGCCTGATACCAGGCCCCGTGTATTAGAGCACACAGTCTAGTAGTCCTGAGCTGAGCCTTGGACCCCTAAAATGCTCCAGAAATTAAGACAGTTGACTGGAGCCACATTATACCACAAACTCTTAAGGGCACCAAAAAGGATAAAAGAAAAAGAAGTCCATCCAAAGTTCAGCAACTTCAAAGATTGAAGAAATATCAGCCAACAAAGATGAGAAAGAACCAGGGCAAGAACTCTGGTAACCGAAAAAGCCAGAGTGTCTTCTTACTTCAAAACAACCACACTAGTTCCCCAGCAGTAGTTCCTAACCAGACTGAGATGGCTGAAATAACATAAATAAAATCCAAAATATGGATAGGAATCAAGATCATTGACATACAGGAGAAAGTCAAAAACTAATCCAAGGAATCTATTGATTACAATAAAATAATACAGGAGCTGATAGACAAAATGGCCTTTATAAGAAAGAACCAGACTGACTTAATAGAGCTGAAAAATGCTCTACAAGAATTTCATAATGCAATCACAAGAATTAACCGCACTGTGGGAGGCCAAGGTGAGCAGATCGGTTGAGGCCAGGAGGTTGAGACCAGCCTGACCAACATGGCAAAACCCTGTCTCTACTAAAAAAATAATAATAATACAAAAAATTAGCCAGTTGTGGTGGTATGTGCCTGTAGTCCCAGCTGTTTGGGAGGCTGAGGCATGAGAATTGCTTGAACCCAGGAGGCAGAGGTTGCAGTAAACCGAGATTGCACCACTGAACTCCAGCCTGGGTGACAGAGTGAGATTCCGTCTCAAAAATAAAAATCAAAAAAAGAGAGAATGCTGAATATGGGATCCAGTCTCTTTTGTCTTGTAGGATTTCTACTGACAGGTCTGCTGTTAGCCTGACAGGGTTCCCTTTATAGGTGACCTGTCCCTTCTATCTAGCTGCCTTTAATATTTTCTGTTTCATTTCGACCTGGAAGGATCTGATGACTATGTGTCTCAGGGATGGTCTTCTTTGTAGTATTTTGCAGGGGTTCTCTGCATTTCCTGAATTTTAATGTTGGCCTCCCTAGCGAGGTCGGAGAAATTTTCATGAGTGATATCCTGAAATATGTTTTCCAAGTTGCTTGGTTTCTCTCCCTGTCTCTCAGGCATGCCAAAGAGTCATAGGCCACTTTATATAATCCCATATTTCTTGAAGGTTTTCTTCTGTGTTGTTTTTTCTTTTCTTTTCTTTTTTTTATTTTGAGACTGAGTCTTGCTCTTGTCGCCCAGGCTGGAGTGCAATGGCGCAACCTCGGCTCACTGCAACCTCTGCCTCCCTGGTTCAAGCAATTCTCCGGCCTCAGCCTCCCGAGTAGCTAGGATTACAGGCGCCTGCCACCACGCCCAGCTAATTTTTGTATTTTTAGTAGAGATGGGGTTTCGCCATGTTGGCCAGGCTGGTCTCAAACTCCTGACCTCTTGATCTGTCCGCCTTGGCCTCCCAAAGTGCTGGAATTACAGATGTGAGCGACCGCACCAGGCCTGTTTTTTATTTTCCCTGAGTTGTTTCAGAGAGCCGGCCTTCATGCTCTGAGATTTTTTCCTCAACTTGGTCAATTCTTGTTTTTTTTTTTTTTCTTTTTTTTTTTTTTTGAGATGGTGTCTCACTCTATCGCCCAGGCTGGAGTGCAGCGGTGTGATCTCAGCTCACTGCAAGCTCCACCTCCCGGGTTCATGCCATTCTCCTGCCTCAGCCTCCCGAGTAGCTGGGACTACAGGCGCCTGCCACCACGCTTGGCTAATTTTTTTGTATTTTTAGTAGAGACAGGGTTTCACCATGTTAGGCAGGATGGTCTTGAACTCCTGACCTTGTGATCCACCTGCCTTGGTCTCCCAAAGTGCTGGGATTACAGGCATGAACCAATGCGCCCGGCTCAACTTGGTCAATTCTGTTAATTCTTTTTTTTTTTTCTTTTTTTTGAGACAAAGTCCCACTCGTGAGGTCTGGATCAAGACCGCTTTTCGGGTGACAGTGTCAATTGTCTACAGACTTAGGGAAAATTTTAATGGCCACACCAGTACAGATACAGGTGGCTCCAAATAAACCACTTCCCAATATTAAACAGTATTCATTGAAGCAGGAAGCTATAAGCTGGGTACGGTGTTGCACACCTGTAGTTTTAGCCTCTGTAAGCAGACAGGGAGGATCTCCATGGATTATAGGAATATAATCAACTTGAGCAATTACCCTGTTTTACAGCCTCCTCCCCTTCTGCCTGTACCTCTCCAAACCATGGTTTGAATGCAGTCACCTTGTTGGGCTAAAACAGCTCCTGACAGACCCCAAGCAGTGTAGATGAACCCAAGTTAACTTTCCTTATTAACATGCTGAAGTCTCCACTCTGGAAGGAGCTATAGCTTCATTACCATAACATGCTTTCTATGTGCTGGTATGACTCACTGCATCTGTGCAACTGGGACCCCAATTCTACATGCACTGATGCACCTTCTCCCATCACCATTATACCATAAAACTCTCCTGTTACTTGTCCTCAGGGAGACACTGCTTTGGAGAATACTCCCAGTGTCCTCTTTACTTGAGCCAAGTAATAAAAGTATTGATCAATACCTGTGTTCTCTGGCCGGGCGAGGTGGCTCGTGCCTGTAATCCCAGCACTTTGGGAGGCTGAGGCGGATGGATCACCTGAGGTGAGGAGTTCAAGAGCAGCCTGGCCAACATAGTGAAACCTTGCCTCTACTAAAAATACAAAAATTAACTGGGCATGATGGTGGGTGCCTGTAATCCCAGCTACTCCAAAAGCTGAGGCAGGAGATTCACTTCAACTGGGGAGGCGGAGGTTGCAGCGAGCCAAGATCCCGCCATTGCACTCCAGCCTGGGTGACAAGAGTGAAACTCCGTCTCAAAACAAACAAACAAACAAACAAAAACCTGTGTTCTCATGGAAAGTCATTTGTTATGCACCAGGTGAATGAACCTGGTATTTTTCAGGTAACACTACTCAGGATGCTGAGGCAGGAGGATCCCTTGAGCCCAGGAATTTGAAGCCACCCTGGGCAACATAGGGAGACATCATCTCAAAACAAGAAGCTATAATAGGAATAAAACAAATAACCAAAGATTACCTTGAAAAGGGATTGATTATCCCTTCCACCAGTCCTAATAGTCCCATCTTCCTGACACAAAACCTCACAGGAAAGGATGAAGATTTATACAAGATTTGAGAACTATTAATACTACTGTGATTCGGCCGGGCGCAGTGGCTCACACCTGTAATCCCAACACTTTGGGAGGCCGAGGCGAGCAGATCACGAGGTCAGGAGATCGAGACCATCCTGGCTAACACGGTGAAACCCCGTCTCTACTAAAAATAGAAAAAAAATTAGCCAGGTGTGGTGGCGGGTACCTGTAGTCCCAGCTACTCGGGAGGCTGAGGCAGGAGAATGGTGTGAACCTGGGAGGCGGAGCTTGCAGTGAGCTGAGATCACTCCACTGCACTCCAGCCTGGGCAACAGAGTGAGACTCTGTCTCAAAAAAAAAAAAAATACTACTGTGATTCCTCATCAACCAGTAGTTCTAAACCCCCACACTCTTTTATCCAATGTACATGTAAACTGTGAATATGTCACTGGTGTTGATTTATGCAGTGCTTTTTAGGCATACCAATACACCCTGACAGTATTTGTTTGCCTTTACCTAGATTGGATATCAATATATCTGGACTGTTGTGCCTCAAGGTTACACCAAAAGCCCAACTTATTTTTCACACATATTAAAGGCTGACCTAGCTGAGCTAAATTTCTCTTGTTATGCTTCTCCAATCTGCATAATTATAAAAAGGACTCCTTGCACTTCCTGGAACAAAAAGCAAAAAGAGGTCATAAGCTGTCTACAGAAAAACTCCAGTTTTGCTTTATGAGCTATCTACAGAAAAACTCCAGTTTTGCCTTACAGAACTAAAATATTTGGAACAATTAATTCCTAGGGAGAAACTACAGATACATCTGGATTGAGTAACCGGACTTCTTGGATACCCTACTCCAAAAAGTAAAAGACAGCTTTGGCCAGGCACGGTGGCCCACGCCTGTAATCCTAGCACTTTGGGAGGCTGAGGTGGATGGATCACCTGAGGTCAGGAGTTCGAGACCAGCCTGACCAACATGAAGAAACTCCGTCTCTACTAAAAATACAAAATTAGCCAGGTGTGGTGGTGCATGCCTGTAATCCCACCTACTCGGGAGGCCGAGGCAGGAGAATTGTTTGAACCTAGGAGGCAGAGGTTTCAGTGAGCCGAGGTCGCAGCATTACACTCCACCCTGGGCAACAAGAGCGAAACTCCATCTAATAAACAAACAAACAAAAAAAAGACAACAGGATTTTAGGCTTGGCTGACTACTGTCATAGCTGGATGTCCAATTTTTCTCTAATGCCACAGACTTTATATGCATTGTAGAAAGATCAGCCTAACCTCATACACTGGACATCAGAAGGACAAATAATAAATAAAGAAAAATCTTACAAGCCCCCGCTTTGGCCCATGCAAATTATTAGCTGCTGTTTTTCCTTTCTTTGTTTTTTGCGATTTTTTGTTCATGTAAGGCATGGCAGTTCCCTGGGTGTTCTAATTGAAAAACCTGGAGGACAATGTAGGGCTATTGGTTATTATAGTCAGCAATTAGACCATGTAGTACATGGGTGACCTCTTTGTCTGAGGGCCATTTTTGCCACTGCCATGCTCCTTACGATTACTCAGAAAATTGTAATGGAGGCTCCTCATTCTATAGAAGCTCTTTTGAATTCACATAATACACAGCAATTTTCCATTAATAGATTGGTTTCTTATGACAAACTTACACTGTCTGCTTCATATGCTGCCCTCTCTATCTGTAATACTCTTAATCCTGCAGTGCAACTTCCTGAAACAACAGATGAAATATTTCATCACTGTATTCTACTCACAGAATTGGTGTCCAGACAGGATTTATAGGACACATCATGTAAAAATGTTGATATTATCTGGTTCACAGATGGATCGGATCTAAAGGATACATTTTGAAAATACTGAGCAGGCTACAACCTTGTGTCTCTTGTGGACATCAGAAAGAGCAATCCCACCGGGTGCGGTGGCTCATGCCTGTAATCCCAGCACTTTGGGAGGCTGAGGCGGGCGGATCACAAGTTCAGGAGTTCAAGACCAGCCTGGCCAATATGGTGAAACCCCGTCTCTACTAAAAATACAAACATTAGCCGGGTGTGGTGGCAGGCGCCTGTAGTCCCAGTTACTTGGGAGGCTGAGGCAGGAGAATCGCTTGAACCTGGGAGGCAGAGGTTGCAGTGAGCCTAGACTGCGCCACTGCACTCCAGCCTGGGCAACAGAGGGAGACTCTGTCTCAAAAAAAAAAGCAAAAAAAAAAAAAAGCCATCACTTGCCTCAAGTAAAATCAGCACAGCTAGCTGAATTAACAGCACTCACCAGTTTGTCAACTGGCCAAAAATCAAATGGATAATATTTATACTTAAAGGTATTATGCTATTGGTGTAGCTCATGACCTTGGGATGTTATGGAATCAGGCTTTTTTTTTTTGATACAGAGGCTTGCTCTGTTGCCCAGGCTGGAGTGTAGTGGTGCAATCTTGGCTCACTGCAACCTCCTCCTCCCGGGTTCAAGCAATTCTCCTGCCTCAGCCTCCCGAGTAGCTGGGATTACAGGCGCTCGCCACCACCCCCGGCTAATTTATTTATTTATTTATTTTTTAGATGGAGTCTCGCTCTGGCTGGAGTGCAGTGGCGCAAACTCGGCTCACTGCAAGCTCCGCCTCCCGGGTTCACGCCATTCTCCTGCCTCAGCCTCCCGAGTAGCTGGGACTACAGGCACCCGCCACGGCGCCCAGCTAATTTTTTGTATTTTTAGTACAGACGGGGTTTCACCGTGGTCTCTATCTCCCGACCTCATGATCTGCCCACCTCGGCCTCCCAAAGTGCTGGGATTAAAGGCATGAGCCACCATGCCTGGCCAATTTTTGTATTTTTAGTAGAGACAGGTTTTCACCATGTTGGTCAGGCTGGTCTCGAACTCCTGACCTCATGATCCGCCCCCCCACCCCCCACCCCCCCACTGTCCCCCAAAGTGCTAGGATTACAGGCATGAGCCACTGTGCCTGGCCAGTGAGGTTACTTAACCTCCCCCAGATATCTAATTAAACATGGCTCTCAAGTTTCTGATCATTTAGAAGCCATCCGATTATCAAAAAAGAATGTTTTATTAACGTTCCTGAACATTCAAACTCACCTCTCCAAAGAGTAAAAAAAAATTATTTCGCAGATGCAGCAGCAAAAAGACTCTCTTGACACCAATATCACATGAAACTATAAAAGTCACTACATTCAAAATAAGTGCCATTGAACAGGAACTCCAAGGGATTCAAAAAGAGGCTTCAGATAAGAAAAAGTAGATATGGCTAACAAAGCGGTAATGCTTTTCCCCCATTTACAAATTTTGGTGTGGACCCAACAGGAGACCCATCTTGCCTTTGAGATTTCAATTTCTTATGGTACAACATGTTTATGAGCCAACTCACGGGAAATCTGAGAAAATGATTGTTTGGGGAAAGAAATACTACTGGAAACCCTCACCTCCATTACTGAATAAAGTTTACACTAAATATCCAATTTAATTTATACAAAGCATAATCCAAGAAAGCTTTTTTTTTTTTTTTTTTTTGAAACGGAGCCTCACTCTGTCCTCTGTCACCCCGGCTGGAGTGCAGTGGCGCGATCTTGGCTCACTGCAGCCTCCGCCTCCTGGGTTCAAGTGATTCTCCTGCCTCAGCCTCCTGAGTAGCTGGGATTACAGGCATGCGCCACCACACCCAGCTAATTTTTCTATTTTCAGTAGAGACGGGGTTTCACTATGTTGGTGAGGCTGGTCTCGAATTCCTGACCTCGTGATCCGCCCACCTCTGCCTCCCAAAGTCCTGGGATTACAGGCATGAGCCACCGCACCCGGCCAACTTTTTTGTTTGTTTGTTTGTTTGTTTGTTTGAGACGGAGTCTCGCTCTGTCCCCCAGCCTGGAGTGCAGTGGCGTGATCTCGGCTCACTGCAACCTCCGCCTCCCGGGTTCAAGCCATTCTCCTGCCTCAGGCTCCGGAGTAGCTGGGACTACAGGCGCCTGCCACCACGCCCAGCTAATTTTTTTGTATTTTTAGTAGAGACGGGGTTTCATCATATTAGCCAGGATGGTCTCGATCTCCTGACCTCGTGATCCGCCCGCCTCGGCCTCCCAAAGTGCTGGGATTACAGGTGTGAGCCACCGCGCCCAGCCAACTTTTTTTTTAAGTATAGAAAATTTTACAGGTTGGGCGCGGTGGCAGGCGCCTATAATCCCAGCTGCTCGGGGGGCTGAGACAGGAAAATCACTTGAACTTGGCCAAGAGGCGGAGGTTGCAGTGAGCCGAGATCGCAGCAATGCACTCCAGCCTGGGTGACAGAGCGAGACTCCATCTCAAAAAAAAAAAAAAAAAAAGAGGTGGAGATTTCCCAGAACTGAGGTTCCCTCCCCTTTTTAGACTATATAGGGTAACTTCCAAACATTGCCAGGGCATTGGTATACTGTCATGGCGCTGGCGGGAGTTAGTATGCTAATGCATTATAATTAGCGTATAATGAGCAGTGAGGATGACCACAGGTCACTTTCATCACCATCTTGGTTTTGGTGCGTTTTAGCCAGCTTCTTTACTGCATCCTGTTTTATCAGCAGGGTCTTTGTGACCTGCATCTTGTGCCAACCTCCTATCTCATCCTGTGACTAAGAATGCCTAACCTGGGAATGCAGCCGAGTATTTCTCAGCCTTACTTTATCCAGCCCATTTTCAAGATGGAGTCACTCTGATTCCAATGCCACTGACAATGATAAGCACTTGCCAGCAAAGAGGTGAACGCATGGATTTAAGGCACTTGAAATATCTCAGTGTAAAAGCACCCTGTGCATGTAGCAGGACGAGCCGCAGACAAAACCTCTCAGACACCGAGTTGCAGAAGGAAGGGCTTTATTCAGCTGGGAGCATTGGCCAGCTACTGTCTCAAAATCTGAGCTCCCGGAGTGCACAATTTCTGTCCCTTTTAAGGGCTCACAACACTAAAGATTTCACATGAAAGGGTCGTGATTGATTTGAGCAAGCAAGGGGTATGTGACAGGGGCTGCATGCACCGGTGGTCAGGGAGGAACAGAACAGGGCAGGGAGTTTCACAATGTTCTTCTATACAATCTAAGGAATCTATGAATAACATCGGCTTCTAAATCATAAGTTGATTTTTAACTACTGGGTTTAGGCCAGGCGGGCCTAGGCCTGGTTTCGGGCCTGGCGCGGGGTTGCCTGTCTTTGGTTTTACTTCCTTGTTGTTTTTACTGAATATAAAACAATGTGAGAGGGTCTCTCTCTTCTCTCATGCATACATACTCCATGTTTGAACACCGCAGCCATTGTCCTGTAACATAATAGCATTTGTCTCATTAGCTTTTTGATGTTGATATCAGATTTCTAGAGGAATCTGTAGGTTAAAGATATAAATAAAAGTGTTGCTAATGGGCTGAGAACGGTGGTTCACGCCTGTAATCCTAGCACTTCGGTAGACCATTGCAGGCAGATCACTTGAGGCCAGAAGTTCGAGACCAGCCTGGCCAAAATGAGGAAACCCCGTCTCTACTAAAAATACAAAAATTAGCAGGGTATGGTGGCACACGCCTGTAATCCCAGCTACTCGGATGGTTGAGGCACGAGAATCGCTTGAACCCGGGAGGCATAGGCTGCAGTGAGCCAAGATCACACCACTGCACCCCAGCCTGAGTGACAGAGAGAACTATGTCTTAAAAAAAAGACAAAAAAAAAAAAAAAAGGAAGAAGCCGAGCATCACAAATTCTGAAATAAGAAGTCTCCAAACACGCGGGCAATCAGTTGCACACAGTACCCCCAGAAATGTGCGTATGGCCTCTTCTAAGATGGGAGACCCTCCTCCGCATCTGGACCTGGAGTCGCCATTTCCTAGCGCCCCTCGCAGTGGAGCTTGCCCCTTTCTTCGGAAAGTCGGAAGAAAGCCACCTTAAGCGCTGCCCATGTCTGGGAACTACATTACCCAGAATCCGCCCTGCGAAATGGTAACGTGGCTGAGCCAATGAAGCTTCAGAGAAGCCGTGCCATTGCCGGGGCACGTAAAGTCAAGCCAGGACTTCCGGCGTCCTAGCCGTGGCAGCCATTTTGGCCTGTCAGGTCCATCCGGCGATGCTGGGTCTGGACGAGCTCGGGAGGAGTGGTTGTGGCCATTGCACACAGGCGGATCTGAGGTTCGGCGACGCCGCTGGTCGCGACCCGGGACAGGACAACGACAGGAACACCGCCGAGCCCGCGTTCCCCCCCCGCCCAGAGTCATGGCGGCAGCAGCCGCTCTGAGGGCGCCTGCTCAGGTGAGCGCTGCGACCTCCGGGCCTTACCCACCCTACCCACCCAGACCCTGAGGCCCCTGATCGTGAGGGCCGCCTCCTCGCGTCCCTGCAGCCCAGGCCTCTGTCAGGGACGGAGAGGCGCCGGCGGGTGGGATCCCTGTTTCCGACACCCAGTTGATGCGGTCGGCAGAGCGAGACTGGCGGAGGGCAAAGGCCTGCAGGCGCGACTGAGGCAGGAGGATGCGGAACACGGGGACATCGTGTGTCTACTGGGAAAGAAGTGTGATACGGAGTTATTTCTTTTTTTTTTTTTTTTTGAGACGGAGTCTCACTCTGTCGCCCAGGCTGGAGTGCAGTGGCGCGATCTCGGCTCACTGCAAGCTCCACCTCCCCGGTTCAAGCGATTCTCCTGCCTCAGCCTCCCGAGTAGCTGGGATTACAGGCATGCGCCACCACGGGGTTTCACCATGTTGGCTAGGCTGGCCTCGAACTCCTGACCTTAGGTGATCCGCCCACCTCGGCCTCCCAAAGTGCTGGGAATACAGGCGTGAGCCACCGCGCCTGGCCGAGGCGGAGTTGTTTCTTCAGTACCAGGCTGAGGGTTGAACTTTGACTGTGAGGACGCTAAAAGCCATGGACAGTTTTGAACAAAGGAGGAAATCTGTGTTAGAGTTGCGATTCCCAAAAGATGTTCGAAGGAAGAACAGAGTTGAAGGCAGTGATGAGGACATTGAGAGGTTGAATCATTGAGAGGTGACATTGAGCACTGGGCCACAAGATTAGAGACTCAGTCTGAAGTCATCTGGCTGCAGGGCCAAAAAAAGCTTACAGAGAAGCCTGAGTCTATCAAATCCGAGCACAGACACATTTGTGAAAGCCCTGCCTTTTGGCACACCTCATGGCTACAGAAGCACTTACAGAATCCACAGTAGGAAGTAGGGGATGCTCTAGTCCTTCACTGGTCCTCATCCTATCCCACATGTCTAGATCTTGGCATCTTTTTTTTTTTTCGGCGACGGGTTCTCACTCAACACCCAGGCTGGGTTGCGGTGACGCGATCACGGCGCAGCACGGCCTCGACCTCTCCGGGCTCAGGAGAGCCTCTCATCTCAGTCTCCCGAGTAACTGGCTTTTTGTATTTTTAGTAGAGGTGGGGTTTCACGGCCGGGCGCGGTGGCTCACGCCTGTAATCCTAGCACTTTGGGAGGCCGAGGCGGGCGGATCACGAGGTCAGGAGTTTGAGACCATCCTGGCTAACACGGTGAAATCCCCCCTCTACTAAAAATACAAAAAATTAGCCAGGCCTGGTGGCACACACCTGTAGTCCCAACTACTTGGGAGGCTGAGGCAGGAGAATCGCTTGAACCCGGGAGGCAGAGGTTGCAGTGAGCCGAGATCGCGCCACTGCACTCCAGCCTGGGCGACAGAGAAAGACTCCGTCTGAAAAAAAAAAAAAAAAGAGAGAGAGAGAGATGGGGTTTCGCCATGTTGCCCAGGCTAGTCTCGAACCCTTGGGCTCAAGCAGTCCTCTTGCTTCGGCTTCCCAAAGTGCTGGGATGCCAAGCAGGAACTACCGCACCTCCTAGGACACTTAAGTGCCATTTCTCCGGTCCTTCAATCTGGGGATCTTGGAAAAACCTCAAACCCCAAACCTACATCAGTGACATAGGTTATGGGGAGTTGTTGCTATGTCTGTCAACTAATGTAACACATGTGGAGGGTTCACCCAGGAACTGATACTGGGGTGTGCAAATACTTACTTAGAAGTGAAACTAGAGGGGTGAGGTGATGTTACCAATTTCTTAATAGGCGCTGTCTGGTTACTGAGTGGGCAACAGACTGTGGGGTTGAGGGAGGAGGAAGATCAAACTGGAAGCTACTGCCCTAGTCGAGGTGAGGATTAATGGACTAGAGTTGTGGCTTAGGCAATGTGGCTAGATCTGGATTTGTGTTTTTTAGAGGGGCAAGTCAATTTTTTTTTTCCCAAGATGGAGTCTGGACCTGTTGCCCAGGCTGGAGTGCAATAGTGGAATCTTGGCTCACTGCAACCTCCGCCTCCTGAGTTCAAGCGATTCTCCTGCCTCAGCCTCCGAAGTAGCTGGGATTACAGGCGCGCGCCTCCACACCCAGCTAATTTTTGTATTTTTAGTAGAGACTAGGTTTCGCCATATTATCCAGGCTGCCTCGAACTCCTGACCTCGTGATCCACCCGCCTTGGCCTCCCAAAGTGCTGGGATTACAGGCTTGAGCCACCGTGCCCAGCCTGGCAACTCAATTTTTAAATGTGAACAGTGAGAGCTTGAGAGGATTCAGGAAACACCCCTGGGTTTTTTATCTTAGCAGCTGTAGCAATGGGAGCTGCATCAACTGAGATGAGCAAGTTGATAGCAGGTGTAATATTCACTGAGGCTATCAGGAGGTTTGTTTTGGCCATTCTGCGTGGAAAAAAATACAAATTGCTTTTGCTCTGCTCTCCCCCACAACAATCAACACAGAGTACTTCTGTGACTAGATAATGTGTGGATGGTTTTCCTCATACACCAAGTAGTTCTGCAGTGGACATCAGATCCCACAGGGTGAAGTCTCAGTCCCACGGGACTGTCCGCCAACCCCTTTCGATGCCAATCACAAGCCCCAGGATGTTTTTTTTTTTTTACCTGTCCTTTGACTGACTTGATAAAAATCAGGTTCCCATGACCCCTTCCTCGGCTTCCATTAAATTGCTAGAGCCAGTCACAGAACCTCAGGAGATGCTTTAATTTGCCAGTTTATTTTAAAGAGTATTTATTACAAAGGTTACAGATGAAGAGATGCATAAGGGGAAGCGACCCAGAGCTTTTATGATCTTCAGGCACACCACCATCCAGGAACTTCCATGTGTTTGGCTATTTGGAAGCTCCCCAGACCCTGTCTTTATGGGGTTTTATGGAGGCTTTATTACATAGGCATGATTAATTAAATCATTGGTCAATGCTGATCAGCTTAACTTTTGGCCCCCTCTCCCCTTTCTGGAGATTGGGGTATGGGGCTGAAATTTCCAGACCTCGAATCCTGACATAGTCTCTTTTCCCTGACCGGTCTCCATTCTGAAGTTATCTAGGGGTTTCCAACCATCAGTCAACTCATTGCCATTCAAAGTCACTTATAAATTTGAGAATTTCATGAATTTTAGGAGTTGCATGCCAGAAAAGGAGATGACCAAATATATATTTCACAATATCACACCCATATTAAGATTCTGAAATGTATTAGATACTACTTAGTGGAGCTATTAAATGGGCAGCTGGACACATAGATGCAAATATCTGGGGAAGCGTTGATATTGGAGGTATCTAATATATGGTAACTACTGTGTGGACTGAAATGATTGAGTCATGGCTCACATTTGGAAGGCACAACCTTCAGATTATGTTGATGACACTGTTGGACAGGAAGTAGAGTTTGGGTTTCCTGCTTGTGTACCTGGTGATGGTATTGGATTTGAGAAACACAGGTAAGGGAGGTAAATGGCCATGAAGGGAGGATACATCTGTTTCTTCTTCTTCTTTTTTTTTTTTTTTTTTTGAGACAGAGTTTTGCTTTGTCGCCCAGACTAGAGTGCCGTGGTGCAATCTCGGCTCACTGCAACCTCCGCCTCCTGGGTTCAAGTGATTCTTCTGCCTCAGCCTCCCGAGTAGCTGGGATTATAGGTGCCTGCCACCATGCCTGGCTAATTTTTGTATTTTTAGTACAGACAGGGTTTCACCATCTTGGCTAGGCTGGAAAGGGAGGATACATCTGACAGACTAGTTTGGCAAGTGACATAATGCTTCCAAGAAATGAATAGACTTGAGATGCATGCTGACGCATAGGAGTAGCTGAGGGAAGATGACACTCAGGCTGGAGCTTGTGTTTATTGGCCACTTTGTGGCCTCACCAAGATTTTGAGATGACTTTAGTGTGGCCTGGGGTGTTTGATTCAGCCTGGTGGATGTGGAGGCAAATATGGTCACCTTGTGAGAGTCACTATGCATGAGATTGATGACCAGTGGTTCTGGGCTTTGAATGGGGTTAGGTGGACAGAAGAAAGTCATAGTTGCCGGGCATAGTGGCTCACACCTGTGATCCCAGCACTGTGGGAGGCCAAGGTGGGCAGATCACGTGAGGCCGGGGGTTCGAGATCAGCGTCGCCAACATGATGAAAGCCCATCTCTACTAAAAATACAAAAAAAGTAGCTGACGTGGTGGCAGGCACCTGTAATCCCAGATATTCGGGGGCTGAGACAGGAGAATCGCTTGAACCTGGGAGGCAGAGGTTGCAGTGAACCGAGATTGTGTCATTGCACTCTAGCCTGGGTGACAAGAGTGAAACTCCGTCTCAAAAAAAAAAAAAAAAAAAAAGTCAGCCGGGCGCGGTGGCTCACACCTGTAATCCCAGCACTTTCGGAGGCTGAGGTGGGCGGATCACTTGAGGTCGGGAGTTGGAGACCAGCCTGACCAACATGGAGAAACCCCGTCTCTACTAAAAAATATAAAATTAGCCAGGCGTGGTGGCTAATGCCTCTAATCCCAGCTACTCGGGAGGCTGAGGCAGGAGAATCACTTGAACCTGGGAGGTGGAGGTTGCGGTGAGCTGAGATCGCGCCATTGCACTCCAGCCTGGGCAACAAGAGTGAAACTCCATCTCAAAAATATAAATAAATAAATAAATAAATAAATAAATAAATAAATAAATAAAAAGTCATAGTTTCTGAGGATAGCAAATGCAGCACAGAAGTGGAATAGAACCATAAATATCTGAAAATGCTAGTGGTTCTTTTTGTCTGTGGATTTATGCATGGAGGGCGTCAGAATGATTTGGGGCTACCATTGCTATTGAGAAACATTGGAATTCTGTGGTAATTTTGGATTCCTTTTTAATTTACCAAGACTACTGTGGATGATGTCAGCCACATTATGGTGTAAGCCCTAAAGTTAAGGTCAGTATCATGTGCTACCTTCATGTCTGGTGATACCAGTACTACCTCACATGGTCTGAGTGCAAATCTCCCTCCCCACTCTGCTCTTTGGGATAATGTGTCCTAGCTTAACTACCCTTTTAATCAAGAGGACTAGACAGAGTTCCTGGTTATTATTTATTTGTAGCAGGTTTCAGTTTCTTTTTTTCTTTTTTTTTTTTTTGAGACGGAGTCTCGCTCTGTCGCCCAGGCTGGAGTACAGTGGCAGATCTCATCTCACTGCAAGCTCCGCCTCCTGGGTTCATGATTCTCCCGCCTCAGCCTCCTGAGTACCTGGGACTACAGGCACCCGCCACCACACCCGGCTAATTTTTGTATTTTTAGTAGAGACGGGGTTTCACAATGTTAGCCAGGATGGTCTCGATCTCCTGACCTCGTGATCTGCCCACCTCGGCCTCCCAAAGTGCAGGGATTATAGGCGTGGGCGTGAGCCACCGCACCCAATGCAGGTTTCAATTTCATTTCTACCCACAGAGTTACTCAAGCCAGTTGCAGCTGGGTGTGGTATCGCACACCTGTGGTCCCAGCTACTCAGGAGGCTGAGATGGGAGGATTGCTGGAACCCAGGAAGTTCAGGCTGCAGTGAGCTGTGATTGTGCCACTATGCTCCAGCAGGAGTGACAGAACAAGACCCTGTCTCAAAAATTAAAAATAAAAACAAGCCAGTTGCATTCTTTTATGGGAATCAGGGACTATCACACCCTCTTGATTGAGCAAAGCTTACATACCACAATCCCTGGTTGCTCTTTTTTTTTTTTTTTTTTTTGAGACAGGGTCTTGCTCCGTTGCCCAGGCTAGAGTGCAGTGGTGCCATCTAGGCTCACTGCAACCTCCATCTCCTGGGTTCAAATGATTCTCCTGTCTCAGGCTCCTGAGTAGCTGGGACTACAGGTGCATGCCACCATACCCAGCCAATTTTTGTATTTTAGTAGAGACGGGGTTTCACCTTGTTGGTCAGGCTGGTCTCGAACTCCTGACCTCAGGTGATCCACCCGCCTCGGCGTCCCAAATTACTGGGATTACAGGCGTGCGCCACCGCGCCCGGCCACTCTCTCTTATGCATAGTGCAACCCCCATGTGGCTCTCTGTGGTGAGTGGTGTCCTCTTCTCTCAAGCGCTGAGCATATTTGATTAATGAACTTTCGTGATGACTTGTGTTCAGCGTCAGGTGTTGTGTTTGGCCATCATCATAACCCTAGGGTGAAACTCCTACTCTTTACCAGTAGAAGAAAGGGGGATTAAAATACTGTAACTTCTGGCAAGACCAGAGAGAGGCCTATAGTGTGGGCAGTTAGGTGGTGGTGGCAATTGGCATGTGTCTGTGGTGTCCAAAGATGGGAAGGATGTGTACGTACATAAGGATTATGTTTGAAAGGCCTCAGGCACTGCACTGGGATTCATGTGACCTTTGCTGTACCAGGGGAATTGCTAGAAAGGAGAGGATGGAACCCTTTATTTCAGGACCACAGCATAGATACCTGTGTGCTTATCTGCCTCTTGTTGCTGACGGCTATGTGTCATGATTAATGGTCCCATGAGGACACAGTGGCACTAGTGGGCAAAATTTCTCCTCTGAGTTGGGGATCCTGGGAGGAGGAGGATGGGCAAGGGTAGATATGTTGGGGAAGTGGACTGTGGGTCTTCAGCATAGGGGCCATTTGTGGTTTCATCTATCCCCATCATAACAGAGCAGTGTGACCTTTGAAGATGTGGCTGTAAACTTTTCCCTGGAGGAATGGAGTCTTCTTAATGAGGCTCAGAGATGCCTGTACCGTGACGTGATGCTGGAGACCTTGACACTTATATCCTCCCTGGGTAAGGTACTCATATTCACCTGTGACCTGAGTTAGTCTGTGCCCCTCACCTTTATGCCTTATCTCTTTCTCACACCAGGACCATGGACACAGCTTCATTCTCCAGTTCTCTGGAGAGGTTCTGTTGTTGGTCGGACTGAGGTGTACGTACTGCCCTGTCCTTTCCTTGAGCAGCCCCAACCTGCTTTGTTGCAGGCTTCCAGGGAAGGAGTCAGGGTCAGGAGTCTTAAAGTCACCCTAATGCCTCCCACCTTGGTTGTCCTCTGCCTGTCTGGGTGACTGTGCAGATCCAAGGCTTCTGTTTGTCTCAAGTTCCGTTTCCCTCCTTTAGTTCACATTTGTTCATGCTACGAATTGTCGTCACTGATGTGGTCATTATGTACATGAACCACAGCCTATTCTTGCAATACCCTACTTCAAAATTCTTTTTGTAGTATTTCATCAGGCACAATAACACCTGTCATCCCAGCTCTTCAGAGGCTACTCGGAGCCCAGGAGTTTGAGGCCAGCCTGGCCAACATAGCAGGTCCTCATCTCTAAAAATATATAGGAAGGAATTCTTTTTGTAATATTTAGTTTCTTTTCCTGTGGAATATCAAATGCAGAGTTGTTCTGAGCCAGCATTGGCTGTTCGTCTGTCCTATTTTTCCCTTAGTACTTACATTATCGAGTTTCCATGTAGTTGCTCATCTTGGTGGTGAAATGAAGAGCCCGTGGTTGTCCCTAAGATGTAAATGAGTCCAGCCTTAGCAAGGACTTGGGGCAGCTTGGTTCTGAAGAATAGCATGTGAGTAAGGTCATGACATCAGGGCTCTATTCAAATTATGCCATAGACCTCTTCTATTTGACTAGTATTTTCATGCCAATAGAAGTAGCCCCACTTTATGTCTTTCCTTCCCCATTCTTGAGAGTGCCAGTTTATTAGTCCTACACCTTGTTGCTTCTGCTGTTACATCCAGCCCAGGACTAATTTTCATATATCTGGACTCCACGTCTCACCTATTTTTCTCACGGCTCTGTCTGCAGTGGTCTTCAATATTGGCTCATGTATTTTGTATTACGAAGTATATACCCATTCTTTTTTTTTTTTTTTTTTTTTTTTTTGAGATGGAGTTTCGCTCTTGTTTCCCAGGTTGGAGTGCAATAGTGCGATCTCGGCTCACTGCAACCTCCGCCTCCCAGGTTCAAGTGATTCTCTGGCCTCAGCCTCCTGAGTAGCTAGGATTACAGGGGCCCACCACCACGCCCGGCTAATTTTTGGGGTATTTTTAGTAAAGATAGGGTTTTACCATGCTGGCAAGGCTGGTCTTGAACTGACCTCAGGTGATCCACGCCCCTCAACTTCCCAAAGTGCTGGGATTACAGGTGTGAGCCACCGCGCCCAGCCTCTATGGAGTATATAATCTTTTTTTTTTTTTTTTCTTGAGACAGTTTGCTCTGTTGCCCACGCTGGAGTGCAGTGGCACAGTCTAGGCTCACTGCAACCTCCGCCTCCCAGGTTCAAGCAAGTCTCCTGCCTCAGCCTCCCGAGTATCTGGTATTACAGGTGCATGCCACCACACCTGGCTAACTTTTATTTTTAGTAGAGATGGGGTTTTGCCATGTTGGTTGTTGACCAGGCTGGTCTCAAACCCCTGACCTTGTGATCCACCCACCTCGGCCTCGCAAAGTGCTGGGATTAGAGGCATGAGCCACGGTTCTCGGCCACGTATATACCTATTCTTAACAGTCCCTGACCAAAGGATGTTGTGCTCTAGTCATGTTGGGGGGGGCCTGGACATATTTATATAGTACTCACACGTCATCAGCAAATAAGGTTCCACAGGCAAGTTGTTTGCAAATGAAGGAGTTATAGACCCTGCCTTTATTCTGTCTGTTGACTCATTTAGTCATGCCCTTGACAATATGAGGCCTTCTATATCTGTGATAATGCTAAGCAGCCCCAACCTCAACCTGAACCCAACTCCCTGTTTGTGCAAATAATTCCATAGACTAGTTTTTTGGTTTGTCAGATACTCTTGTGGGTAGGCTGCATACTCAACAAAGTCAACATGTACCTCACCAGCATTTCTTTGCTTTTAGGTTGTTGGCATGGAGGGGAAGATGAGGCAGCACCTTCTAAGCAGAGCACGTGTATACATATATACAAAGACCAGGGAGGTCATAGTGGAGAAAGGCCTTATGAGTGTGGGGAATATAGGAAATTATTTAAGAACAAGTCCTGCCTCACTGAACCCAGAAGAGATCACAAACACAGGAATGTTCGCACTGGAGAAAGGCCTTATGAGTGCAGCAAATATGGGAAATTATTTCACCAAAAGCCTACACTCCATATTCATGAGAGATTTCATACTGGGCAAAAGACCTATGAGTGCAGTGAGTGTGGAAAATCATTTCACCAAAGCTCTTCACTCTTGCAGCGTCAGACACTTCACACTAGAGAAAGGCCTTATGAGTGTATTGAATGTGGGAAAGCCTTTGCTGAAAAGTCCAGTCTCATTAACCACAGGAAAGTTCACTCTGGAGCAAAGCGTTATGAATGCAATGAATGTGGGAAGTCCTTTGCTTATACATCTAGTCTCATTAAACACAGGAGGATTCACACTGGAGAGAGGCCTTATGAGTGCAGTGAATGTGGGAGATCCTTTGCTGAAAACTCCAGTCTTATTAAACACTTGAGAGTTCACACAGGAGAAAGGCCTTATGAATGCGTTGAGTGTGGAAAATCATTTCGCCGAAGCTCTTCACTCTTGCAGCATCAGAGAGTTCACACTAGAGAAAGGCCTTATGAATGTAGTGAATGTGGGAAATCCTTTAGCTTAAGGTCCAACCTCATTCACCATCAGCGAGTTCATACTGGAGAAAGGCATGAGTGCGGGCAGTGTGGGAAATCCTTTAGCCGAAAATCTAGCCTTATTATACATCTGAGAGTTCACACTGGAGAAAGGCCTTATGAGTGCAGTGACTGTGGGAAATCCTTTGCTGAAAACTCCAGCCTTATTAAACACTTGAGAGTTCACACTGGAGAAAGGCCATATGAATGCATTGATTGTGGAAAATCATTTCGCCACAGTTCTTCGTTCCGTCGCCATCAGAGAGTTCATACTGGAATGAGGCCTTATAAGTGAAGCAAATTTTGGAAATTCTCTTGCCCAGGCTTTTTGCTCCTTCAAGGCCAGAGAGTTCACACCAGATCAAGGTGTTATGAGTGTGACAAATGGGGAATATTCTTTAGCTAGAATGCTAGCTTCTTTACATAAAAGAGTGCTCCCACTGAAGAAGTGCCTTTTGAGTGCAATGAATGTGAGAAAGCCTTCAGCCCTCTCTCATTGGTTACCACAATATTTACATGAGGAAAATACCACAGATGTGGAGGTAATATTATTTTTTCTTCAATATAACACTGGAGGAAACCCCTTATGAGGATGCCATCTGCCTAAATTGAATGTCATACATCAAATAGCTGCATACATTCCAGGTATGTGGGAACTGCATAGTATTTTTCGACCTGCCCAGGTCTCTTGCTAGACTTCTGTGACTTACAGTTCTCTTCTAAAAAGCATTTCACCTTTACCACTTGGCAGGTGCCCACAGTACATCATTCGCCTAACTCATCATGATCCAGAAGTAACTTTGATTTTGTTTCATTCAACAGAGGGATTTTTTAGTATCCTCAGCACTCATTCTATTCTCATTTCTTTCTCTCCAATGAGTTAGGCCATGAACCTGACTCATTTTTGGCACAGAGGACTCTTCTGATAACTTGAAAAAATGGACTACCTTTTTCAGGGATCTTTTGGATCTCACAGAGTTCTTAAGATGGAATTTTCCAGCCTGCCAGTCATGAATCTCAGACAGCCTGCCACCTATTGCCCTGATTTGTGTTATAATAAAGGCCTTGTTGCTTAAGACACCTTCAGTCTTTGCAGGAGGGCATGGAAGCTCCAAGTGCTTTTCTCATACTTTACCCTATGCATCTCTTTATCTGCATCTTTTGTACTATTTATAATTAACCAGTAAGTTATTTTCCCTGAGTTTTATGTGCCATTCTATCAAATTAGTCAAATCCAGTTGTGGGGTCCACGGGATTTGTGGTTTATAGCTCATCAGTCAAAAGCAGAGGCTCTGGGGCTTTGATTGTCATCAGAAATGGGAGCCTCAGTCTTGGTGACTGAGTCCTCAAACTGGGGGATGTGATGCTATCTGCAGGTAGATAATGACTGAGTTGAACTGGAGGACCCCCAGCTTGTGTCCACGGGAGGATTGCTTGGTGTGTGTGGAAAACACCCTGCACATCTGGTCACAGAATTATTCCATATTGATTGTTGTTGTGTTGTGTGACAGACAATAGAGGAAAAGTTTATTTTTTTCTACACATACGCTATGGCTTCCCTTCTATTATTCCATATCTTTCAACTCCTGCCATACTATTTCTTTCTCTCCAAGTTTTTGTTCTTCCTCAGAGTTCCCATAAATGGAAAGGATACGCACTTCATTGAAATAAGAATTTCATGTTAGCCAAGTTTTCAGGATAGCCATGAGTTTCACTTAATTATCTGAGAACTTAGAGCTTACTGTCCTCTACTTACTATCCACTGAGACTTAATGTGTTCTTGGCCATCACAGAAACTTTACTAGCTACTTATGCCATTGTCAATGGATAACTCTCTGAATCCACATTAATAACTTTGTAATTAGCTTAGTCCTCAGCTGTTTTTCAGAGATAATCCCCAGTCTTCATGCAGACACTATCACTGCACCTACAGGTGAAATGATAATCACTTCCTAGCAAGGAGGTTGGATCATGGAATACAAGATAATTTCTCAGGAATCAGATGGTCTTATTCCACACCTGCAGGAATGTCAGCATTGCAACCACCATGGCAAATATTGATTTAATAAACAATTACTATTCCCAGATAAGTGTCAAAATCTTAGAAGAAATTGTCATATCTTAGACAATTTAGAAGTGATGGAGGGTGGATGATGAGAAATTATCGCACCACTGCACTCCAGCCTGGGCGACAGAGCAAGACTCTGTCTCAAAAAAAAAAAAAAAAAAAAAGCTTTACTCACATAAAGTGAAGAACAAGAAGACTTTTTTGAGTAGATGTTTAGTGTCCTTATAACATTTTTTGTATATGCATTTTTATCCTTTTGGGAACATGATTTACAAATGCGAGCTGCAGGGCTATTGCATTAACGTGTTGAATGCAAGAGTTAAAACTTCCTGTCCCATTTAGTGAATGGAAAAATACTTAAGTTACATGAATAAAAATTGTAAATTACAAATAGCAAGATAGTTAAGGATGTAAAACATGTCAATCCCTAAATGTTACTTAATGACATCATGTTTTATAGGTACATTTTATTTTCAGTTACTAGTATTTTATTCCCTTGCTGGAAAGATGTCCAGTGATTCTGAATCAATACAGGTGTGTGGGATGTCATCTAGAAGTCATAAAATGGCTTATTCAGATTAACCATGTTATGACCACTCACACTCGCTGATACATATCTTCCTGTCACTTCCGTGGAGAGTGAAATTTTCTCTTTTATTTTTTATTCTTTGAGACAGAGTTTCACTCTTGTTGCCCAGGCTGGGGTGCAATGGCGTGATCTCAGCTCACTGCAACCTCCACCTCCCAGGTTCAAGTCATTCTCCTGTCTCAGCCTCTAGAGTAGCTGGGATTACAGGTGCCCACCACCATGCCCGGATAATTTTTGTATCTTTAGTAGAGACGGGGTTTTGCTATGTTGGCCAGGCTGGTCTCAAACTCCTGACGTCAGATGATCCGCCTGCCTCAGCCTCCTAAAGTGCTGGGAGTACAAGCGTGCGCCACCACGCCCAACCAAAATTTTCTTGATAACACCCTAATTATATTCCCACAAAACCTTTGTAGTCAGAGAAAATCTGTAGTTTATAAAGACAAAGTTTTTAGTAATGAGAGCACTTTTAGGATCTGTAGGCTCTTGTCTGTATAATTAATACAACATTTCTTTTTTTTTTTTTTTTTTTTTTTTTTGAGACAAAGTTTTGCTCTTGTTGCCCAGGCTGGAGCGCAGTGGCACGATCTTGGCTCCCTGCAACCTCCGCCTCCTGGGTTCAAGCGATTCTCCTGCCTCGGCCTCCCGAGTAGCTGGGATTACAGTTGTCCACCACCACACCCAGCTAATTTTTTGTATATTTAGTAGAGACGAGGTTTCACCATGTTGACCAGGCTGGTCTTGAACTTCTGACCTCAGGTGATCCACCCGCCCCAGCCTCCCAAAGTGCTGGGATTACTGGCGTGAGCCACCGTGCCCGGCCTGTTCTGCTTATATATGACTAAAATTTATGTGAAAATTTCTGTATAAGGCCAGGCTTGGTGGCTCACGCCTGTAATCCCAGCACTTTGGGAGGCCAAGGTGGGTGGATCACCTGAGGTCAGGAGTTCGAGAACAGCCTGACCCACATGGAGAAACCCCATCTGTACTAAAAATACAAAATTAGCTGGGCTTGGTGGCGCATGCCTATAATCCCAGCTACTTGGGAAGGCTGAGGCAGGAGAATCGCTTGAACCTGGGAGGTGGAGTTTGCGGTGAGCCGAGATCACGCTGTTGCACTCCAGCCTGGGCAACAAGAGCAAAATTCCGTCTCAAAAAAAGAAAAAGAAAATTTCTGTACAAAATATTTAGATTTCCTTCCTATTCTCAATATATTAGTGTGCTTTATCATTCTAACTTTTTGGTATTTTGATTATGCTAGTAATTTCTTAGTTTTGTTCAATTTTAATGTGATATATAAATCAATATATTCCCTGATAAATTTTTACATAATTTATGTAAATTTGTTGTTGTTGGCCGGGCATGGTGGTTCACACCTGTAATCCCAGCACTTTGGGAGGCTGAGGCAGACAGATCATCTGAAGTCAGGAGTTTGAGACCAGCCTGGCCAACATGGCGAACCGTCTCTACTAAAAATAAAAAATTAGCCGGGTGTGGTGGCATGCACCTGCAGTCCCAGCTACTCGGGAGGCTGAGGCAGGAGAATTGCTTGAACCTGGGAGGTGGAGGTTGCAGTGAGCCAAGATGGCTCCACTGCACTCCAGCCTGGGTGATAGAGTGAAACTCCGTCTCAAAAAAATAAATAAATAAATAAATTTGTTGTAGTATATTTTCTCCTTGAATTACTTACTCTAAAACAAGTAACTTTACTAACCTCTACTTGGTCTACCTGGTTAATTAATTCTTTCTTTTTTTTTTTTCTTTTTTTTTTTTTTGAGACGGAGTCTCACTGTGGCCCAGGCTGAAGTGCAGTGGCACAATCTCAGCTCACTGCAACCTCTGCCTCCCAGGTTCAGGTGATTCTCCTACTTCAGCCTCCCGAGTAGCTGGGATTACAGGTGCCTGCCACCACGCCTGGCTAATTTTTCTATTTTTCGTAGAGATGAGGTTTCACCATTGTTGGCCAGGCTGGTCTTGAACTCCTGACCTCAGGTGATCCAGCCGCCTCGGCCTCCCAAAGTACTGGGATTACAGGCGTGAGCTACCATGCCCAGCCTAATTAATTATTTTTCAAATATCTTTAAACTGATCCAATTCATGATCCTAAAATGCACAGTGGCAAATGCTGTTAGAGTACATTATTCTACATACTGAATCTTCTGTTTCCATAGTTAAGTTTCTGGTTTATTAGGAGACATTTTTTTTTCTTTCCAGAATTTTAATGCAAGTTTTACTTTTTCAAATTAATAAAATGTTAGCAACAGAGAATAACTTGGGAAAACAAGTAGCATTTTTATTTCAATCATTCTTCATTTGAATGCACTAGGAAGCTGGAGAATTTTAGACTCTTAAGAAATTTACTTTAAAGCCAGGCACCATGGCTCTGTAGTCCCAGCTTCTCAGAAGGCTGAAACAGGAGGATTACATGAGCTCGAGTTTGAGTAAGGCCTGGGCGACATAGTCTCTTTAAAAAAATTCAGTTCATGCGGGTGCGGTGGCTCACGCCTGTAATCCCAGCACTTTGGGAGGCTGAGGCAGGCGGGTTGCCTGAGCTCAGGAGTTCGAGACCACCCTGGGCAAGACGGTGAAACCCTGTCTCTACTAAAATACAGAAAATTAGCCGGACGAGCCGGCATGTGCCTGTAGACCCAGCTACTCAGGAGGCTGAGGCAGGAGACTTGCTTGAACCCGGGAGGCGGAGGTTGCAGTGAGCCGAGATGTGCTACTGCACTCCAGCCTGGGCGACAGAGTGAGACTCATCTCAAATAAATAAGATAATAAAATCCAGTTCAGTAAAATGTGCCTGATAAAATATAAGTGACTACTGGCCTGGAGCAGTGGCTCACGCCTGTAATCCTAGCACTTTGAGAGGCCAAGGCAGGTGGATCACCTGAGGTCCGGAGTTTGAGACCAGCCGAGTCAACATGGTGAAACCCTGTCTTTACTAAAAAATACAAAAATTAACTGGGTGTGGTGGCACATTCCTGTAATCCTGGCTACTTGGGAGGCTGAGGCAGGAGAATTGCTTGAACCCTCCGGGCGGAGGTTGCAGTGAGCTGAGATCACACCACTGCACTCCAGCCTGGGCGACAGGGCAAGACACCGTCTCAACAAAACATATATATAAGTAATGAATGAATATTATGTCAATATTCTAAGTCAGAATGTTACTGTAATACTTTTTAATTCTCATTCCATTTAAAATAACTGGTTAATTTTCAAATCATAATGAAATTTTTACAAATTTATGTGTAGTACAAAGCATGCATATACATTCATATGTATTATATGTATATATAGCCTTTAAAAATATTTATGAGCTTTATGCCGGGCGCGGTGGCTCACGCCTGTAATCCTAGCACTTTGGGAGGCGGAGGCGGGCGGATCACGAGGTCAGGAGATCAAGATCATCCGGGCTAACACAGTGAAACCCCGTCTCTACTAAAAATACAAAAAAATTAGCCGGGCATGGTGGGCACCTGTAGTCCCAGCTACTCGGGAGGCTGAGGCAGGAGAATGGCGTGAACCCGGGAGGCGAAGCTTGCAGTGAGCCGAGATCGCGCCACTGCACTCCAGCCTGGGCTACAGAGCCAGACTCCGTTCTAAAAAAAAAAAAAAAAAAAAAAAAAAAAAAATATATATATATATATATATATATATATATATATATATACACACACACACACACACACTAGCTTTAGCTTCCAGTAGATGCAATTTATGTCTTTATGACCCTATGTAATGAAATGTCCATTTTGATTCGTGGCTCTTGATGGCATCTCAAATGATGTCTTAGATCTGCGAAGAAGCTCAGCATCACAAATTCTGAAATAAGTCTCCAAACACACGGGTAATCGGTTGCACACAGTACCCGCAGAAATGCGCGTATGGCCTCTTCTAAGATGGGGGAGCCTCCTCTGCAACTGGACCTGGAGTTGCCATTTCCTAACGCCCGTCGCGGTGGAGCTTAGCCCCTTCTTCCGAAAGTCAGGTTGGAGGCGGCCTTTAAGCGCCGCGCGTCTCTCGGAACTTAAATATTACCCGGAATCGTCTCTGTGAATTGGAAAGCCCATTGAAGCCTCAGAGAAGCCGCGCCATTGCGGAGGCACGTAACGTCAAGCAGGGACTTCCTGCGTCCTCGCCGCGGTGGCCATTTTGGCTTGTCGGGACCATCCACCTATGCTGCGTCTGTACCTCTTTGTCAGGACCGAGAGCGCGCGAGAGGAGTGGTTGTGCCCATTGCACACAGGCGGATCTGAGGCTTGGCGACGCCGCTGGTCGCGACCTGGGACAGGACGAGCACAGGAACCGCCTGGCCTGCGTCCCCGCCCGCGCATGAAGTCGTGGCGGCGGCCGCTCAAGTGAGCCCTGCGACCTCCAGGCCTCACCCGCCATCCCCACACAGACCCTGAGACCCCTGACTGTGAGGGGCGCTTCCTCGCGTCCTTGCAGCTCAGGCCTCTGTCAGGGACCTAGAGGCGCCGGCGGGTGGAATCCCTGTTTCCGACACCGGTTGATGCGGTCGGGAGAGCGAGACTGGCCGAGGGACCGGCTTAGGCAAAGGCCTGGAGGCACGACTGCGCCAGGAGGATTCGGAACACAGGGACATCTTGTGTCCACTGAGAACAAAGTATGAGTCGGAGTTATTTCCTCAGTACCAGGCTGAGGATTGATCTTTGTGAGGACCGTAGAAGCCATGGACAGTTTTGAACAAAGGAGGAAATCTGTGTTAGAGTTAAAGATTCCGAAAAGATGTTCAAAGGAAGAACGGAGTGTAAGGCGGTGATGAGGACAGTGAGGCATTGAGAGGTTGAATATTTGCTCAAGGTCACGTAGCTGGTAAGAGGTGACATTGAGCACTGGGCCACAAGATTAGAGACTCAGCCTGAGGTCACCTGGCTACAGGGCCAAAAAAAGCTTACAGAGAAACCTGAGTCTATCAAATCCCAGCAGGGACACATTCCTGAAAGCTCCGCCTTTTGGCACACCTTCTCATGGCTATGGAAGTATTTAAGGAACCCACAGAAGGAAGTATAGGATGCTCTAGTCCCTCACTGGTCCTCATCCTCACCTATATGTCTAGATCTTAATGTCCTGGGAATTTATTTATTTAGCGACAGAGTGTCACTCTTGGTACCCAGGTTGGAGTGCAGTGACGCGATCATGGCTCAGCATAGTCTTGACCTCCCCAGGCTCAGGTGATCCTCCCATCTCAGTCTCCCGAGAAACTGGCTAATGTTTGTGTTTTTAATAGAGACGGGGTTTTGCCATGTTGCCTAAGATGGTCGAAAACTCCTGGGCTCAAGCAATCCTCCCGCCTTGGCCTCCTAAAGTGCTGGGATTACAGGCGTGAGCCGCTGGTCTGGCCAGGCCTCCTAGGACTCTTAAGTGCAATTTCTCCTGTCCTTCGATCTGGGGATCTTGCAAAATCCTCAAACCCCAAACCTAAGTCACTGACACAGGCTATGGAGAAGTGTTTTCATGTCTGTCGACCGGTGGGAAACACATGTGGTGGATTAACCCAGGAATGATACTGGGATGTGGAAATGGCTTAGAAGTGAAACTGGAGAGGCCGGGCGTGGTGGCTCTCGCCTGTAATCCCAGCACTTTGGGAGGTCAAGGCGGGTGGATCGCTTGAGGTCAGGAGATCTAGACCAGTCTGGCCAACATGGTAAAACCCAGTCTCTACTAAAAATACAAAAATCAGCTGGGCATGGTGGCGGGTGCCTGGAATCTCAGCTACTCGCAGGCTGAGGTGTAAGACTCCCTTGAACCTGGGAGATGGAGGCTGCAATGAGCCAAGATTGTGCCAATCTGCACTCGAGCCTGAGCAACAAAGTGAGAATCCATCGCGAAAAAAAAAAGAAAGTGAAACTGGAGGGGGTTAAATGATGTTACCAGTGTTTTAACAGGTTCTGTCTGGTTACAGAGTGGACAACAGACTGTGGGGTTGAGGGAGGAGGAAGATCAAACTGGAAGCTACTGCCCTAGTCCAGATGCTCAAATCCTGACAGTCTTTTCCCTGACCAGTCTCCATCCTGAAGTTATCTAGGGGTTACCAACCATCATTCAACTCATTACCATTCAAAGTCACTTATAAATTTGAGAGTTTCATGAATTTTAGGAGTTCCATGCCAGGAAAGGAGATGACCAAATATATATTTCACAATACCACAGCCATGTTAAGATTCTGAAATGTAATAGATAATACTTAGTGGAGCTATCAAATGGGCACCTAAACCCATGGATGCAAATATCTGGGGAAGGGTTAATATTGGAGCTATCCAATATATGGTAGCCACTGTGTGGAGCAAGATGAGTGAGTCATGGATCACATTTGGAAGGGGCAACCTTCAGATTATGGTGGTGACACTACTAGGAAGACAGGAAGTGGAGGTTGGGTTGCCTGCTTGTGTACCTGGTGATGGTATTGTACTTCAGAAAACAGGTGAGGGAGGTAAATGGCCATGAAGGGAGAATATATCTGGTAGCCTAGTTTGGCAGGTGACATAGGCTTCCAAGGAATGAATAGACATGAGATGCAAGCAGAAGCATAGGAGTAGCTGAGGGAAGATGACACTCAGCCTGGACCTTGTGCTAATTCGCCACTCTGTGGCCACACCACGATATTGAGATGACTTTTGTGGGGCCTGGGGTGTTTCATTCAGCCTGGTGGATATGGAGGCAAATAAGGTCACCTTGTGAGAGTCACTAGGCCCGAGATTGACGGCCAATGGGTCTAGGCTTTGAATGGAGTTAGGTGGACAGAAGAAAGTCATAATTTCTGAAGATAACAAATGCAGCACAGAAGTGGAATAGGGCCATGAATACCTGAAAACACTAACGTTCTTTTTTCCTGTGGATTTATGCATGGAGGGCTTCGTATAATGACTTGGTACTACCACTGCTATTAGGAACCATTGGAATTCTGTGATAATTTTGGATTGCTTTTTAATTCACCAAGACTACTGTGGATGATGTCAGCCACATTATGGTGTGAGCCCTAAATTTAAGGTCAATATCATGTGCTACCTTCATATCTGGTGATACTAGTATTACCTCAAATGGTCTGAGTACAAATCCCCCTTCCCACTCTGCTCTTTTGTATAATGTGTCCTAGCCTAACTACCCTTTTAATCAAGAGGACTAAGCAGAGTTCCTGTTTATTATTTATTTGTAGCAAGTTTGAATTTCATTTCTACACACAGAGTTAATTCAAACAAGCCAGTTACAGCTGGGTGTGGTGTCGCACACCTATGGTCCCAGCCACTCGGGAGGCTGAGGTAGGAGGATCCCTGAAACCTGGAAAGTTCAGGCTGCAGTGAGCTGTAATTGCACCACTACGCTCCAGCAGGAGTGACAGAGCGAGACCCTGTCTCAAAAATTAAAAACAAGCCAGTTGCATCCTTTCAAGGGAATCAGGGGCTATCACACCTTCTTGATTCAGAAAAGCTTACATACCACAGTCCCTGGTTGCTCTCTCTTATGCATAGTGCAACCCCCATGTGGCTATCTGTGGTGAGTGGTGTCCTCTTCTCTCAAGTTGTGAGCATATTTGATTAATTAACTTTCTTGATGACTTATGTTCAGCATCAGGTGTTGTGTGTTTGGCCATCACTATAACCCTAGGGTAAGACTCCTACCCTTATCAGTAGAAGAAAGGGGGAATAAAATACTTTAACTTCTGGCAAGGCCAGAGAGAGGTCTATGGTGTGGGGGAGTTAGGTGTTGGTGGCAATTGACATGTGTCTTTGGTGTCCAAAGATGGGAAGGATGTATAGGTACACAGGGATTATGTTTGAAGGTTCTTAGGCACTGCATTGGGATTCATGTGACCTTTGCTATACCAGGGGAATTGCTAGAAAGGAGGGGATGGAACCCCTTATTTCAGGATCACAGCATAGATATCTATTTGTTTATCTGCCTCTTGTTGCTGATGGCTATGTGTCATGATCAGTGGTCCCATGAGGACACAGTGGCACTAGTGGGCAAAGTTTCTCCTCTGAGTTGGGGATCCTGGGAGAAGGAGGATGGGCAAGGGTAGATATGTTGGGGAAGTGGATTGTGGGTCTTCAGCACAGGGGCCATTTATGGTTTCATCTATCCCCATCATAACAGAGCAGTGTGACCTTTGAAGACGTGGCTGTAAACTTTTCCCTGGAGGAATGGAGTCTTCTTAATGAGGCTCAGGGATGCCTGTACCATGATGTGATGCTGGAGACCTTGACACTTATATCCTCCCTGGGTAAGGTACTCATACTTAACTGTGACCTGAGTTAGTCTCTGCCCCTCCCCTTTATTCCTCTTGGTAATAACGTCTTTCTCACATCAGGACTGTGGCACAGCTTCATTCTCCAATTCTCTGGATCAGTTCTGTGGTTGGTAGTACTGAGATACATGTACTGCCCTCTCCTTTCCTTGAGCAGCCCCAGTCTGCTTTGTTGCAGGCTCCCAGGGAAAGAGTTAGGGTCAGGAGTCTTAAAGTCACCCTAATGCATCCCACCTTGGTTGTCTTCTGCCTTTCTGGGTGACTGTGCAGATCTAAGACTTCTTTTTTTGAGACGGAGTCTCGCTCTGTCGCCCAGGCTGGAGTGCAGTGGCGCAGTCTCGGCTCACTGCAAGCTCTGCCTCCCGGGTTCATGCCATTCTCCTGCCTCAGCCTCCCGAGTAGCTGGGACTACAGGCGCCCGCCACCACGCCCGGCTAATTTTTTGTATTTTTAGTAGAGACGGGATTTCACCGTGTTCACCAGGATGGTCTCGATCTCCTGACCTCGTGATCCGCCCGCCTCGGCCTCCCAAAGTGCTGGGATTACAGGCATGAGCCGCCGCGCCCCGCCCCCATTGCATTTTTCAGCCTGCCTGTGTCCCTTGCCAGACTTATGTGACTGCCAGTTATCTTGCAAAAAGCATTTCACCTTTACCACTTGGCAGGTACTCACAGTTTCATCACTCCCCTACCTCATTATGATCCAGACGTAACTTTTTCTTTCATTCACCAGGGGGATTTTTTAGTATCCTCAGTACTCATTCCATTCTCAATTCTTTGTGTCTGATGAGGTAGGCCAAGGACCTGACTAATTTTTGGTGCAGAGAACTCTTCTGGTGATTTGAAAAGATGGACTACCTTTTTCAGGGATCTCTTGGATCTCACAGGATTCTTTTTTTTTTTTTTTAAGATGGAGTCCCGCTCTGTCACCCATACTGGAGTGCAGTGGCGCAATCTCGGCTCACTGCAAGCTCCACCTCCCGGGTTCACACCATTCTCCTGCCTCAGCCTCCCAAGTAGCTGGGACTACAGGTGCCCGCCACCACGCCCGGCTAATTTTTTTTTTTTTTTTTTTTTTGTATTTTCAGTAGAGATGGGGTTTCACTGTGTTAGCCAGGATGGTCTCGATCTCCTGACCTCGTGATCCACCTGCCTCAGCCTCCCAAAATGCTGGGATTATAGGCGTGAGCCACCGTGCCCGGCCCTCACAGCATTCTTAAGATAGAATTTTCCAGCCTGCCAGTCACAAATCAGACAGCCTGCCTGCCGCCTATTTCCCTTGTTTGTATTATAATAAAGACTCTGCTGCTTAAGACACCTTCAATCTTGAGAGCTGTATTTACAGTGTGGAATTGTTTGAACACTGGATTTGCAGATGGGCATGGTGGCTCATGCCTGTGATACCAGCACTTTGGGAGGCCGAGGCAGAAGGGTCAGTTGAGGTCAGGAGTTCCAGACCAGCCTGGCCAACATGCTGAAACCCCATCTCTACTAAAAATACAAAATTAGCCAGGCATCGTGGCATTCGCCTATAATCCCAGCTACTTGGGAGGCTGAGGCACAAGAATCACTTTAACCTGGGAGGTGGAGGCTGCAGTGAGCTCAGGTAATGCCACCCCATACCAGGATGAGCAACAAGAGCGAAACTATCTCAAAAATACCATAATTTTGGGGTTCATAGGTCAACCTGAAAGGGTGGCAGTTTTCATCACAATCTCTGGTGCTTCTGAGAGCAACATGAAATTGTTCTCTACTTCACAAGGGATGGTGCATTATGTTTCAGTGCTGTTGAGGGTACCTTCACAGGTTGTGAGGTTATAGTGGAAATGATAAGTTTTTCGGAATTACTGCATTTTAAAAGGGCTTCTACTATGATCCAGACATGGCTGTGAAGGATGAATACAAACAGAAATTCTCAGGACCTTCTTAATTGAATCTTATGTGGCTAAGGTCACTGCTGGAGAGAATAACCTAAAGATTTTGTTATTTGTGGTAGTCCTTCTAGTCTAATTGACCTAAAGGTCATTCCTGCATAGGCAGGAGGAAGAAGAAAGGGAGCAGGGATGTCCATTAGACCACTACGTGGCCCATCATGTGACCAGCCGTCATTCTTTCTGAATCATCTGGAAATGGTCTTTATTGTTCGTCATGTTTTTGTTACCATGAAGGCTAGTTGCCTCACTCAGGTTGAGGAGATGATACAGCAATAGTTAATAAACCTCTTGGAAAAATCAAGTCCAGATTTTTAAAATTACATTTTTAAAGCTGTAATAAGAAATAAATCACTTTTTTTTTTCTTTGAGATGGAGTCTCGCTCTTGTTGCCCAGGCTGGAATTCAGTGGCACGATCTTGGGTCACTGCAACCTCTGCCTCCCAGGTTCAAGCGATTCCCCTGCCTTAGCCTCCCGAGTAGCTGGGATTACAGGCACCTGCCACCATGCCCAGCTATTTTTTGTATTTTTAGTAGAGGTGAGGTTTCACCATGTTGGCCAGGCTGTTCTCAAACTCCTGGCCTCAGGTGATCCGCCCACCTCGGCCTCCCAAAGTCCTGGGATTACAGGCATTAGCCACCATGCCTGGCCAAAATAAATGACTTTCAAAAAAACTGCACATATTTATTTTTATTTATATTTATTTATTTATTTGAGACAGAGTCTGGCTCTGTCGCCCAGGCTGGAGTGCAGTAGCACAATCTCAGCTCACTGCAAGCTCCGCCTCCTGGGTTCATGCCATTCTCCTGCCTCAGCCTCCTGAGTAGCTGGGACTATAGGCGCCCACAGCCACGCCCGGCTAATTTTTCTATTTTTAGTAGAGACAGGGTTTCACCGTGTTAGCCAGGATGGTCTCGATCTCCTGGCCATGTGATCCGCCTGCCTCGGCCTCCCAAAGTGCTGGGATTACAGGCATGAGCCCCCGTGCCTGGCCAAAACTGCACATATTTAAACTGTAAAGTGTGATAAGTTTTGACATTAATAAGCCTGTAATATGATCCATCACCTTCATATTTACCTGGAGTCTGGTAACGTCTTTACCTCTGCCTTCCAGATGACCATTGATAACTTTGCTTTATAATAGATTATTTTACATTTTCTACATTTTTATACGTGATTTGATGTCGTGAAGTGTTTAATCTTTATCCCTGGATGGTATCGTGCGGTATATTTATTTTGAGATTTGTCAGTGATGATACTTGAGTAGTTCACTCCTTTTTATATTGCTGAGATGACATGCTATGAAATATCACTGTATATTCATTCATCTGTTTATACATCATTAATCTATTTCTCATTTTTGGCTTCCATAAATAAAACTACAGACACTTTAGTACAGTTCTTTATGTAAATATGTTTCTTTTTTATGTGTTACTATCTGGGGGTTCAATAACTGAATCAGAATAGGTAAATCTATAGCTTTTTGTTTGTTTGTCTGTTTTGAGATGGAGTCTCGCTCTGTCACTCAGGCTGGAGTGCAGTGATGCAATCTCGGCTCACTGCAACCTCTGCCTCGTGGGTTCAAGCAATTTTCCTGGCTCACCCTCCGAAGTAGCTGGGACTACAGGCACATGCCACCATGCCCAGCTAATTTTTTTGTATTTTTAGTAGAGGTGAGGTTTCACCATCTTGGCCACGCTGGTCTTGAACTCCTGACCTCGTGATCTACCTACCTCAGCCTCCCAAAGTGCTGGGATTATAGGCATGAGCCACTGCATCCAGCAAATGTATAGCTTTTTAGGCAACACCAAAGTGTACTGTAAAATTAATATGGTTGTTCCCTTTAGTGTTACTGTCACCAGTGTCCATGAATTCCACTTTCATGTTTTTATCGATACAGAATATGGATAGTCTTTTTTTTTTTTTGAGACAAAGCCTCTCTCTGTCGCCCAGGATAGAGTGCAGTGGCGTGATCTCGGCTCACTGCAACCTCCGCCTCCTGAGTTTGAGCAATTCTTCTGTCTCAGCCTCCCTAGTAGCTGGGACTACAGATGCATGCCACCACGCCCGGCTAATTTTTTTGTATTTTTATTAGAGACAGGGTTTCACCATGTTAGCCAGGAGGATCTTGATCTCGTGATCCACCTACCTCAGCCTCCCAAAGTGCTAGGATTACAGGCGTGGGCCACCACACCCGGCCAATTTTTTGTATTTTTAATAGAAATGGGGTTTCACCCTGTTAGCTAGGATGGTCTCAATCTCTTGACATTGTGATCTGCCCGCCTCAACCTCCCAATGTTCTGGGATTACAGGTGTGAGCCACCGTGCCCAGCAGAGAATATGGATAGTCTTTTAAATTTTTACCCTTTTTTATAAGTGGATGTTCCTTCTTTAGTAAAATGTCTATTTATATATTTTGCTTGCTTTTTAAATTCTTATTTATTTTTAGAGAAAAGATCTTGCTCTGTCACCCAGCCAAGAGGGCAGTAGTTTGATCATAGCTCACTGCAACCTCAACCTCCTGGGCTCAAGCGTCCTCCCACCCCAGCCTCCTGAGTAACTGGGACTACAGGCACATGCCAGCACACCCACCGAATTTTTAAATTTTTTTGTAGAGACAGGATCTCATTATGTTGCTCAGGCTGGCCTTAAACTCCTAGGCTCAAGCAATCCTCTCACCTCACCCTCTCAAAGCACTATGTCTGGCAACTCATTTTCTTCTTCTCAAATGTATTTTGCCTATTTCCGTTTTCATTAAGAAATAAAATATGGTTGGGCCAGTGGCTCACGCCTATAATCCTAGCACTTTGGGAGGTCGAGGTGGGTAGATCACCTGAGATCAGGAGTTCAAGACCAGCCTGACCAACATGGTGAAACCCCATCTCTACTAAAAATACAAAAATTAGCCAGGCATGGTGGCGGGCTAATCCCAGCTACTCGGGAGGCTGAGGCAGGAGAATCACCTGAACCTGGGAGACAGAATTTGCAGTGAGCTGAGATGGCACAACTGTACTCCAGCCTCAGCAACAAGAGCAAAACTCCGTCTCAAAAAAAAAAAACAAAAAAAAACCAGGGGTCACATCATTGACCCTTCTCTCTCTCTCCCTCACCTACAACATGCAAAGATCTACTTGTTCCTTTATTAAAAATATAGGTAGAATGTCTCCTTTTCTCCCATCTGCACGGCATTCACCTGGTCCATCAACTCATCTGAATTATGCTGGTAAACTTCCCTCCGTGCTAACTGCCTCCTCATTAATCCAGGAGTCTGTTCTCCTCCAGTGTGCAACCAGATAGATCCTATGAACATCTGGATTAGACCACCTCTTTCCCCATCCAAGCATCCCAGCATCTCCAAAACAGATGCCCAGCTTTTCAGGCAACCACATTACAGGCCTGAATCTTGACCCGGCTTCTTGTTCCTATGAGAAAGAATAGATGCCTGTCGTACATAGGTCCCAGCTCAGTCACACCTCAAAGCATTTGCACAAAATGGTATGAATTCCTAAAATAGCTTTCTACACCTGTTTCCATTGGTTGCCAGAAATAAGAACACTTCTATTAATCCTTGGCTGGTACTCAGGACTCTGAGCTTGGTGTATCCACAGGTTCTCCACGCCAAGAACTGGGAAAACATCAAGTGAACACTCAAGACACCATAATCTCAGACACCACACAGGTAGTGTCAGGTTCAGGGAGAGACTGGGACACTTTCTCTTTCCCTGTGTTGGCACCATAAGCATTTTCAGTGTTCAGAACCCATGAAAATAAGGCAACTGTGACCAGCTCCAGCTGATCAAACCTCCATTGATCCCTACACAACCGTAAAGCCAGGGGCCCTGGGGCTAACTAATTAACTGATTTCAATCCTCAGTGCTCCTTCTTACCACCTATGGCCTAGAAAGAAGACTCCACTTCTCAGTGCCTCATTGTCCTCATCATCCTTATTCCAGTCTGTTCTCTGAGAGGCTTTTGTAAACTTTTAAAGTTCTACCAAGGACATGACCCTCTTCTGTTCACAAATCTCCATACATCCCAGGACACTCAGATTGAAGGCACAACCCCTAAGACAACCAATACAGGTGTGACTCTGGCTCATCTTCAGTTTTTACTAGGGCCTTTTTTTTTTTTTGAGAGACGGGGTCTCACTATGTTGCCCAAGCCTGTCTTAAACTTCTGGACTTATGTGATCATGACACAACATGGTTACCAGGTTCTGAAATGTTCATGGCTCAGATGCACCTCCAAGCCTTTGCACCTATTGGTTCCTCTACCTGTATTACTCTACCTGGGGTGAAGCCTGTAATACACAGCATTTACCTGAGCTAGGTCCCTCAGTGTGGCTGCTGCCATCAACTGTGGGTGGAGTAGGCATCACCCCAGCCAGTGCCTATGAGCCTCAGACCTGCCACTTGGGAGCAGAGATGACTACTCCTCTTGTGCCTTCTCAGTCCCAACCCAGTACTCCCTGGCCTGACAAGCATGCCCAGAAATCCCTCATCCTGGGCCTTGCAACTAGCACCTTCTGGGTAAAGTACTTCTCAGAGCTCTCAGCCAACAATGGTGGTATCCTCCAAGAGCAAACCGAATGCAGACCATGTTACACTCTGAGGGCTGCTGGAAAGCCCTGCTCACACCTCAAGGGAGGAAGACTATTGATTCTTTGTAAAAGCGTCAAATAGGTATCACATAAGACTCTAGGAAGCTCATCCTGCACCCAGAGAATAAAAAAACTATTTGAGATGCTCCCAAACTTTACTTATCTAAGTGGCCATATCATTGGCATCATTCAGACTTACAATGTGTGCACTCAGAGCTGAGAACATTAAGTATTGATTGCTCTTTAAATTCATGTTACCCAAATTATTACAGTCAGTTTTGTGAGTTTCATTGTTTTGTTGGGAACGAAAGAAAATTGTCCATAAGACATAATGACAGGATGGGTACAAAAAACAGTTAGAAAAAATGAATAAGACCGAGTATTTGCTACCATAACAGGGTGGCTGTAGTCAAAATAATTTAATCATACATATGAAAATCACTAAAAGGGTATAATTGGATTGTTTATAATACAAAGGATAAATGCTTGAGGTGATGGAGACACCATTAACCCTGATGTGATTATTACATATGGCATGACTACATCAAAATATCTCATGTAATCTACAAATATATACACTATTATATACCCACAAAAAATAAAAATAAAGGCTGGGTGCCATGGCTCACACCTGTAATCCCACCACTTCAGGAGGCCTGAGGTCGGGAGTTTGAGACCAACCTGGCCAACATGGAGAAACCACGTCTCTACTGAAAATACAAAATCAGCTGGGCATGGTGGTACATGCCTATAATCCCAGCTACTCGGGAGGCTGAGGCAGGACAATCGCCTGAACCCTGGAGGTGGAGGCTACGGTGAGCCGAGATCGTGCCATTGCACTCCAGCCTGGGCAACAAGAGCGAGACTGTCTCAAAAAATAATAATAAAATAAAAAAATAAAATAAATTGCTGGACACAGTGGCTCACACCTGTAATCCCAGCACTTTGGGAGGCTGGGGGCAGGCGCATCACGAGGTCAGGAGTTCGAGACCAGCCTGACCAATATGGTGAAACCCCGTCTCTACTAAAAATACAAAAATTAGCCGGGCATAGTGGTAGGTGCTTGTAGTCCCGGCTACTCAGGAGGCTGAGGCCGGAGAATTGCTTGAACCCGGGAGGTGGAGGTTGCAATGAGCTGAGGTCACGCCACTGCACTCCAGTCTGAGCAACAGAGCTAGACTCCTTCTCAAAAAAATAAAATAAATTAAAAAAAAATAATAAAGATGTAATGACAGGGAAATAGACAGATGTTGATACACCCTGAAGCAGGTAGTGAAGCTGGCAGTTGGCCACTGGTTCCCACAGAAAATTGCTCTAGTGATGCTAGCAAATCCCAAAATTGGGGCTCAATCCAGGAGGATTCCTGGCTTCATAAAGGAAATAATTCAAGAGCAAGCCAAGAGTGTAAAGTGAAGGCAAAGCAAGTTTATGAGAGCAAGAGAACAGGAAAATGGCTGCTCCACAGACAGAGCAGGGCTACTCCACAGGCAAAGTAGCACCCGTGGATTGTTGGCTAGCTATATTTATAGCTACTCCTTAATTATGTGCTAAATAAGAGGTCGGTTATTCATGAACTTTCTAGAAAAAGGTTGGAGAGTTCCCAGAACCAGGGGTTCCTTCTCTTTTAAACTACATGAGGTAGCTTCTGGGCATTGCCATAGCATTTGTAAACGGCCATGGTGCTGGTGGGAGTGTCTTTTAGCATGCTAATACATTATAATGAGCATATAATGAGCAATGAGGGCAACTAGAATTGATGTTCATTGCCATCTCAGTTTCACTGCTTTCAGCTGGTTTCTTTAGTGCATCCTGTTTTGACCAGATCCTGTTTCATCATGAGCAGGGTCATGACCACTGCTCAGAAACAAGTCCTGCTGACCTATGTCACTGTTTGAAATGCTTATTCTTCAGTGCCATAAAGAAATAGCACTTGAGGCCAGGCATGGTGGCTCACGCCTGTAATCCCGCACTTTGGGAGGCCGAGGCCGGCGGATCACGAGGTCAGGTGATCAAGACCATTCTGACTAACATGGTGAAACGCCGTCTCTACTAAAAATACAAAAAATTAGCTGGGCGTGGTGGCGGTCACCTGTAGTCCCAGCTACTGGGGAGGCTGAGGCAGGAGAATGGCATGAACCCGGGAGGCAGAGCTTGCAGTGAGCCGAGATCGTGCCAATGTACTCCAGCCTGGGCGACAGAGCAAGACTCCGTCTCAAAAAAAAGAAAGAAATAGCACTTGAACATAGATGTATTTCATAAGGCCATTTTTACTTCCTGCAGAAAGGGTGCACTCGCCAGCAGTTTTGCAACAGGAGCACACTGAACAAAGAAGACAGGGTCATTTATAACCTGAGGCGTTCACCCTCCTGCCGGTTTCCATTGCCTGGAACAGGACCTCATATTCTGTATGTGTCCTGATTGGCTAGCAACTTAGAACCTTTTAAGAGGCAAAGGTAGAGGAGAACAAAGAAAGGAGGAAGTAACTTGTGGAATGCTGAGAAAGGTAAAAACACTTTTAAATAAGGAAGAGGAACAGGCTATGACCTAATGCTTGCTTGGAGCAGTATAAGCATGTCAGGGCAAATATTTAGGCTAAATTGTCAGAGCTAAGAACATAAAGTACATTGATTTCTTTATTATGGCTAGCAGATATTTAAGAATGCTAGCACAAGTCTTTCAATAAATTTCGCTTTTAAGAGAAGTTACTATTTATTCCTAATTAGATGGGGAGGAAAGTCTTTGAAGAGGAAACTGTACTTTACTTTTAACAATATTCCCCCTCTTTTTATTTCATAATTCCTCTTCAAACTTATTTAATGTTTTGACTTAATTGCTTTTTTTGTCCTTCTAAGAGAAGTAATTTTTTTTTAATAGGGAGGAGGAGAGTTAGCAGTTAACTCTGTAACAGTGGCAGAGACAAGTTTTTGTATAAAACTTTGAAGGTAGGGAATATTATAACAGCCTACAAGAATAAGTACACTAATAACAAGAGTGAACAAGGTGAGAATTGAAGTTAAAATTTCTTTTTATTCACTGAACTAATGTTTTATTATTTTAGAAAAGGGGTTATTTATTTTACAATTCTTGGCAAATTTATCGGATAGGGCTGTTAACCTTGGTAGCGCTTTTGTTATAGTTCTATCAGGGGCAGTATTATTAGGAACAAAGGTACAATACTGAGTTTTGTATAAAACATTTAATTTATTGGTCTTTGTGGGGAATTAGACGCATTACCACTCTGTTACAACTGAGGCATTAATTTTGTAGCTTCACCAACATTAATTGGTTTGCTTTCATGACACTGCTGAGGAATCAATTCTTTCTGCAGAGGTTCTGAGTTTTAATTATGACACAAACATCTCCTTTTTCTGCTAATTATTTAAAGCTATTTTATTTTTCTACGCCATCTGGCTAGTAGATCCTAATTGCTTAGCTATCTGTTTGATGGTATCCTCAGTGTAATTTATGAATTGTTGGTGATTGTAACATAGCTTAGTCTACATTTTTTTATAGTTACCAGAATGATGTGGATTTAAATTCTGCAGCTATTTGATTTTGTGCTTTAAACTTATCGGGCACTTCTCACAGGACCTTAATAGCATTTATGTAAACCTGAGGATTAAAGGACTCATACGTTTTTCTTGGCCTGTGGTGTTTTGTTTTTACCTTTGTAGATTGATGAAATGCCAGGATGAAGGGGATACCCAATTGGATTACAGCACAAGTACTGCTCCAATTATTTGGCAGAGTGTCCAGTAAAGGTCTTCCACTTACCACTATACATTTGTTTGGGGATGGCTAAGCATGGACTGATGGGCAAAGTCTTGGAAAGGCTTGAGCTCTTTCCATCATCGTTTAATGCTTCCAAGGAACACTAAATTTTCCTCCTGACCTGAGACGCACAAAGTAAACTTTGTGCATTCAGCATTCAGCATTCAGAGGTGGAAGCCGGATTGCCATAGGGGGCTGACCTGCAGGGTGTTAAATTTCAGGAAATAGCAGAGAGAGCTCAGTATGTTGGATTATCCCAAGCAATGGGATTTTGAAAAAGAGCCACCATACAGTCCTTATCTGAGTGGAAAGGGGATAATCTGGGATTCTGGCCTACTGTGCGTACAAGTGTAATAATCGCTTTTATTTGAAGTGCTAATGGATTATTTAATCCATTTCAGCCAGGCATTTGCATCTTGATATTTTGTCTTGACAGCGAAGGTCTGTCTGTCTTAGATCTCTTATTTTTACAAGACACCTTAGTTTTACCAGATGTAGGAGCAACTGGTGTGGGATCTAGATCTGAGGCAGCTTAAGAAGGGAAAGATGAGGGAATAATGTGTATTTTTAAAATAACTGGGGGGTCTTTTTTATTTATGTTAATTTTTTTTTTTTTTTTGAGACGGAGTCTAGCTCCGTCACCCAGGCTACAGTGCAGTGGCGCGATGTCAGCTCACTGCAACCTCCGCCTCCCGGGTTCAAGCAATTCTCCTGCTTCCGCCTCCCAAGTAGCTAGGATTACAGGCACCCACCTCCGCGCCCGGCTAATTTTTGTATTTTTAGTAGAGATGGGGTTTCACCATCTTGCCCAGGCTGGTCTCAAACTCCTGACCTCAGGTGATCCACCAGCCTCGGCCTCCCAAAGTGCTGGGATTACAGTCATGAGCCACCACGCCCAGCCTACTTATGTTAATTTTTATACCATAGAAGCGACTAAGGGCGTGTCTAGAGTTCCTTAAGGTGGAGGTGGTGATAAAGAGAAAGACAGGGTTATATTGACAAGGCTGACAGTAAGAAGGGGTAGTCCTTTTAGTGAAATAGATGAGGGGTTTTAGGTCTGCACAAACCTTTTTGTGGAAGTCTAACTTTGCTATTGGGTAGTTTGAGTGATGCAGTCCTATTTACTACAATGTTGCCAGGCAGTAGGAGCAGAAAATTGGTGTCTTGGCTGCAGGTCATTACAACAATGAGTGCTAGGAATAACTGTGTCAATTAAAGGGCTGGGATATAAATATTTGTGTGAAAAGGCTAGCTGCTGTTGATCTTTTACATTTCTACAAGGTATGACAAAGCAAGCATTAAAGGCAATAGTCTGAGTGAGTCAGACTTAGTTACATTAATAACAAAGGAGCTAATAACAGAATAAGAAAAGGAAGCAGTATAGAAGGTATATGAAAATTAATCTTTCTTTAACTTAGTAGGGCTTGATCCTAGTACAGTAACCCATGATTCTGAGAGGAAGATGTTTTCTTGACTTGAGTGTGGTGGGTCCATTTTTTTTTTTCCTCAGCTGTGTGGACGGCAGTCTCAGGGGTTAACAGCGTAAAATAGGGTTCTTCCCAGGCTGGTTTGAGTTTTTTCTTTCTAGCTTTTGATGAGGACGTGGTTTTCAGGCTGGTGCTGGTGTACTGGAAATTCTAGGGGTGGTACCTGTGCTAAAAGACTTTTAGGTCCGAGGGAAGTGAAAGTGGAAGATAAATTAAGTATAGGATTTTTGCTGCATATTCTGGGGCCTTAGGCGTCATGGTGTCACCTCCTGCTCCATTCTTGTTCAGCGCCACCCAGGGGAGGCTGCAGCCCTGCCCCTTCTTAATGTCTTGGCCTTCTTGTGGCCTTCACCACCCTTGCTCACTGTGGCCTTCAGGATGAGGGGCCTTGTGACTTACCTGGCCATCTTAGGGCCTTAAGAAAGCTAAATACCATTGTATATTTGTCAATTTTTTTGTATGATTTTATATCAAATAAGTTAAATTTTATCTTTAGTGGCCAGGCGCGGTGGCTCACGTCTGTAATCCCAGCACTTTGGGAGGCTGAGGTGGGTGGATCTCCTGATGTCAGGAGTTCGAGACAAGCCTGGCCAACATGGTGAAACCCCGCCTCTACTAAAACTAAAAAGTAAATAAATAAATAAATTTATCTTTATATTAATATGCTACTAATATTAAACTTAATTTTAGTAAGATCTTATAGACATTATCTAATTTTAATGTCTGACTATAAGGCAAGACTTTTACAGACTGTTTTTATAATTTTTGTTAAAGAGCACGTTGGTGCTTTAAGAAAAATCTATCGTGCTTTAATTTTAACGTCCAGTTCACAGAAAAACTGGATGACACCCTTTTAACTTTAGCCAATATGTTTACACACAGAATTTGATACCCTCTTAACTTTAGCCAGTATGTTTACACACAGAATTTCCTTGACAATTAACATTTTAAAACTTGCTTAAACCTTTAAAACAAAAAAATTGTCTTAACCTTTAGTGTAGGTAAAAATCCATATTCTTATGCCTCCTTGTAATCTTATTAAAAGTATATTTTATTTTTCTTACATACCTTGTAAACTGTTTAATAATAATTTTATATCCAGGAGGCCTAATTACTTTTAAATTATACAGTATTTATTGCATACATTCCCTTTTATAGCTTTTCTTACGACTTTCACAATCTTCAACATGTCTTAACTTTCTGCCTTCCTTTTACACTATTTTTTTCCTAGTTTCACCTCCTTTGTCTTCTTTTGATTTCTGTCTCTTCCAGTTTCTCTCTTACTCTTTCCTTCTATTTCTTTCTCTCATTTGCACTCTATTTTCCGCTCTCTCATCCCGTTTCCCTTTCTTCTCCGGACTTCTCCCGCTCCTGCCGCAAGCAGGGCTGGGCCACCGCACAGGCCCCGCCCCCGACCCCGCGCTGCTGTTTTTCTTTTTTTTCCCCCTGATTTCCCCTCTTACTTTTTTTTTTTTCCTTTTCTTTTTACACTTAGTTTCTTGGGCTGAGTGGGATTTGCGTGGCTGCAGTCTGGGCCCCGGGCAGTCACTAGCCTAGAGGCTTGGCAGATATGCCTGCCGCAAATTGCAAGAATTACGCCTTTTCACCTCCTCTGCTCTCCTCCCGGAGCCGGTGCCCACCCTCTTTTTCACAAACCGCAGGGCTGGGGAGAGGGACTTAACCTTTGGCCTGCCTGCCTGGCTGTTTGGCTCTGCGCTTGCTGTTTTTGGTTTCTTTCTCTTCTACTGGTCTTTCCTTTGTCTTTGCCAGCCACCTATGCTGCTGTTTTCTCCTCTGCTTCCCTCTCCCCTAGGGGAGGGACCGGCAGGAGTGGAGCTACTGTTTCTTTCCCTGAGAAGAAAGAAAAGGGGAGTTCTGAATATTTTTCTTACTACTGGAGGTTTGTGTGAGGTTCAACCCCCCCAACAATAGGGATTTCTCACCTCTAAGACATCCTAAGGAATACTTTACCACCCCTGCGGTTTTTCTCTCTTTGGTATGTCCTAACCAAGGAATGCTTTACCATCCCGGCTTTTTCCTTAGTCCCGACCACCAAGGAAATACTTTACCGGCTCCTGCGGCTTCTCCTTCCTTGGTCTGTGCACAGTTGTCATTCCATTACATGAGGATCTTTAAGCTAGGTTGCTGGCCAGTTTTTTTTTTTTTTGCCCCCATTGCTGAGAGCCCAGGTTTATTCGTCACACCGGGTGGGTCTCAATTTCTTACCTATGAGGACCTTGCAATGAAGTAGGGGAGCGCTACCCCATGAGAGAGGACTGGAGACCGCCCCTAGAGAAGAATGTATCCCCGTACGGATTGCCACCAAATTGTTTGAAATGCTTGTTCTCCGGTGCCATAAAGAAATAGCACTTGAACATAAATTTATTTAGTAAGGCCATTTTTACTTCCTGCAGAAAGGGTACACTCAGCCAGCAGTTTTGGCACGAGAGTACACAACTAAGGAGATAGGGTCATTTATAACCTGACGCGTCCACCCTACTGCTATGTCCGGTTTCCACTGGCTGGGATGGGGCCTCACATTCTGTATTTGTCCCGATTGGCGAGCAACTTAGAATTTTTTTTTTTTTTTTGATGGAGTCTCACTCTGTCGCCCAGGCTGGAGTGCAGTGGCAGGTTCTCAGCTTACTGCAAGCTCCACCTCCCGGGTTCACGCCATTCTTCTGCTTCAGCCTCCCAAGTAGCTGGGACTACAGGCTCCCGCCACTATGCCTGGCTAATTTTTTGTATTTTTCCTAGAGACGGGGTTTCATGTGTTAGCCACATGGTCTTGATATCCTGACCTCGTTACCCGCCCGCTTTGGCCTCCCAAAGTGCTGGGATTACAGGCGTGAGCCACCACCCCCCACCACCGCCCAGCCAATTTAGAACCTTTTAAAAGAAGCAAAGGTAGATGAGAACAAAGGAAGGAGGAAGTAACTTGTGGAATGCTGAGAAAGGTGAAAACACTTTTAAATAAGGAAGAGGAACAGGCTATGACCTAATGCTTGCTTGGACCAGTATAAGCATGCCAAGGCAAATATTTAGGCTAAATTGTGGGAGCTAAGAACATAAAGTACGTTGATTTCTTTATGACGGCTAGCAGATATTTAAGAATGTTAGCACAGGTCTTTGAATAAATTTTGCTTATAAGAGAAGTTACCATTTATTCCTAATTAGGGAGGAAAGTCTTTGAAAAGGAACCTCTACTTTACTTTTTAGTTACTATGAGGATCACTATATCAATGTTTCTTAATTCATATGCTAAAGTGCACTCAATTTTTTTTTTTTTTTGAGACGGAGTCTCGCTCTGTCGCCCAGGCTGGAGTGCAGTGGTGCGATCGCCAATTGCCGCTCAATGCAAGCTCTGCCTCCTGGGTTCACGCCATTCTCCTGCCTCAGCCTCTGGAGTAGCTGAAACTACAGGCACCCACCACCACGCCTGGCTAATTTTTTGTATTTTCCCTATAGAAGGCGTTTCACCATGTTAGTCAGGATGATCTCGATCTCCCGACGTCGTGATCCACCTGCCTCGGCCTCCCAAAGTGCTGGGTTTACAGGCGTGAGCCACCACGCCCTGCCCTCAATTTCTTTTTTCACATTGACATCTATCTCAAAGGAAGAGCAACTTAACCAATGCCTTTGTGGTACACATCAGTGGCTACAACTTTCACAATTACAGCACAGATAAAAAAGGCATCTGAATAACAGCATAAACATGGCATCTGAGCTCCAAAATTTCATCTCCTTACAAGAAAGTGGTTATTTTCCAGTGACTGCAGGAATAGTTTCACACTGGGTACTGGCATTATCTCAGAATAAATGTTTTTGTTTTATTTTTTTTGAGACAGCGTCTAACTGTCGCCTAGGCTGGAGTGCAGTGGTGTGATCTCAGCTCACTGTAACCTCTGTTGCCTGGGTTCAAGTGATTCTCCTGCCTCAGCCTCCTGAGTAGCTGGGATTACAGGCATGTGCCACCACGCCTGGCTAATTTTTGTATTTTTAGTAGAGATGGCGTTTCACTATGTTGGCCAGGCTGGTCTCAAACTCCTGACCTCAAGTGATCCACCCACCTTGGCCTCCCAAAGTGCTGGGATTACAGGCGTGAGCCACCACGCCTGGCCTCAGAATCAATTACAGGCGCAGTGGCTCACGACTCAGGCCTGTAATCCCAGCACTTTGGGAGTCCAAGGCAGGCAGATCATTTGAGGCCAGGAGTCTGAGATGAACCTGGTAACACGGCAAAACCCCATCTCTTCTAAAAATCAAAAAACAGCCAGCATGGTGGCTCATGCATGTAATCCCAGCTATGTGGGAGGCTCAGGTGGGAGAATCGCTTGAACCTGGGAGGTAGAGGTTGCAATGAGCCAAAATCACGCCACTGCACTCCAACCTGGTCGACAGTCTTTAAAAAAAAAAAAAAAGCAGCCGCACGCGATGGCTCATGCCTGTAATGCTAGCACTATGGGAGGCCGAGATGGGCGGATCACAAGGTCAGGAGATCGAGACGATCCTGGCTAACACAGTGAAACCCTGTCTCTACTAAAAATACAAAAAATTAGCCAGGCGTGTTTGCGGGCGCCTGTAGTCCACAGGACTGGCTGAGGCAGGACAATGGCGTGAACCCGGAAGGCAGAGCTTGCAGTGACCTGAGATTGCCCCACTGCACTCCAGCCTGGGGGACAGAGTGAGACTCCACCTCAAAAAAAAAAACACAAAAAAACACAAGCAGCAACTCAAATATCCATAAACGGATGAATGAATATATAATGACATTTCATGGCAGACTATACTTCTCAGCAATATACAACAAATTAACTCATGTCTACATTGATATCAAAATAAGCATGATGCAGGAGAGCACCCAGGGATTATAAGAGGAAACACTTTATTACATCAGTCAGAAAATTCTAGAAAATGGAAAGTATTATACAGCAGAGTAAATCAATGGTTGTCTGCATAGAGAAAAACTTTATAAAGGCTCCAGGTGAATACAAAGGTGATAGATTAGATAAATTCATTATTGTGACTCTGATGATGGTTTCATGGGATTATAAGAAAATTCAAGCCAGGAGCAGTGGCTCACGCCTGCAATCCCAACACTTTGAGAGGCCAAGGCGGGCAGATCACGAGGTCAGGAGATTGAGAACTTCCTGGCTAACAGGGTGAAACCCCATCTCTACTAAAAATACAAAAAAGGTAGGAGTGGTGGTGGTTGCCTGTAGTCCCAGCTATTAGGGAGGCTGAGGCAGGAGAATGGCATGAACCCAGGAGGCAGGGCTTGCAGTGAGCCGAGATTATGCCACTGTACTCCAGCCTGGGTGACAGAGCGAGGCTGTCTCAAAAAAAAGAAAAAGAAAATTCAAGACTTATCCTACAGCTCAAATATGCATACTTTATTGGATGTCATTTATATATTTTATTTTTGAAACAGGGTCTCACTCTGTGGTCCAGACTGGACTGCAGTGTTGCAATCTCGGCTCACTGCAACCTCTGCCTCCCAGGCTCAAGCAAATCCTCCCATGTAGCAATCCTCCCACATGACAGCTCTCCTGTGAGTTATGCAGCCAGACTTCTGGATAAATATCCTGTATTTGTCACACTAGTAAGGCCTTCATTCAGTGTTAACTATAATCCTGAAGGAATACAGAGGTGTGGCTACAAAACTGCCCAAATTTATTTTACTTGTAAGGACTCTTCTCTAGTGTGAACTCTCCAATATCCAAGGAGAGCAGACCTTTGGGTAAACATTTTCCACATTTGCTGCAATCACAGGATCTTACTCAGGTGTGTATTCTCCAATATTTAATGAGACTGGACTCACTGCACTCATAAGCCCTTTCTTTTGTGAACTCTCTGATGATGACGAAGTGAAGAGATTTGCCTAAATTTTTTTTCACATTCACTGCACCCGTAAGGCTTTTCTCCAGTGTGAACTCTCCTGTGTTTAGTGAGACTGGAGCTTTCGGCAAAAGATTTCCCACATTCACTGCACTCATAAGGCTTCTGACCAGTGTGAACTCTCTTATGAACACGGAATGTAGAGCTGTGGGTAAATGACTTCCCACAATCACTGCATTCATATGGCCTTTCTCCAGTGTGAACTCTCTGGTGTGCAATGAGGTGGTACTTGTGCCTAAAAAATTTCTGACAAACCTCACACTCATATGGCTTCTCTCCAGTGTGAATTCTCTGGTGTACAAGGAGGTGGGACTTACTGTTAAATAATTTCCCACATATCCCACACGTATAAGGTTTTTCTCTAGTGTGAACTCCTTGATGATTACTGAAGCTGTCATATTTGCTAGAGGATTTCCCACATTCACACCACACAGAAGGTTCTTCTGTAGGGAGCAGTCTCTCGTGCTGACTGAGTATATCTTTGGTGCTAAAATGTTTCATGCATCCTCCACAGCTGTAATGGCTTTTTCCCCCATGAAACAGAGACACACACTCAGTTTTGCTGTTTGACTTCCCAGTGTGAGTGGCCTCTTGCTGGAGTAATCCTGACCTGAGCAAAAAGTCTTTCCCACTCTCACTGAAGACAGATGACTCCCCTGACACATGCAACTTACACCTCTTCGCAAACAACGCCTCCTCAACACTCCCTCTGTAGGGTTTCTCTCCAATGTGCTCATTCTGGTGCTGATGAAAGTTTCCACTGTCATACAATTTATTCCCCCAGGCCTCACACCTGTGCAGTTTCTGCTTGTGATGTGTTCCCTGATGATCTGCCACATGCAAAATGTCTCCCAAGATCGGGCCACACATCTCACAGGGGTGGGCCTTCTTGGGAGACACACCTGCCATAGGAGTCCTGACCTGAGTCTCTCTTTGTATATAAATACTCTGCTTAGAAGGTGCCGCCTCATCTTCCACTCCACACCAACAACCTGAAAGCAAGAAAATGCTGGTGAAGTGCATGTTAACTCTGGTGGGAAGGCACAGACCACCCACAAGTGTATCTGAAAAACTGAGGAATTACTCCAAGGAAGTACTTGGAGGAACAGGATGTTGGCTTCAGGTGGAAGATGGTGCTATGTATTATTACTGGACTATAATGGTCACAGAATGTAGGAGGCCTCATAACATAAAGGACACAACCATGTATGTAACACAGGGAGTAGAGGCAGGGTCTACAATCCCTGCATCTGCAAACCACTCATCTGCAGAATTTATGTCCTCATGACATGCGAGTGCTGTAGAGAGGGATTTGTCCAGGCCAAGGAAAACACAAGCACAACACAGCAGCTTCTGCTTGAGGACAGTTTAACAAAGTGTACACATTTGCTAACACAAAACCTGTATGCTAATACTGGAAACCACTGCAGATGAAGATGTGAATAAAATTAAGATGTGAGGTCCAGAGATGTGAAGATTATTCAGGGGAATAAATATCAGACTACAAGCTCATGTACAAATCAGTTAAAGGATTTAAAAAAAAAAAAAGTACAACTGACAAGGAGTACAACTGACAATTCTGAGGTTCTTAACAATGGGGAAGAGGCCAGTACCAGTGGCTCACAGCTGTAAACCCAATGTAGGAAGATCACCTGAGCCCAGAAATCCAAGACCAGCCTGGGAAACATGGTGAGACCCTGTCTCTACAGAAATTATTTTTAAAATGGCCAAGCATGGTGACTCATGCCTACAATCCCAGCACTTTGGGAGGCTAAGGCAAAGGGATCACTCAGGCCCAGGAGATCAAGACCAGCCTGAGCAACACAGCAAAACCTCTCTACAAACATTAGCCAGGTGTGATGGTGTGCACCTGCAGTCCTAGCTACTCAGGAGACTGAGGCTGGAGGATCACTTGAGCCCAGGAGGTTGAGGCTGTGTGAACTATATTCACACCACTGCACTCCAGGTAACAAAAATGACAGTGTGAGAACCTGTCTCAAAAAAGAAAAGAGAAGAGGAGAGGAGAGGGGAGGGAAAGGGAGAAGAGGGAAGAGGAAAGAGAAGAGAGAAGAAAAGGGCCAGGTGTCGTGGGTCATGCCTGTAATCCCAGCACTTTGGGAGGCAGAGCTGGGCGGATCACCTGACGTCAGGAGTTTGAGACCAGCCTGACCAACATGGAGAAACACTGTCTCTACTAAAAATACAAAATATTAGCCTTTGGGGAAAAGAAAGAGAGATCAGACTGTTACTGTGTCGATGTAGAAAGAAGCAGACATAAGAGACTCCATTTTGTTCAGTACTAAGAAAAATTATTCTGCCTTGAGATGCTGTTAATCTGTAACCCTACTCCCAACCCTGTGCTCCAGAAACATGTGCTGTGTCAACTCAAGGTTAAATGGATTTTGGGCTATGCAGGACGTGCTTTGTTAAACAAGTGCTTCAAGGCAGCATGCTTGTTAAAAGTCATCACTACTCCCTACTCTCAAGGACCCAGGGACACAAAACACTGCCTAGGAAAGCCAGGTATTGCCCAAGGTTTCTCCCCATGTGATAGCCTGAGATATGGCCTCATGGGAAGGGAAAGACCTGACAGCCCGACGCCAGTAAAGGGGCTGTGCTGAGGATTAGTAAAAGAGGAAGGCCTCTTTGCAGTTGAGATAAGAGGAGGGCATCTGTCTCCCGCTCATCCCTGGGCAATGGAATGTCTGGGTGTTAAAACCCAATTGTATATTCCATATACTGAGATAGGAGAAAACCGCCTTAGGGCTGGAGGTGAGACATGCTGGAGGCAATACTGCTCTTTAAGGCATTGAGATGTTTATGTATATGCACATCAAAAGCACAGCACTTTTTTCTTTACCTTGTTTATGATGCAGAGACATTTGTTCACATGTTTTCCTGCTGAACCTCTCCCCACTATTACCCTATTGACCTGCCACATGGTAGAGATAATGATCAGTAAATACTGAAGGAACTCGGAGACTGGTGGCGGCAGGGGGAAGGCAGGGTTCCTCCGTATGCTGAGCGCCAGTCCCCTGGGCCCACTTTTCTTTTTTTTTTTTATTTTTTATTCTTTATTGAGACGGAGTCTCGCTCTGTTGCTCAGGCTGGAGTGCGGTGGCACAATCGCGGCTCACTGCAAGCTCCGCCTGCCGGGTTCACGCCATTCTCCTGCCTCAGCCTCTCCGAGTAGCTGGGACTACAGGCGCCCGCCACCACGCCTGGCTAATTTTTTTGTATTTTTAGTAGAGACAGGGTTTCACCGTGGTCTCAATCTCCTGACCTCGTGATCCGCCTGCCTCGGCCTCCCAAAGTTCTGGGATTACAAGCATGAGCCACCGCACCCAGCCCACTTTTCTTTCTCTATATTTTGGATCTGTGTCTCTTTCTTTTCTCAAGTCTCTCATTCCACCTGACGAGAAACACCCACAGGTGTGGAGAGGCAGGCCACCCTTCATTAGCCGGGCATGGTGGCACATGCCTGTAATCCCAGCTACTCAGGAGGCTGAGGGCAGAATTGCTTGGGCCTGGGAGACAGAGGTTGCGGTGAGCCAGATCGCACCATTGCGCTCCAGCCTGGACAACAAGAGCGAAACTCCATCTCAAAAAAAAAAAAAAAAAAAAAAACAATGGAGAAGGCCAGGTGCAGTGGATCATGCCTGTAATCCCAGCACTGTGGGAGGCAAAGGCAGGCGGATCATGAAGTCAGGAGTTTGAGACCAGCCTGGCCAATATGGTGAAACCCCATCTCTACTAAAAATACAAAACATAGCCAGGCGTGGTGGTGCACGCCTGTAGTCCCAGCTACTTGGGAGGCTGAGGCAGAAGAATTGCTTGAACCTGGGAGGTGGAGGTTGCAGTGAGCCAAGATCGCACCACTACACTCCAGCCTGGGCAACAAAGTGAGACTCTGTCTCAAAAAAAAAAAAAAAAAAAAAAATTAGCTGGGCATAATGGCATGCACCTGTATTCCCAGCTTCTCAGGAGGCTGAAGCAGGAGAAGTGCTTCAGCCCAGGAGGCAGAGGTTGCAGTGAGCAGAGATCAAGCTACTGCACTCCAGCCTGGGCAACAGAACAAGACCCTTTCTCAAAAAACAAACAAACAAAACCAAAAACAAGAATGAAGGAGAAAAGACGATACAGAAATCATGTGTGCTTACTTGTCTGGCCCCAAAAATACTACTGAAATAGAAGAGGTTTCTGTCATGATTTGAATAAAACTCTTGACATCATGCACCACTGTCCTAGGATGCTATTTTTCAGGGACTCAGAACCCATAATGCTGAGGCCAGATTCATTTGCATCTTCTGACCACAGAAGATGATCCCACCACCAAGATAACCAAGTACATGAGACATACATGATGTAAGAACAAAGGGAAAGACAGAACAAGGAAACAGCCAACACTGGCTTAGAACAACTCAGCACATGACAGCAGACAGGAAACAATATTACAAAAAGAATTTCTGTTTTTTGAGACGGAGTCTTGCTCTGTTGCTCAGGCTGGAGCGCAGTGGCACAATCTCAGCTCACTGCAACCCCTGCCTCCTGGGTTCAAGCTATCCTCCCACCTTAGCCTCCCAAGTAGCCAGGATTAAAAGCGTGTGCCACCACACCTGGCTAATTTTTATATTTTCAGTAGAGATGGGGTTTCACCATGTCGGCCAGGCTGTTCTCGAACTCCTGGCCTCAAGTAATCCACCTACCTTGGCCTCCCTGAGTGCAGAAATTATAGGCATGAGCCACTGCACCAGACCTATGAAGAGAATTTCTAAGGACGGTATTACAAGAACAGTCTATAGTCTATGTAGGCAGTGACAATGTCAATGAAGACAATTCCTGGCACAGGGAGGCATGAAGAAATAACAGGTAGAGGAATGAATTAGATCCCGAACCTGAAATCTGGATGAAATCACACAAACATCCACAGGACAAACAAGGTAGCCTGCATTAAGTTGCCTGTAAGACTTCTGACTCTGAATTCTTCCCTGGGAGCTCAATAGCAGGTGTTGGGGCTGCTCCAAGAATGGAGAGGGCAGTATGCATACCTCAGTCCTACCAACCAAGAACTGAAGTAGGAAGCTGTGTCCATGCTCCTGACATGAGAAAGTCTTGCCAATAGAAAAAGAGGGGGAAAGACAGAGACTAGCTCAGGTCACAGGGGTGAGTGTGGGCAACTTACCCAGGGAGGACATAAGTGCCAGGTTCTCCAGCGTCACATCACGGTACAGGCATCTCTGAGCCTCACTAAGGAGATTCCATTCCTCCTGGGTAAATTTCACAGCCACGTCTTCAAAAGTCACTGTGCCCTGTTATGATGTTGACAGATGAAACCACAAACCACCCCTATGCTGAGGTATCACAATCCATCTCTCCCACACATCTACTCTCGCACATCCTCCTCTCAAGGTCCTCAAACATAGGAGAAACTAGGCCCACTGGTCATGGGGTACAGCCACCAACAACAATAGTTAGTTGAACAAATAGGTATCTGTGCGGTGGCTGTGATATAAGAGTCCACCCCCTCCTGACAGGCACTTCCCCTAGTATGGCCGAGGTCATGGAAAGCCCAATGTGGCACCTTCAGCACAGCAGAGATACCCTCTCTGAACGCACCTCATTCTTTTTTTTTTTTTTTTTTTTTTTTTTTTGATACGGAGTCTCGCTCTGTCACCCAGGGTGGAGTGCAATGGCGCGATCTCGGCTCACGCAACCTCCGCCTCCCGGGTTCAAGCGAGTCTGCTGCCTCAGTTTCCCAAGTAGCTGGGATTACAGGCATGCGCCACCACGCCTGGCTAATTTTGTATTTTTAGTAGAGACAGGGTTTCTCCATGGTTGGTCAGGCTGGTCTCTACCTCCGGACCAACCCGCCTAGGCCTCCCAAAGTGCTGGGATTACAGGAGTGAGCCACTGCACCCGGCCCCACCCTCCACTTTCTTGTATGCGTTCCTTAAATGCTTCTACAGCCATAAAGGCCTGAGGGAAGAGGCTGACTTTACAGGACTGTGTCCCTGATAGGATCTGGTAAGCTCAGGCCTCCCTGAACGCTTTTGTGTCCACGGAGCCAGGTGACCTTGGACTATTGTCTAACCTGCGTGTCTCAGCACAAAGTGTCATCTCTACCACCTATATGATCTACAAGGATTCAATCTCAAAGGGCCCCAACGTCATCCCCTCTCTACTCTGTTATTTATTTGGCCTTTAGGAAACTTTAAAAGCCTGGACTTTGATCCAGTCCCTTCTTTCTTGGAAATTCTCCTATTTCTAGTGTCCTCGCAATGATTTCACAGCCCCCAGCCTCCTTGCTTTTCCAGGAGGAGTTCCGCCTCACAGGTTGTTCCCTACAGGCGCCTGTGGACCCCAGGTTCCATCCTCCCGGATCCGTCCATCTCCAGGCCATTGCCCGCGCCCCTCCCTGTACCTGTCGCTCTCCCCACCGCATCCCACGGGTGTCTGAAACAGGGATCCCTCCCGAGAGCGCCTCAGTGTCCCGACGCCGGGTCCGGGTTGCAGAGCCGTAAACAGGTGCCGCTCCCTCGCTGCTTTAGGACTTGTGTGACTAGGAGGTGACCGGAGAGCACGGAAGGCGCCACAATTACCTGAACGGGGAACCTTAGCGCGGCCGCCGCCATGGGACCACGTGGGGTAAGCTGGGTTGAGAGCAGCGGGCGCCGTTAAAGAGCTGCAGAGTCACGTCTGTGCAAAGAGAAGAACGACTCTCGACCTCCTGGATCCAGTCACCACCACGGTCCCAACACAGCGCTCCAAGGACTCCCTAACGCCAATGGAAATGGTCGCTACTAAAGGGCGCCGGGAGTCCCGCCTCTACCTTACTTGCGCACACGGAAACGCCTTCAATGTGAACTCTCACTGGCTCTGCCGTGCTGTCATTTGACGCAGAGCTTTCTGGGTAATGTAGTTTCCCAGGTTCCAAGGCCGTAAAGAGAGAGATTCCCAGGGGCGCTTCGGAAGGAAAAGCCCAGCTCCACCTCCGGGGCCCTCAGGGAAGCCTCCTGACCCGCACGGTGGCGCGCGCCTGTAATCCCAAATTTTGAGAGGCTGAGGTGTCAGGACTGCTTGAGCCCAGGTGGTCCAGGCTGCACTGAGCTATGACTGCACCACTGCACTCCAGCCTGGGCGACAGAACCTGTCTCAAAAGAAAAAGAAATGTTAATTAAGCGTTTGTGCTGTTAAGGGAGGAGACCACCTCTCATATTGTTTTATGCCCAATTTCTGCCTCCAAAGAAACAAGTAAAAACTAAAAGGCAGAAATGAAATCCACAGGCAGACAGCCAGGTGCCAACCCTGGGCCTGGTTAAAGATCGACCCCTGACCAAACCGGTTATGTTATCTATGGATTCCAGACATTGTATGGAAAAGCATTGTGAAAATCCCTGTCCTGTTCTGTTCCGTTCTGATTACCACTGCATGCAGCCCCCAGTCGTGTACCCCCTGCTTGCTCAATCGATCACAAACCTCTCATGTGGACCCCCTTAGAGTTGTAAGCCCTTAAAAGGGACAGGAATTCCTCACTTGGGGAGCTTGGTAGTTGGAGATGTGAGTCTTGCCAAAGCTCCAGGCTGAATACAGCCCTGCGGCTTGTCCTGCTACATTTCTTGGTTCCCTGACTGGGAAGCCAGGTGATTAACAGATAGTCGAGGCAGCCCCTTAGGCAGCTTAGGCCTGCCCTGTGGAGCATCCCTACAGGGGACTCTGGCCAGCTTGAGGGACGCAGAACCTGAGAGCACTCCCGGGTAGGCAATTGCCCCAGTGGAACACCTCGCCAGAGTGGCGTGTGGCAGGCCCCCACAGAGGATCAATGCAGCGGCTGAACACTGGGAAGGAACAGGCACTTGGAGTCCGGACATCTGAAACTTGGTAAGACTAGTCTTTGGAACTTGCCCACTCCATTTGAGTGGAAGGGTGGCCTGATCACCCACGGCATGCCTGTACCGGCACTTTGGTTTTTGTTTTTGACTTGATTTGGATTGCTTGATACTTTCGTTTTGGTTTTGACCTGGCTTGGATTTCTGGATACTCTGATTTGGATTTTGATTCTGGTTTGGTGTAAACGGTAAAAGTGTATGTGTGCCCTTTTTACCTGTTCTTTGTTTTGTGGTGTGCGTGTGGTGTGAGCGTGGTGTTTTGTCTCAAAGAAGCATGGGTCAGGCACAAAGTAAGCCCACTTCACTAGGAACTATGTTGAAACATTTCAAGAAAGGATTTAAGGGAGATTACAGTGTTACTATGACACCAGGAAAACTTAGAACTTTGTGTGAAATAGACTGGCCAGCATTAGAGGTGGGTTGGTCATCAGAAGGAAGCCTGGACAGGTCCCTTGTTTGAAAGGTATTGTGTCCAGAATTGGTTCCTTCCGGTGGGTTCTTGGTCTCGCTGACTTCAAGAATGAAGCCGCAGACCCTCACGGGCAGTGTTAAAGTTCTTAAAGATGGTATGTCTGGAGTTTGTTCCTTCAGGTGTTCAGATGTGTCTAGAGTTTCTTCCTTCTGGTGGGTTCGTGGTCTCGCTGGCTTCAGGAGTGAAGTGGCAGACCTTCGCGGTGAGTGTTACAGCTCATAAAGGCAGTGCGGGCCCAAAGAGTGAGCAACAGCAAGATTTATTGCGAAGAGCGAAAGAACAAAGTTTCCACAGTGTGGAAGGGGACCTGGGCGGGTTGCTGCTACTGGCTGGCCAGCTTTTATTCCCTTATTTGACCCCACCCACATCCTGCTGATTGGTCCATTTTATACAGCGACAGAGTGAGACTCCACCTCAAAAAAAAAAAAAAAAAAAAAAAGAAGAATCTCATTTTGAAGCCAAAACCATCAGAGTGACCATTCCAATTATGTGCTGAGCATAATTCCATCTCTTAGACATCAGTGCTAACATTTCTCTGAGGCCCTAAGTTTTTTCACCATCTACTGATGTTTCCTCAGAACTACTTCTGTCAGAACTGTTGAATAATTACCTAGTCAGTGTTTTTTGTTTTTTTTTTTCACACAGAGTCTCGCTCTGTCGCCCAGGCTACAGTGCAACGGCTCAATCTTGGCTCACTGTAACCTCTGCCTCCTGGGTTCAAGTGATTCTTCTGCCTCAGCCTCCTGAGTAGTTGGGATGACAGGTGCGTGCCGCCACGCCCAACTAATTTTGTACTTTTAGTAGAGACGAGGTGTCACCATATTGGCCAGGGTGGTCTCAAACTCCTCACCTGGTGATCCACCCGCCTCGGCCTCCCAAAATGCTGAGATTACAGGCATGAGCCACCATGCCTGGCCTATCTAGTCAGTATTAATAGGCTTTCGTATCTTGCATTTTACAACTGTTTCTCTCATGTAATTTTAATTTTTCATGCAGAACACTCCCTGCTCTCTTAAGATAAATCAATGATAATCACTTCCCATCAATGACATGAACTCATGGATTTAACAAATGCCCAGTATGACCAGATGGAGAGCACTACCTTTAAGGACTGTAGCTATTACCACTATCAAGCTACCAAATCCTTTATTGTTGTTTATATATATAAAACTGACTTCAAATTCCTAAAAGGAGTTGAATATAAGTTAGAATATCAAGTAAAGGATACTAAGTGGGTAAAAGTGTGGTGCAATTAATTGAATGCTACAATTGATTTGTGAACCCCCCAAATGTGAGACAGGTCTCAGTTCATTTGAAAAATTTATTTTGCCGGCCAGGCGTAGTGGCTGACTCCTGTAATCCCAGCATTTTGGGAGGCCGAGGCAGGCGGATCACGAGGTCAAGAGATTGAGACCATCCTGGCCAACAAGGTGAAACCACTAAAAATATAATAATTAGCTGGGCAAGGTGCTGCGCGCTTGTAGGCCCAGTTACTCGGGAGGCTAAGGCAGGAAAATCGATTGAACCTGGGAGACGGAGGTTGCAGTGAGCCAAGATCTCGCCACTGCACTTCAGCCTGGCGACTGAGGGAGACTCAATCTAAAAAAAAAAAAAAGTTTATTTTGCCAAAGGTGAGGATGCATGCCCGTGACACAGCTTCAGGAAGTCCTGACGGCACGTGCCCAAGGTGGTTGGGGCACAGATTGTATGTTTTGTTTTGTTTTGTTTGAGACGGAGTCTTGCTCTGTCGACCATGCTGGAGTGGAGTAGCGCGATCTCTGCTCACTGAAAGCTCCGACTTCTGGGCTCATGCCATTCTCCTGCCTCAGCCTCTCTAGTAGCTGGGACTACAGGCGCCCACCACCAGGATGGCTAATTTTTTTTTGTATTTTTACCAGAGACGGGGTTTCACCCTGTTAGCCAGGACGGTCTGGATCTCCTGACCTCATGATCTGCCCACCTCCGCCTGCCAAAGTGCTGGGATTACAGGCCTGAGCCACCGCGCCGGCTGGTTTAATACATTTTAGGGGGGCATGAGACATCAGTGAATATTTGTAAGAATTACATCGGTTCTGACCAGAAAGGCGGGGACAACTCCAAGCAGGGAGGGGACTTCCAGGTCACATGTAGGTGAGAGACAAATAGTTGGATTCTTTTTAGTTTCTGATAAGTGTTTCCAAAGGAGGCAATCAGACTATGCACCTATCTCAGTGAGGAGAGCAATGACTGAATAGAATGGGAGGCAAGTTTGCCCTGAGCAGTTCCCAGATTGACTTTTCCCTTTAGCTTAGTAATTTTGAGGCCACAAGATTTTCCTTTCACAGATTCTATCAGCAGGAGAGTTGTTTTCTGTAGGAATCACAGAGATTCAGCTTTGCACTCCTGCTGTAGGGGAGCACATCCCTAACTTCCTTCATTTGCCTTAGGCACTCTAAGGCTTCTGAGGGCCTTCAGACACATTATAACACAACAACGCTTATCAGCTTCTGCTTCCAGTGCAGGTATTTTGCGACTGAACGACTGTTTCAAACGGTGTGGTAATTTGGATTTTTAGCCTTTGGGAGAATCCTAAATAATAGTTTCAGCTTGAGCTCCCTATTATTTACCTTGAGCTCCCCGAAATCTGAAGTAGTATTTTTCCAAATTCTTGAGTGATTAGTTACAGACACTAGTCTCCAGGAATCTCAATACGGCTTCTAAGGCTAGGTGAGACCCCTCCTCTGCCCTAGAAAGGCGCCTTTTTTTTTTTTTTTTTTTTTTTTTTGAGACAGAGTCTTGCTCTGTCGCGCAGGCTGGAGGGCAGTGGCGCGATCCCAGCTCACTGCAAGGAGGTTCACGCCATTCTCCTCCAGCCTCAGCCTCCAGAGTAGCTGTGACTATAGGCGCCCGCCACCACGCCCAGCTAACTTTTTTTTTTTGAATTTTTAGTAGACACGGGGTTTCACCGTGTTAGCCAGGATGGTCTCGATCTCCTGACCTCGCGATCCGCCCGCCTCAGCCTCCAAAAGTGCTGGGATTACTGGCGTGAGCCACCGCGCCCGGCCTCAGGGCGCGCTTTTAAGGAGAGTTCCTGACATGACGGTGGGCTTTTCCTGCAGATGCACCTCTGGGTAGCGCCCTCTTTACAGCCTTGAAACCTGGTCAACTACATTACTCAGAAAGCTCTGCGTTGAATGAATGCCGTCAGAGCCAATGAGGGCTCGGAAAGAAGCATTTCCGTGTGTGCGCCTAATGTAGGGCCGAGACTTCCGGGGTCCTCTTGTAGCGGCCACGTTGATCTGCGATACGCGTGTTTGCCCAGTGAGTGGCCCCGGACTGCTACGTGGGACTGCGGTGAATGAACCCAGAAGGTGGAGAGGAACCGTTCTCGGTGCACAGAGGCGGCTCTGCAGCCCGGTGAGGGCGCCTGCTGCTCCCGGGCAGTGCTTTCCCCAAGTAGTCCGATGGCTGCGGCTGCGCCGAGGCGCCCTACTCAGGTAATTGTGGCGTTTTCTGTGCCCTCAGGTCACCTCATCGTCACCCAGGTCCTAAACCAGCGAGGGAGAGGCTCCTGCTCACGGGTCTGTAGCCGGTACCCGGCGTAGGGACACTGAGGCGCTGGCAGGAGGGGTCCCTGTGTAAACGTCCAGTGGATTCACCTTGCCAGCTGCCTAGAGAGAGCCGATTTGTGAAGACAGGGGAATTGTAAGGAGAAATAGTAATTCACGCAGAGCCGGCTGTTCGGGAGACAGGAGTTTTATTATTATTCAAATCAGTCTCCCCGAGCATTTCTGGATCAGAGTTTTCAAAGTTAATTTGGCGGGTAGGGGCTTGGGAAGTGGGGAGTGCTGAACGGTCAGGTTGGAGATGGATTTATAGAGGGTTGAAGTGAGTTTTTCATGCTGTTTTCTGTTGTGGGTGGGATGGCAGAACTGATTGACCCAGATTACCGGTCTGTGTGTTGTCAGCTGATCCATCCAGTGTAGGATCTCCAAAATACCTCAAGCACTGATCTTAGCTTTTACAATTGTTATGTTATCTTCAGGAGCAACTTGGCGAGGTTCAGACTCTTGGAGCCAGAAGCTACATGACCCCTAAACGGTAATTTCTAATCTTATAGCTAAACTGTTAGTCCTGCAAAGGCAGGCTGGTCCCCAGGCAAGAAGGGAGTCTTTTCAGGAAAGGGCTGTTATCAATTTTGTTTCAGAGTGAAACCATGAACTGAATTCCTTCCCTAAGTTAATTCAGCCTGTGCCCAGGAATGAACAAGGACAGCTTAAAGGTTAAAAGCAAGATGGAGTCGGTTAGGTCTGATTTCTTTCACTGTCATAATTTCCTCAGTTATAATTTTGCAAAGACGGTTTCACCTGTGTTTGACATCAGTGCGATGCGGTGGGGAGAGCAACAGGCACAGGGAGGGGCCTAGGCGATGGTCTGGAGATGGAGGCAGCTGGGAGGATGGAACCTGGGGTCCACAGGCACCTGTCGGGAACAAAGTTTGAGGCAGAGCTACTCCTGGAAGAGCACACAGGCTGAGGGCTGTGCATTCATCATGAGGACACTAGAAGCCATGGAGAGTTTTGAAGAAAGGAGGGACATGATCCAAATCCAGGCTTTTAAGATTTCCCAAAGGCCAATCAAAGGAAGAACATTGTAGAGAGAGAGGATGAGGACTTTGGGGCCTTGGGAGGTTGAATCCTTTTTGTAGCTCACATAGGTGGTAGAGATGACATTTTGCACTGAGACAAGCAGGTCAGACAACCAGCCTGAGTGCCACCTGGCTCCAGGGACAAGAAAGGGTTCAGGGAGGCCTGAGCTTATCAAATCCCGTGACATGTTTGTAATGTCTGCCTCTCCCCTCAGGCACTCCTGGCTGCAGAAGCACTTAGGGAACCCACACAGGAAAGTGGAGGGTGTTCAATCCCCTCATTGGTCCTGACGCCATCTACAGGTTCTCTAGCTTGTGGTGTCCTGGGACTCTTAAGTGCCATTTTTTTCAGTCCTTTGATCCGAGGACCCTGGAGAATCTCTGAAGCCAGGATACCAAGTCCATGACAGGTTATATGGAGGTATTCCCATTTCTGTCAACCAATGTAAACACCCTTGTAAGATTAACCCAGGATTTGCTACCAGGTTGTGAAATGCTTAGAGATAAAACGGATCAAAGTCAGGAGGTGATATTACCACAGTTCTACCTGGCTACAGGCTTCATCTGGTTGGACCTTGTTGCATAGACTGTGGGTTGAGGGAAGAGGAAGAAAGGTCAGAGATAAGGCTCCTGCCATAATCTAGGTGAGGCTTAATGGATCAGATATGTGGTAAATCACATGGGTCTGGATTCAGGATTCACTTTTTGTAAAAAGACAGCTAGGTTTTCTTTCTTTCTTTCTTTCTTTTTTTTTGAGACGCAGTTTCGGTCTTGTCACCCAGGCTGGAGTGCAATGGCATGATCTCTGCTCACTGGAACCTCCGCCTCCCGGGTTCAAGTGATTCTCTTGCCTCAGCCTTCCGAGCAGTTGGGATTCCAGGCATGAACCACCACACTTGGCTAATTTTTGTATTTTTAGTAGAGACGAGGTTTCACCATGTCGGCCAGGCTGGTCTCGAACTCCTGACCTCAGGTGATTCACCTGCCTCGGCCTCCCAAAGTGCTGGGATTACAGGCATGAGACACCGTACCTGGCAGACAGCTAGGTTTTCTCTCTCTCTCTTTTTTTTTTTTTTTTGAGACGGAGTTTGCTTTTGTTGCCCAGGCTGGAGTGCAATGGCGTGATCTCAGCTCACCGCAACTTCCGTCACCCAGGTTCAAGTGATTCTCCTGCCTCAGCCTCCCCAGTAGCTGGGATTACAGGCATGCACCACCACCCTGGCTAATTTTGTATTTTTAGTAGAGATGGGGTTTCTCCATGTTGGTTAGGCTGGTCTTGAACTCCCGACCTCAGGTGATCCGCACGCCTCAGCCTCCCAAAGTGCTGGGATTACAGGTGTGAGCCACCGTGCCCGGCCGACAGCTAGGTTTTCTAATGTGGGTGATAAGAGCATGAAAGAGGAATTGGGCATGAGCCCAAGGTTTTTGATCTTTGCAGCTGTAACCATGGACGCTGCATCTGCTGACATGAAGTTGGTATTGACAACAATATTCACTGTGGATAGCAAGAGGGTTGTTTTGGCCATATGAAGAATCAGAGACCAATAAGTGGTGGCATCAAATGGATAACTAGACATACAGGATGGGATATCTGGGAGGGTGTTGATAATGGAGACATCCAATATATGAAAGCTAATGAGCGAACTACAGTAAGTTAGTTATGGGTCCATTTAGGAGGACATGCTTCAGATTTTGGTGGTAAATCTTTTCAGGGGCCAGGAAGGTGTGACTACAGGCTGAGGAGTGGATCTCTTACTTACGTCCCTGAGTGATGTTATTGGGCTTCCTAAACACCTGAGAGGGTGTGAGTGACCATCATGGCAGGATGTATCAGACAGTAGAGTTTGGAAGGGGACATAGACATCCGAGGAGAGAATAGACGAGATAGATGCATGCAGAAGCATAGGAGTAATTCAGGGAAGATGACACTTAGGCCTGAGTTGGTGCCAAAGTTGTAACTATTTATCACTGTCTGGACTCACAAACGTTTTGAGATGACTTTGGGAGTGCCTGGGGAGTTTCATTCAGCCTGGTGCATATGGGCAGTGAAAAATATGCTCATCTGTGATAGTAGATGTGGTTTGGTTCACAAATCCAGGGGCTGGGCTTTAAACGGCATTAGGTGGACAGAGGAGGGTTGCTACAGCTGAGGTCTCAGCTGGTGCAGCACAGAAGTGGAATAGGGCCATGGATATCTAAAGCCATATGTGGTTCTGTGTGGCTATGGAGTCATTCCGGGAGACATTCACAGGATGATTTGGGATTACCACTGCTATTGTAAACCATGGAAATTCTGTGTTAATATTGGATGCTATTTGTATTTGTCAAGCATAGTCTGGATGTTTATCCACATTTTGGTATAAGGCCAGAATTGAAGGCCCAATATGATGTGTCACTTTGACATCTTGTGATAGTGGGACAACCTTAAAAGGTGTGAGCACAAATCTCATCTCATTCCCACTCTGCTCTCTTGAATAATGTATCCTAGCCTAACAACCCTTTTTATCAAGGCAATGAGGCAGGGTTCCTCTGGGGGAAAGAAAGAGAGATCAGACTGTTACTGTGTCTATGTAGAAAAAGGAAGACATAAGAAACTCCATTTTGACCTGTACTAAGAAAAATTATTCTGCCTTGAGATGCTGTTAATCTGTAACCCTAGCCCCAACCCTGTGCTCACAGAAATGTGCTGTATTGACTCAAGGTTTAATGGAGTTAGGGCTGTGCAGGATGTGCCTTTGTAAACATGTGTTTGCAGGCAGTATGCTTGGTAAAAGTCATCGCCATTCTCCAGTCTCGGGTACCCAGGGACACAATGCACTGCGGAAGGCCGCAGGGACCTCTGCCTGAGAAAGCCTGGGTATTGTCCAAGGTCTCCCCCAACTGAGACAGCCTGAGATGTGGCCTCATGGGAAAGGAAAGATCTTACTGTTCCCCCAGCCTGACACCTGTAAAGGGTCTGTGCTGAGGAGGATTAGTGAAAGAGGAAGGCCTCTTTGCAGTTGAGATAAGGGAAGGCACCTGTCTCCTGCTCATCCCTGGGCAACAGAATGTCTCAGTGTAAAACCCAATTGTATATTCCATCTACTGAGATAGGAGAAAACCGCCTTAGGGCTGGAGGTGAGACATGCTGGAGGCAATACTGCTCTTTAATGCATTGAGATGTTTATGTATCTGCACATCAAAAGCACAGCACTTTTTTCTTTACCTTGTTTATGATGCAGAGACATTTGTTCACAGGTTTTCCTGCTGACCCTCTTGCCTCTATTACCCTGTTGTCCTGCCACATCCCCCTCTCCGAGATGGTAGAGATAATGATCAATAAATACCGAGGGAACTCAGAGACCAGTGCCATCAGGGTTCCTCCGTATACTGAGCCCCGGTCCCCTGGGCCCACTTTTCTTTCTCTATACTTTGTCTCTGTCTCTTATTTCTTTTCTCAGCCTCTCATCCCACCTGATGAGAAATGCCCACAGGTGTGGAGGGGCAGGCCACCCCTTCACTCTCTCAGTTATTTTTATTACACCAGTAATTTCCTCATTGTGTTGAATCTTACAGTGGCTTATAAATCGATATGTACCTAGAAATGTTTAGCCAGTTCATGTATATTTGATGTATCACATTTTTTCCTTTGAATCACATACTCTAAAAGAAGTAACTTCCTCTTACTAACCTCTGCTTTTCCTAAGTGATGAATTAATCCTCTTTAGATAATTACAATTCTCTTTTCAACACTTAGCAAGAACTAATCTATAAAGAAGCACTATAAATCTATAAAGAACTTTCCCACCCGGGCACAGTGGCTTTGGTTCAACGCTTCTCCACCTTTTGGCTAAGATCAAGTGTGAGATGGAGTTTCGCTCTCATTGCCCCATCTGGAGTGCAATGGTGAAGTCTCAGCTCACTGCAACCTCCGCCTCCCGGGTTCCAGTGATTATCCTGCCTCAGCCTCCGGAGTAGCTGGGATTACAGGTGCCTGCCACCACACCTGGCTACTTTTTAATATTTTTAGTAGAGACAGGGTTTCACCGTGTTGGTCAGGCTGGTCTTGAACTCCTGACCTCAGGTGATCCACCTGCCTAGGCCTCCCAAAGTGCTGGGATTACAGGCATGAGCCAGTGTGTCCGGCCCCCAGCATCATTTTCTTCAGAGAATATTCGAGGAATCTTTTTATGGCTTGGCTTCCTTTTTTTTTTTTTTTTTTTTTAATTTGAGATGGAGTTTCGCTCCTGTTGCCCAGGCTGGAGTGCAATCAATGGCACGATCTCGGCCCACCACAACCTCTGCCTCCCAGTTCAAGCAATTCTGCCTCAGCCTCCCGAGTAGCTGGGATTACAGGCATGCACAATCATGCCCGGCTAATTTTGTATTTTTAGTAGAGACCAGGTTTCTCCATGTTGATCAGGCTAGTCACGAACGCCCAACCTCAGGTGATCCACCCACCTTGGCTTCCCAAAGTGCTGAGATTACAGGCGTGAGCCACCGTGCCCGGCAATGGCTGGGCTTTCATTGGGTGTGAAGTCTACAAACAGCATCTTCAATTTAAACTGTCAGTTAAAGTTCTTAAGATTTAGGAAATGATGGAGCTTGGAAAGTTATGAGATTACAAAATTCCGGAAAGTCCATTAGAAAAACCACAGGATGGAAAAAAAAATAAGCCAGGCAACAAAGCTTCAGAGGTCCCTGCTGGCCCAGGGAGAGATACCTGCAGTGTCCAGCATCTCAGTGAACATGATCTACTTTCAAAGGCAGGGGCTTAAAGCGAGGGAAGGGGGGGAACTGGTGGAAGCAAAGGCTCTCCCCATCACCACCTTGGTTTTAGGTAGGGATTTTAATTTAACTGAAGGACATCTCTCAACTTGGACAATAATTAATCCCTCAACAGCACCTCATATCTGCTATGACTTTGCAGCGCAGCAGAAAGAATGTTTAGTATCTAATAGATAAAAATTTCATCGAAAAAATTAAAATATTCTTGCAACACCCCCCCAACACCAATTCCTATTCTAAAGTGAATCTATCACTTGTGCTGTTGATACTTGACCATGTACTTAATTGGAAACCTAGATGCAAAAGACTGAAACTGAATCTTCACCCCAAAATGAAAACAAAATAAAATGAGTAACTTGAGGTTTATGGCATATAGTTTAGGTAAACACACACACAAGGAGAAGGGGGAAGAGGAAATGGAAGGTGTCGGAAGCAAAGCTGAGTGACAGAACACATTCAGTCAGGGCAGATGTCTATACAGAGTGTAGTGGAACCTCAGGAAAAGCTTCATATGGATTCATGCGCACGCGTCTGGAGGCACCAGATCCCTCCATGGCAGATCCAAGAACAGGGAGCTGAGGGAGAAGGCCATTCCCTTCATTCCAGTTTTAGGAGCTCCACATCGAAGACGAGAGTGGCGTGTGGTGGGATGATGCCTGGGTGCCCAGTGGCACCGTAGGCAGAATCTGGAGATATAGTCAGTTGGGCTGTCTGACCCACACTCATCTAAGCAACCCTTTCTTCCCAGCCTCGGATCACCTCCTGCTAAAAATTAAGGGGCTTGTTTCTGTCCCGGGAGGAATCAAATTTCTTTCCATCTTCAAGCATCCCGGTGTAGTGCACCACGCAGGTCTGGCCGTGCCTCGGGAAGGTGCACTCCTCTCCTGGGGAGATGGTTTCCACCTGCACTCCCATGGCGGCGGCCGATGCTGGGTGGGCGGGTAGCGCGACGGGCGGTGTGGACCAACAGCGACCTGGCGGCGGTTCCACAGCTCTGGCTAGACCCTTGGCTTTTATTTATTTATTTATTTATTTATTTTTTGATACAGAGCCTCTCTTTGTCACCCAGGCTGGAGTGCAGTGGCACGATCTTGGCTCACAGCAACCTCTGCCTCCCGGATTCAAGCGATTCTCCTGCCTCAGCCTCCCCAGTAGCTGGGATTCATGCCCAGCTAATTTTTGTATTTTTAGTAGAGACGGGGTTTCACCATGTTGGCCAGGATAGTCTGTAGCTCTTAACCTCGTGATCCCCTCACCTCTGCCCAGAGTGCTGGGGTTACAGGCGTGAGCCACTGGGCCCGGACTTTTTTTTTTTTTTTGGCCAGGCGCGGTGGCTCACACCTGTAATCCCAGCACTTTGGGAGGGCGAGGCGGGCGGATCACGAGGTCAGGAGATCGAGACCATCCTGACTAACATGGTGAAACCCTGTCTCTACTAAAAATACAAAAAATTAGCCGGGCGTGGTGGCGGGCACCTGTAGTCCCAGCTACTCGGGAGGGTGAGGCAGGAGAATGGCGTGAACCCAGGAGGTGGAGCTTGCAGTGAGCCGAGATCATGCCACTGCACTCCAGCCTGGGCGACAGAGCAAGACTCAAATCAAAAAAAAGAAAAATCGACCCCTGACCTAATCAGTAATGTTATACAGATTACAAACATTATATAGAAAAGCATTGTGAAAATCCCTGTCCTGTTCTGTTCCGTTCTAATTACCAGTGCATGCAGCCCCCAGTCATGTACCCCCTGCTTGCTCAATCGATCACGACCCTCTCACACAGACCCCCTTAGAGTTGTGAGCCCGTAAAAGGTACGAGAATTGCTCACCTGGGGAGCTCAGTTGTTGGAGATGTGAGTCTTGCCGAAGCTCCCAGCTGAATAAAGCCCTTCCTTCTTTAACTCGGTGTCTGAGGGGTTTAGTCTGCAGCTTGTCCTGCTATACCTACGATTTCATCTCCAACCCAACCAATCAGGACTGCCCACTTCATGGCCCCCTATCTACCAAATTATCCTTAAAAAACCCCAGTCTCATGAGGTGGAGGTTGCAGTGAACCGAGATCATGACCTTGCACTCCAGCCTGGGCAACAGGAGCAAAACTCCATCTCAAAAAAACAAACAAACAAATAAACAACAACAAAAAAACCCAGTCTCCAAGTTTTCAGGAAGACTGATTTGAGTAATATTAATAAGACTCCAGTCTGCTGTTCATCCAACTCTGTGTGAATCAAACTCTTTCTTTTACAATTCTCCTGTCCTGATAAATTGGCTCTATCTGGGCAGTGGGCAAAATGAACCCGCTGGGTGTTTACACATTCATTTTAACAATACAATAATGGTTATTAACCTTTGCATTAATCTCTGCTTCCAGTGGAAGAATTTTGCATCAAAGGACCACTTGAAATGATAGGTGAATTTAGATCTATAGCCTTTGGGAGCACCTACACTAACTCTGAAATAATATTTTTCCATACACTAGGGTAATCAGCTACAGCTAATAATTGCAAGAAATCTCAATAGGAGTTTTAAGGAAAGGCAGGATGATCCTCTGCCCAGTAGAAAGATCTGCAATCTTTTATTTATTTATTTATTTAATTTTATTTTTTTCCAATACAGAGTCTTGCTCTGTCGCCCAGGCTAGAGTGCAGTGGCACAATCTCAGCTCACCGCAACCTCTGACTCCTGGGTTCAGGAGATTCTCCTGCCTCAGCCTCCTGAGTAGCTGGGATTATATGCATATGCCATCATGCCAAGCTAATTTTTGTATTTTTAGTAGAGGCGGGGTTTCACCATGTTGGCCAGACTGGACTTGAACTCCTGACCTCAGGTGATCCACCCGCCTCAGCCTCCCAAAGTGCTGGGATTACAGGCGTGAGCCACCCACACCCAGCCCTTATTTTTATTTTTTAGAGAAGAGGTCTTGCTCTGTTGCCCAGGCTGGAGTGCAGTGGCACGATCTCGGCTTACCGCAGCTTCAAACTCCTGAGCTCAAGCGATTCTCCCTCCTTCAGGCTCCCTAACCCTAACCCCAACCTTGGGGCAGCTGGGACCACTGGCCTGCCTGACCTCACCCCACTAATATTTTTTATTTTTTGCAGAGACAGGATATGGGGAAAAGAAATCAGATTGTTACTGTGTCTATGTAGAAAAGGAAGCCATAAGAAACTCCATTTTGATCTGTATTAAGAAAAATTGTTCTGCTTTGAGATGCTGTTAATCTGTAACTTTAGCCCCAACCCTGTGCTCACAGAAACGTACTGTATTGAATCAAGGTTTAATGGATTTAGGGCTGTGCAGCATGTGCCTTGTTAACAATATGTTTGCAGGCAGTATGCTTGGTAAAAGTCATCGCCATTCTCCATTCTCTATTAACCAGGGACACAATGCACTGCGGAAAGCTGCAGGGACCTCTGCCTGAGAAAGCCTGGGTATTGTCCAAGGTTTCCCCCACTGAGACAGCCTGAGATATGGCCTCATGGGAAAGGAAAGACCTTACATCCCCCAGCCGGACACCCTTAAAGGGTCTGTGCTGAGGAGGAGGAGTGAAAGAGGGAGGCCTCTTTGCAGTTGAGATAAGAGTAAGGCTTCTGTCTCCTGCTCATTCCTGGGAATGGAATGTCATGGTGTAAAGCCAACCATTCCCATTCGTTGTATTCTGAAATAGGAGAAAACTACCCTGTGGCTAGAAGCGAGATATGCTGGCAGCAATACTGCTCTGTTGCTCTTTGCTACACTGAGATGTTTGTTTAAAGTGAAACATAAATCTGGCCTATGTGCACATCCACGCACAGTACCTTTCATTGAACTTATTCATGATACAGATTCCTTTGCTCACGTGTTTCCCTGCTGACCTTCTCCCCACCATCACCCTGTTGCCCTGCCACACTCCCCTCACCAAGAGAGTAAAAATAATGATCAATAAATACTGAGGGAACTCAGAGACCGGCGCCGGTGAAGGTCCTCACATGCTGAATGTGCCAGTCCCCTGGGCCCACTATTCTTTCTCTATACTTTTTCTCTGTGTCTAATTTCTTTTCTCAGTCTCTCGTCTCCACCTGATGAGAGATACCCATAGGTATGGAGGGGCAGGCCCCCTTCAAACAGGATTTTGCTTTGTTGCTCAGGCTAATCTCTAACTCTTGGCCTCAAATGATCCTTCTGACTTGGCCTCCCAAACTGGTGGAATTACAGGAGCTAGCCACCATACCAGTCAGGGCGCATATCTTAAGGATACTCCTGAGGTGGAGCTGGGCTTTTCCTGCAGAACCGCCTCTGGGAATTGTGCCCTTTACCCTCCTTGTTACCTAGGGAACTACATTACCCAGAAAACTCCGCATGGAATGACAGAGTGGAAGAGCCATGGGGGCTCAGAATAAAGGCATTTCCTGTGTGCACGTGACAATGGGTCCGGACTTCCGGCGCCCTCTGGTGGCGGCCATTTTGATTGGTGTTGGGTTTATTTGTCGGAGAGGCTCCTGAGCGCTAGGTCGGCACTGCGGTGACTGAACCCAGAAGGCGGAGAACAGTTGTCCTCTGCTGCACAGAGGCGACTCTGGAGCTCTGTGACGGCGCCAAGCGTGACCCACCCCTGGGCCAGGATAGGGACCGTCATGCCCATATCTCCTGGCTGGTCACCCTCTCCTCCCAACCCTGCTTTAAACCACGTGGTTCGATGGCGGTGGTGGCCACGCTGAGGCTCTCTGCTCAGGTAATTGTGGTGCCTTCCATGCCCTCAGGTCACCTCATCATCACCCAAAAGCCTGTAGTCTTGCAAGGAAGAGTCTTTAAGGTGGCAGAGCCATAGGCAGCAGATGCTGAGTTTTTATTAGGAGTGACTGTCAGGACAGCCCTTTTGAGCTGCTGAAGGCCTAATCTTTTATAGTCACTGTACCTGAGCGAGTTAGAGAAAACGCCACACTTTGAGACGAATTAAGAGTCCGTTTATTTAAAAAAAAATCCGTTTATTTAGCCGGCGGCCAAGAGATGGGTAACGCTCAAAGTTCTCGCGGCCCCAAAGAAGGGGCTAGATTTTCTTTTATACTTTGGTTTAGAAAGGGGAGGGGGGGTCTAGTTAAAACAATTTTACAGAAGTAAAGTAGGCAAGAAAAGTTAAAAGGATAAATGGTTACAGGAAAGTAAACAGTTCCAGGTGCAGGGGCTTTAAGACTATTAGAAGGTGATAGATGGGGGGCTTTGGGCGTTATCAATCAGACGAATTCCTGGGAACTGCGGATATAGCTCGCCACAGTATCTTATCAGTTAATTGCATTCTTGGATGTGCTGGGAGTCAGCTTGCACAAGTTAAGTCCTTGAGGAAGGGGCTGCCAGTGAAAGAGCCAAGATGGAGTCTGTCTGGCTCTCTTATGTAAGGGAGAGTCAATTCAGGTGGAAACAAGTCTAGGTGATTAAAGGAAAGGGAGAATCTAAAAACAGGGTTAGTAAAAACAAGGTTGGGCATTACATCACAGAATCCTCTAGTGAGAACTGATAGTGGAACAGTGTGCTCGTTGGTGACCTTACCTCGTTAGATGCAGTCTTTATTTTTTATTTTTTTGAGACGGAGTTTCACTCTTGTTGCCCAGGCTGGATGCAATGGCGTGATCTCGGCTCACCGCAATCTCCGCCTCCTGGGTTCAAGCGATTCTCCTGCCTCAGCCTCCCGAGTAGGTGTCATTACAGGCATGCGCCACTGCACCTGGCTAATTTTTTGTATGTTTAGTAGAGATGGAGTTTCTCCATGTAGGTCAGGCTGGTCTCGAACACCTGATCTCAGGTGATTCACCTGCCTCGGCCTCCCAAAGTGCTGGGGTTACAGGCGCGAGCCACCGAGCCCAGCTTATTTTATTTATTTATTTTTTTTTTTTTTGAGACAGAGTCTCAGTCTGTCACCCAGCCTGGAGTACAGTGGCGTGATCTCGGCTCACTGCAACCTCCGCCTGCCGGGTTCAAGCGATTCTCCTGCTTCAGCCTCCCAAGTAGCTGGGATTACAGACACCCGCCACCATGCCCGGCTAATTTTTTGTATTTTTAGTAGAGACGGGGTTTCGCCATGTTGCCTAGCCTGGTTTCGAACTCCCGAGCTCAGGCAATACGCTCGCCTCGGCCTCCGAAAGTGCTGGGATTACAGACGTGAGCCACCGTGCCTGGCTGTCTTTATTTTTTTATTTGTTTACTAAACAAAACATCTTACCCTTTATAGCAGAGTGCCCTGTGAAATACAAATTGTCTTTTTCTTTTTGTTTTTTTTTGAGACAGAGTCTCGCTCTATCGCCCAGACTGGAGCGCAGTGGCACGATCTCGGCTCACTGCAAGCTCCACCTCCCGGGTTCATGCCATTCTCCTGCCTCAGCCTCCCGAGTAGCTGGGACTACAGGCATGCACTACTATGCCCGGCTTATTTTTGCATTTGTAGTAGAGACGGGGTTCCGCCATGTTGGCCAGAATGGTCTCAATCTCTTGACATTGTGATCCGCCCGCCTTGGCCTCCCAAAGTGTTGGGATTACAGGCGTGAGCCACTGTGCCCGGCCAATTCTATTTAATTATTTTAATTTCTTTGCTGAATTTATCTGATAGAATTCTGAATTTTTTCTCCGTGTTTGTCTTGAATTTCTTTGAATTTCCTCAAAATAGCTATCTTGAATTATCTGTCTGAAAGGTCACGTATCTCTGTTTCTCCAGGATTCGTCTTTGGTGCTTTATTTAGTTTGTTTGGTGAGGTCACGTTTTCCTGGATGGTGTTGATGCTTGTAGATATTCGTCAGTGTCTGGGCATTAAACAGTTAGGTGTTTATTGTGGTCTTCACAGTCTGGGCTCATTTGTACCTGTCCTTCTTAGGAAGAGTTTCCAGGTATTTGAAAGGACCCGGGTGTTGTGATCTAAGCTGAATCTACTTTAGCGGGAACCCCACACTCAGTAATGCTGTGACTCTTGCAGACTCAGAGAGCTGTACCACCTTTGTGGTCTTGAATAAGATCTGAAAGATTTCCCTTGATTAACATAACAGGTAGAGACTCTTGTTGGGTCTTCCCTCACTTTGTCCCAGCATGTCTCTGTCAGTGCTGAAGTGCCTGAAACTGGGGGTTGGGACAGAAGCACCCCTTTAGCTACCACCACTGGGACTGTGCTGGGTGAGAGCTGAAGCCAGCACAGCACTGGGTTTCACCCAAGGCTCCTGTGACCACTACATGGCTATCGCCTGTGTTCCCTCAAGGCCCTAGCCCTGTACAGTCAGCAGGTGGCAAAGCCAGACAGGCTTATGTCCTTCTCCTTAGGACGGTGAGTTCCCCAGGCCTCAGGTTGGTATACAGATGCCATCCATGAGCCAGGGATTGGAGTAAAAATCCTTAGAAATCTACCTGGTGTTCCTTTGCACTGCAGCTGAGCTGGCACTCAAACTACAAGCTAGAGCCCTTCCCACTCTTCCATCCCCTTTCCACAGGCAGAGCAGCCTCACTCTGTGGCCACCACCAGCACGGGCCCACAGGGAGTGCTGTCAGACTACCACTGAGGTTCCATTAAGGGCTAAGAGCTCTTCAGTCAGCTTGTGGTGAATGTTGCCTGGTCTGAGGCTGACTCTTCAAGACTCACCCAGGGCAGGTCCAGCAATGTCATCCACGAGCCAAGGCCTGGAATCAGGGACCCCAAGAGGCTTCTTGGTGCTCTATCCCTCTGTGGTTGAGCTGGCAGCTGAGGTGCAAGACAAGGTCCCCTTTACTTTTTCCTCTGTTATTCTCAAGCAGGTGGGGTCTCTGACCGTAACCACCACAGCTGGCAGTGTGCTGTGTTACATCTGAAGCTGGCATGTCTCAGAGTCTCACCCAGTGCCATCGCATACTACCTGGGTACTGCTGCTAGTTATTCAGGGTCCAAGGGTTGTTTAGTCAGAAGGTGATGGGTCCTCCCATGACTGAATTCTTCCCTTCAAGGCAGCAGGTTCTGTTTTGGTCCAGAGTGTGTCTAGAAATATTATCTGGGTGGGCCTGGAATGGGTCCTCACAACCCTGCCCAGTGCCCTATCCTGTGGCTGAGGTGACATCCAAAATGCAAGACAAAGTTCTTTTTGCTGTTCCCTCTCCTCTCCTCGAGTGGAAGGAAGGAGCCACGTAGCCTGGGGTTGCATGAGGGGTGGCACAAGCACACCCTTAGCTACCTCAACTGGTGTCTCAGTAGGTTGTGCTCCCCCAACCCAACCAGGTCCCCTGGCTCGGAGCCCAGCTCAGCACAGCACATGCCTAGGGGTTGCAGTCCTTGTGGCCTCGACCGCCTTTCAAGTTTATTTAGGACTTCAGAGCCCTCCAGCCCACAGTGGCAAGGCTTGCCAGATCTCAAGTCCTGACCATTGGGGTGGGCGATTCCCCTCTGGCTGGGCTGGTCGCTATGCTTACTCCCTGGGTAGGCGTCCGTTGAGTTCAGCCCAGTTTTGCTTTCTGCTATGACAGGGAAGCACTGAGTTCTGTGCAACGTCTGACAGTCACTGCGCTTTCCCTTCCCAGGAGCACAGATTCTCCACAACAGGCAGGCACTGCTGGGGGATGGGGAGGAGTGGCATTGGCAACTCAAGACTCTACAGCCCCTTTTAGTGCCATTTCCAGTAATACAAAATTAAATCCAGGTACTGTGAGTGCTCATTTGATTTTTGGTTCTTACAAAGGTGATTTTTTTCTGTGTTGATAGTGTTTAAATTTGGTGTTCTGGGCCGGGTGTGGTGGCTCACGCCTGTAATCCCAGCACTTTGGGAGGCTGAGGCAGGCGGATCAACTGAAGTCAGGAATTTGAGACCAGCCTGGCCAACATGGCAAAACCGTGTCTCTACTAAAAATACAAAAATTAGTCGAGTGTGGTGGCAGGTGCCTGTAATCCCAGCTACTTGGGAGGCTGAGGCAGGGAGAATTAGGGAGAATTGCTTGAACCCCGGAGGCAGAGGTTGCAGTGAGCCAAGGTAGCACTACTGGACTCCAGCCCTGGTGACAGAGCGAGACTCTCTCTTAAAAAAAAAAAAGAAAAAAAAAAGGTGTTCTGTTAAGGGTATGATGGGTGCAGCTTTCTATTCCACCATCCTGCTCTGTTGCACCTCTCGAGCTCAGTCCTTTCAACCGGAAACACTAGAGAAACCCTAAAGCCTAGGCCCTAAGTCCATAACGCAGGTGGTATGGAGGTATTCCCATTTCAGTGAAACTGTGTAAACACTTAGAAGGTCAGCCTTGGATTTGGTAGCAGTATGTGAAATGCTCAGAGATAAAACTGATCAGAGTGGGGAGGTGATGTTACTTCTCTGCCTGGCTCCACATTGGAGAAAGGAACATGGGGTTAAGGGAGGAGGAAGGAAGACAGCGTTGAGGCTCATTCTGTCATCCAGGTGAGGTTTAATGGATGATTGTTGGCCAAGGAGATGTCGCTAGAATTGTGATTTACATTTGGTAAAGGAGCAGCTAGATTTTCTAATGCGGTCGGTAAGGACATGCAAGAGGGTTTCAGGTATGACGCTGGGGGTTTTTTGTTTTTGCTTTTTTTTTTTTTTTAGGTGGAGTCTTGTTCTGTCACCAGGCTGGAGTGCAGTAGCATGATCTCTGCTCACTGCAACCTCTGCCTCCCAGGTTCAAGCAATTCTCCTGCCTCAGCCTCCTGAGTAGCTGGGACCACAGGAGGCACACGGCATCACGCCCGGCTAATTTTTGTAATTTTAGTAGAGACAGAGTTTTTCACCGTATTGGTCAGGCTGGTCTTGAACTCCTGACCTCAGGTGATCCACCCACCTCAGCCTTCCAAAGTGCTGGGATTACAGACTCGAGCCACCGTGCCTGGCAACCCTAGGGGTTTTGGCCTTAGCAGCAGCAGTGATAGAAGCTGTATCAGCTGAGATGAGCAAGTTGGGAGTAGGCATAATACAGTCACTGGGAATATAAGGAGGGTTGTTTTCACCATGCTCAGACCCTGAGATGCTTGTCCACATAGGTCGGGATATCTGGGAAGGAATTGATATTGGAGACATCCAGTATATGATAGCTAATGTGTGGACTAAGGTGCGTTAGCCATGGGTCCCATTTTGGAGGGCACACTTCATAATAAGGTAGTAAATCTTTTAGGGAACCAGAAAGGACTGATTGGAGGCTGAGGACTAGATGTTTTGCCTGGGTCCCTGGCGGACATTATTGGCATTCATAACCTGTGTTATGCATTCACACAGGAGAGGGAGGTAAGTGACAATGAATGTAGGGTGTATCAGAGGGCATAGCTTGTCGTGGGGCAGACTTCCATGGAGATAATAGAGATGAGATGCAGGCAGAAGTACAGAAGTAATTGAGGGAAAGGTCATCATTGCTGAGGGGCTGGCAAGTGTAGCACAGAAGTAGAATAGGGTCATGGATAGCTGAAGCCACACATGGTTCTGTGTTTCTGTGGAGCCATGCAAGGAGGTCCTCACAGAATTACTTGAGACCACCGCTCCTTTTAGGATCCAATAGAATTGCAATTCTGTGGTAATATTGGATCGGTTTGAATGGGCCATACACTCTGGATGGTGTCAGCTACGATGTAGTGTAAGGCCAAAAATTAAGGCCCAGTGTGATTTGCCACCTGGATGCCTGGTCATATTGGTATGACCACAAATGGCTGAGTGCAAGTTTCTTTCCCATTTAACTCTCTTTTTATATATTTAAAATTTTTTCTCTCGTGTATGTATGTAGAAACATGGTCTTGCCTTGTCGTCCAGGCTGTTCTTGAACTCCTACGATCAAGCAGTGCTTCCACTTCGACCTCTCAGAGTGCTGGGATTACAGGTGTGAGACACCATGACTGGCCACTTCACTCTCTTAAGTAATATATCTGAACGGGTGCAGTGCCTCATGCCTATAATCCTAGCACTTTAGGAGGCCGAGATGGGTGGATCATTTGACATCAGGAGTTTGAAACCAGCCTGCCCAATATGGTGAAAGACCATCTCTACTAAAAATACAAAAATTAACCAGGCATGGTGGTACACTCATGTAATCCCAGCTACTGAGGAGCTGAGGCAAGAGAATTGCTTGAACCCAGGAGGCGGAGGTTGCAGTGAGCTGAGATTGCACCACCCCGCTCCAGCCTGGGTGACAGTGAGACTCCGTCATAAAAAAAAAAAAAAAAAAAAAGGAATGTATCCTAGCCTCTGAAGCCTTTCGATCAATGAATGGGACCAGGCAGAGTTCCTGTTATAGTTTGTAGTGAGTTTCAATTCCATTTTTATCTCCAGAGTTATTCAAATAAGTCAATGGCATCCTCCTGAGGGAATCAGGCCATTACACTCTCTTCATCTTACAAAGCTTGCATGCCATGGCCGTGGTTGCTCTCTTTTATCCACAATCCAACCCCCATGTGGCTCTTTGTGGTGAGTGGTGTCCCTCTTATCAGGCTGTTAATATATGTGATACCTTTTTTTTTTTTGAGGCACAATTTTGCTTTTGTTGCCCAGGCTGGAGTGCAATGGCGCGATCTTGACTCACTGCAACCTTCGCCTCCCTGGTTCAAGTGATTCTCCTGCCTCAACCTCCTGAGTAGCTGGGATCACAGGTGCCCACCACCACGCTCAGCTAGTTTTTTTTTTGTTTTGTTTTTTTTTTTTGGTTTGGTTTTGTTTGAGATGGAGTCTCGCTCTGTAGCCCAGGCTGGAGTGCAGTGGTGCTATTTCGGCTCACTGCAAGCTCCGCCTCCCAGGTTCACGCCATTCTCCTGCCTCAGCCTCCCAAGTATCTGGGACTACAGGTGCCCGCCACAACACCCAGCTAATTTTTTGTATTTTTAGTAGAGACGGGGTTTCACCGTGTTAGGCAGGATGGTCTCGATCTCCTGACCTCGTCATCTGCCCGTCTCAGCCTCCCAAAGTGCTGGGATTACAGGCATGAGCCACGCCCCCGGCCTAGTTTTTTTGTATTTTTAGTAGAGACGCAGTTTCACTATATTGGCCAGGCTGGTCTCAAACTCCTGACCTCAGGCGATCCACCCGGCTCAGCCTCCTAAAGCACTGGTACTACAGGTGCGAGCCACCACGCCTGGCTCAATACATTTGATTTGGAAACTGCTCTTGACGACATCTGTAGAATATCAGATGTCATTTGTTTTACCAAAAATGTAACCCTAGGGGGAGATTTCAACCCACACTAGTAGAAGACAAAGGAGGAAATTAAGATACTTTAAGTTGGCTGGACACAGTGCCTCATGCCTGTAGTCCCAGCACTTTGGGAAGCTGAGGTGGGTGGATCACAAAGTCAGGAGTTCGAGACCAGCCTGGCCAACATGGTGAAATCCTATCTCTACTAAAAATACATAAATTAGCCAGGTGTGGTGGTGCACACCTGTAATCCCAGCTGTTCAGGAGGCTGAGGCAGGAGAATCCTCAGGAGAACCCAGGAGGCAGAGGTTGCAGTGAGTCTAGATCGTGTCATTGCACTCCGTCTCAAAAAAAAATAAAAAAAAAAAGATACTTTAAATTGTGGCCGGGCACAGTGGCTCAAGCCTGTAATCCCAGTACTTTGGGAGGCCGAGGCAGATGGATCATGAGGTTAAGAGATCAAGACCATCCTGGCCAACATGATGAAACCCCGTCTCTACTAAAAATATAAAAATTAGCCAGATGTGGTGGCGGGTGCCTGTAGCCCCAGCTACTTAGGAGGCTGAGGCAGAAGAATTGCTGGAACCCAGGAGGCAGAGGTTGCAGTGAGCCGAGATTGTGCCACTGCACTCCAGCCTGGCAGCAGAGGGAGACTCCATCTCAAACAAACAAACAAACAAAAAAAGATACTTTAAGTTGTTTAAAGGCCAGAGAGAGGCCAGTGGTGTGTGGCAGTCAGCTGGGGATGGACATGGAATGTACCTGGAAGTCTAAAGAATGAGGTGCGTTCAGAGAGGGTATCTCTGCTGTGCTGAAGGTGCCACATTGGGCTTCCCATGACCTCGGCCATACTAGGGAAAGTGCCTGTCAGGAGTGGGTGGACTTTATGTCACAGCCACTGCACAGATACCTATTTGTTCAACTAACTATTGTTGGTGGCTGTACCCCATGACCAGTGGGCCTAGTTTCTCCTATGTTTGAGGACCTTGAGAGGAGGATGTGCGAGAGTAGATGTGTGGGAGAGATGGATTGTGATACCTCAGCATAGGGGTGGTTTGTGGTTTCATCTGTCAACATCATAACAGGGCACAGTGACTTTTGAAGACGTGGCTGTGAAATTTACCCAGGAGGAATGGAATCTCCTTAGTGAGGCTCAGAGATGCCTGTACCGTGATGTGACTCTGGAGAACCTGGCACTTATGTCCTCCCTGGGTAAGTTGCTCACACTCACCCTGTGACTTGAGCTAGTCTCTGTTTTCCCCTGTCTTTCCCCATTGGCAAGACTTTCTCATGTCAGGAGCATGGACACAGCTTCCTGCTTCAGTTCTATGGGTAGGTTCTTGGTTGTAGGACTGAGGTGTACATACTGCCCTACTCCTTTCTTGGAGCAGCCCCAGCACCTGCTTTACTGCAGGCTCCCAGGGAGGGATTCCCAGTCAGAAGCCCACCTTGTTAGTCCTGTGGATGTTTGGGTGTCCTTGTCCAGATTTCAGGTTCCTGTGTACCCACAGTCTACTTCCTTTCTCTAGCTGCTATTTTCTTATGCCTTCCTGTGGCAGGAATTGCCTTCACAGACTACATCACTGCCTATATAGACCAGAGGCTGTTCTTGCAAGATCTTCTTTAGAAATTCTCCTTCAAATACTCAGTTTTTTTCTCTCATGGGCTGAGTTGTTCTGAGACAATGTTGGCTGTTCCCTTGTTCTGTCTTTCCCTTAGTCTGTGCATCATTCATGTCCCATGTATTTGGTCATCATTGTGGTGGGAGGCACAGTCCTCCATTTGATCCAGAAGATGCAAATGAATTCAGCCTCAGCATAATAGGCTCAGAAGGAGTGAGTCCCTAAAGAGTGGCACCCTGGGCTGGGGATGGTGGCTCGCTCCTGTAATCCCAGCACTTTGGGAGGCCCTGGCAGGTGGATCATAAGGTCAGGAGTTCAAGACCAGCCTGGCCAAGATGGTGAAACCCTGTCTCTACTAAATATAAAAAAATCACTCGAGCATGATGGCATGTGCCTGTAGTCCCAGCGACTCAGGAGGCTGAGGCAGAGAACTGCTTGAACCCAGGAGGCAGAGGTGGTGAGCCCAGATCACGCCACTGCACTCCAGCCTGGGCAACAGAGCGAGACTCTGTCTCCAAAAAAAAAAAAAAAAAAAAAAAAAAAAAAAAAAAAAGCAGCACCCTGGAGGAGGTCATGGAGTCAGGGCTTTATTGAAAGCATACCAGGAACCTATTCTACTTTAGTAGCATTTTTGTGGCAAGAGAAGTAGGCACACATAATTTGTCTTTTCTTCCTCATTCTTGAGAACATCACACTTGTCACTTGTCTATCTTATCATTTCTACTCCTTTTTTTAAGCTTTGACCTACTTGTACATGAACTCGTACCCTAATATCCATTCTCCTATCTAATCTTCACATCTCTGGACCCCAAATCTCATCCATTTTACATATGTCACCATTTGCGTGTTCTCCAGTATTTGCATAGAGATTTGTGTTAGCAAGTATATACGCTTTGTTACAAACTGTCCTCAAGCAGAAGCTGCTGTGTTGTGCTTGTGTTTTCCTTGGCCTGGACAAATCCCTCTCTACAGCACTCACATGTCATGAGGACATAAATTCTGCAGATGAGTGGTTTGCAGATGCAGGGATTGTAGACCCTGCCTCTACTCCCTGTGTTACATACATGGTTGTGTCCTTTAACTTATGAGGCCTCCTACATTCTGTGACCGTTATAGTCCAGTAATAATACATAGCACCATCTTCCATCTGAAGCCAACATCCTGTTCCTCCAAGTAGTTCCTTGGAGTAATTCCTCAGTTTTTCACATACACTTGTGGGTGGTCTGTGCCTTCCCACCAGAGTTAACATGCACTTCACCAGCATTTTCTTGCTTTCAGGTTGTTGGTGTGGAGTGGAAGATGAGGCGGCACCTTCTAAGCAGAGTATTTATATACAAAGAGAGACTCAGGTCAGGACTCCTGTGACAGGTGTGTCTCCCAAGAAGGCCCACCCCTGTGAGATGTGTGGCCCGATCTTGGGAGACATTTTGCATGTGGCAGATCATCAGGGAACACATCACAAGCAGAAACTGCACAGGTGTGAGGCCTGGGGGAATAAATTGTATGACAGTGGAAACTTTCATCAGCACCAGAATGAGCACATTGGAGAGAAACCCTACAGAGGGAGTGTTGAGGAGGCGTTGTTTGTGAAGAGGTGTAAGTTGCATGTGTCAGGGGAGTCATCTGTCTTCAGTGAGAGTGGGAAGGACTTTTTGCCCAGGTCAGGATTACTCCAGCAGGAGGCCAGTCACACTGGGGAGAAGTCAAACAGCAAAACTGAGTGTGTGTCTCCCTTTCAGTGTGGGGGAGCTCACTATAGCCATGGAGATTCCATGAAACATTTTAGCACCAAACATATACTCAGTCAGCACCAGAGACTTCTCCCTCGAGAAGAATGTTATGTGTGCTGTGAATGTGGGAAATCCTTTAGCAAATATGTTAGCTTCAGTAATCATCAGAGAGTTCACAGTGGAAAAAGACCTTATGAATGTGGAGAATGTGAGAAATCTTTTAGTCAAAAGAGCAGCCTCATTCAACATCAGCAATTTCACACTGGAGGAAAACCTTATGGGTGTGAAGAATGTGGGAAATATTTTAGCTTAGAAGGATATCTTAGGCGCCATCAAAAAGTTCACGCTGGAAAAGGGCCTTATGAGTGTGGAGAATGTGGGAAATCTTTTAGTTCAAACGTGAACCTTAAGAGTCATCAGCGCATTCACACTGGAGAGAGACCTTACAAGTGTGGAGAATGTGAGAAATCTTTTAGTCGGAAGCCCAGCCTTAGTTACCATCAGCGCATTCACACTGAAGTAAGACCTTACAAGTGTGGAGAATGTGGGAAATCTTATATTTCAAAGGGGCACCTTAGGATCCATCAGCGCATGCACACTGGAGAAAGACCTTACAAGTGTGGAGACTGTGGGAAATCTTTTAATGAAAAAGGACACCTTAGGAGTCATCAGCGAGTTCACACTACAGAAAGACCTTATAAGTGTGGGGAATGTGGGAAATGTTTTAGTCACAAGGGTAACCTCATTCTACACCAGCATGGCCATACTAGAAAAAGGCCTTATATGTGTTGGGAATGTGGAAAATTATTTAAGAAGAAGTCTCACCTCCTTGTACACCAGAGAATTCACAGTGGAGAGAAGCCATATGCTTGTGAGGCTTGTCAGAAATTTTTTAGGCACAAGTGCCACCTCACTGCACACCAGAGAGTTCACACTGGAGAAAGGCCATATGAATGCAGTGATTGTGGGAAGTCATTTACCCACAGCTGTGCATTCATTGTTCATAAGAGAGTTCACACTGGTCAGAAGCCTTATGAGTGCAGTGAATGTGGGAAATCTTTTGCTGCAAGCTCCTATCTCACTAGTCACAGGAGAGTTCACACTGGTCAGAAGCCTTATGAGTGCAGTGAATGTGGGAAATCTTTTGCTGGAATCTCCAGTCTCACTAATCACAGGAGAGTTCACACTGGAGAAAAGCCTTATGGGTGTAGTGAATGTGAAAAAAAATTTAGGAAAAGCTCTTCACTTCGTTACCATCAGAGAGTTCATGAAAGAAAGGCCTTATGAGTGCAGAGAATGAGTCCAGTCTCATTAAATACAGGAGAGCACACACCTGAGTAAGATCTTGTGATTGCAGCAAATGTGGAAAATGTTTACCCAAAAGAAGTCTGCTCTCCTTGGACATTGGAGAGTTCACACCAGAGAAAAGTCCTTACAAGTAAAATAAATTTGGCAGTTTTGTAGCCACACCTCTGTATTCCTTCAGGATTATATTTAACACTGAATGAAGGCCTTACTAGTGTGGCAAATATAGGCTATTTATCCAGAAGTCTGGCTTCAAAACTCACAGGAGAGCTGTCACTACGGAAATGCCTTTTGAATGTAATGTTTGCAAAAAAGCACTGTGCCTTCTGTCATTGAATCCTAGAACACTGAGATGAGAAAAACACTGTAGATGTATAGGTTAGATATATAGGGAATGTTATTATTTTTTCCTTTTTTTGGAGAGACGGTCTCACTCCATCACCCATGCTGGTGTGCAGTGCTGCGATCGTAGCTCACTGCATCCTCCGCCCCCTAGGCTCAAGTGATCTTCCCACCTTAGCCTCCATGTAGCTGGGTCCACAGGCATGCACCACCATGCCTGGCTATTTTCTCATATTAGTAGATATAGGGTTTTACCATGTTTCCAGGCTGGTATCGAACTCCTGAGCTCAAGCAATCTGTACACCTCAGCCTCCCAAAGTGCTGAGATTGTAGGTTTGAGTCACTGTGCTCAGCCAATTATGTTTTTCTGTGTAACATGGGAGGAGATCCTTTGAGGGCACCATGTGCCCAAATTGAAAAAACTCCAGGCATGTGGCATCTGTATTATATTTTTTACTATGCCCTGTTATCTTGCTAGACTTATGTGACTGCCACTTATCTGGCAAAAGCCATTACATCTCAGCTACTTGGTAGGTACCCACATTGCATCATTCACCTATTTCGTATTCTAGAAGTATATTTTGGTTGTCTCCCATTCACGAGAGATTTTTTTTTTAAGTTTTTTGTTTGGTTGGTTGGTTGGTTGGTTGGTTGTTTTTTTTTGTTTTTTTTTTTTTTTTTTTTGGAGACAAAGTTTCACTGTCACCGATACTGGAGTGCAGTGGTGTGATCCTGGTTCATTGCAACCTCTGCCTCCTGAGTTCAAGCAATTCTCCTTTCTCAGCCTCCTGAGTAGCTGGGATTACAGGTGCCTGCCACCACACCCAGGTAATTTTTGTACTTTTAGTAGAGATGGGGTTTCACTATGTTGGTCAAACTGATCTTGAACTCCTAACCTCGTGATCCACCTGCCTTGGCCTCCCAAAGTGCTGGGATTACAGTGTGAGCCTCTGCTTCTGGCCTTTTTAAAAATTTTTTAAATTTATATTTTTTGTAGAGACAGGGTCTTGCTGTGTTGCACAGTCTGGTCTCAAACTGCTGGTCTCGAGTGATCCTTCTGCCTGGCTTCCCAGAATGTTGGGATTATAGGCGTGGCATAAGTCACCATGCTGGGACTTTTTTATTTCTTTAATTTTTAATTCCAGATCTGGTCACAGAAGGATTTGTTGAGTAGCCTCAGCACTTCTTGCTTTTTCATTTCTTTCTGATAAGTTACACCATGGACCTTCCCCATTTTTGTCCCAGAGGACTCTTGTGCTGACTTGAAAAGATGGACTATTTTGGCTAAGCATGGTGGCTCATGCCTGTAATCCCAACACTTTGGGAGGCCGAGGTGGGTGGATCACAAGGACAGGAAGGAGTTCAAGACCAGCCTGGGCAATATAGTGAAATCCTGTCTCTTCTAAAAATATAAAAATTAGCCGGGCATGGTGGCGCACCTGTAGCCGCAGCTACTCAGGAGGCTGAGGCAGGAAAATTGCTTGAACCCCGGGAGGTAGAGGTTGCAGTGAGCTGAGATCATGCCACTGCACTCCAGCCTGGGTCCTGCTACCTTGAAGGACAGCATAGCTAAACTGCGTGGCCCAAGGGACAGCATGAATGCAGAATATAGCTTTCTTCACTTGTGGCCTATTTGCATAGCTGCCCAAGGCCTCCAGTGGACGACTTCATGGCTTTGTGGTCTTCATCTGTAGCATGGATACTACAGATTGTGGGTTCATAGGTCAGCTGGGTACAGGGCAGTTTTTATAACAACCTCTGGTGGGTTTTTTATTTTAGTGTCAATATCACACTGAAAGATTGGTGATTTTTTTTGAACCAGACAAAATTCTCTCTTATGAGGTATATTGCACTGTGCTCGGTACTGTTGAGGGAACTCTGTTCAGCAGATCTTACAAGGCACACATGTGCCATGATATCCAGAATTCTGTAAGGCAACATCACAGGTTGTAAGGCTATAGGATGAAATTATAATTTTATGGTTACTTAGTTACTGCATTTATAGTCAGCAGAGGGGACAGCAATAAAGTTTTTGAAATATATCTTTTTTTTTTTTTTGAGACACAGTCTCACTCTGTCACCCAGGCTAGAGTGCTGTTGCACCATCTCGGCTCACTGCAACCTGTGCCTTCTGGGTTCAAGCGATTCTCCCACCTCAGTCACCCAAGTAGCTAGAATTACAGGTGCATGCCACCACACCACTAATGTTTTGTGGTTTTAGTAGAGACGGGTTTCACCGTGTTGCACAGACTGGTCTTGAATTCAACTCTTGAGCTCAGGTGATCTGCTCACCTCCGCCTTCCAAAGTGCTGGGACTACAGGTGTGGGCCGCTGTGTTTGGCTGAAATGTATGTCTTTTAAAGGAGTGTCCACAGTTATCCAGTCACTGTGTCTGTGATGGATAAGCAGATACAGAAATTCTCAAGACTTCCATAATAATGAATGTTGTGTAGCTAAGCTTTGGTCAGAGGAAATAATCTAAAGGTTTTGTGAATTCATGTAACCTTTTGGGCTGCTCACCTTAAGGTAACTCCTGTATTAACAGGAGGAACAGAATAGGGAAAAAGATCTCAGTTCAGTGATGTAGCTTTGTGACCAGCCAGTGATCCAGTTCAATCAGGTAGAAATGACCTTCCTGCTACATCAATATTTGCTTCTATGGAGGCTAGTTTCCCCACTTAGGGCATGAGAAGAATTGGTAAAGTCAACATAAAATTGCCAAACCTGTCACCAAAAATGATGGCAAATCTGTATTTTTCTCTTAAACCGTGTTATAAAAGCTGTAATAAGGTATAGGCTGAGCATCATGGCTCATGCCTGTATTCCCAGCACTTTGGGAGGCCAGATTCCTTGAGACCAGTGTGGGGAACATGGCAAAACCTTGTCTCTAGGAAAAATAGCCAGGTATGGTGGCATGTACCTTAGTCTTAGTGATGTGGGAGGATTGCTTGAGCCTGGGAGGCAGAAGTTGCAGTGAGCTAAGATTGCAACGCTGCAGTCCAGCCTGGGTGATAGAGTGAGACCCCATCTTAAAAATAAAATAAAGATATAAATGACATCCAATAAAGTACACATATTTGAGCTGTAGGATAAGTCTTGAATTTTATTATAATCCCGTGAAACCATCATCAGAGTCACCATAATGAATTTATCTAATCTATCACCTTTGTATTTACTTGGAGCCTTTATAAAGTTTTTCTCTCTGCTCTTCAAACAACCATTGATTTACTTTGCTGTATGATGGAGTACTTTCCATTTTCTGGAATTTTCTGACTGATGTAATAAAGTGTTTCCTCTTATAATCCCTGGGTGCTCTCCTGCATCATGCTTATTTTGATGTCATTGTAGATATATGAGTTGTTCATTCGTTTTATGTTGCTGAGAAGTATAGTCTGCCGTGAAATGTCATTGTATATTCATTCATTCATCCATCCATTTATGGATATTTTAGTTGCTGCATACTTTTTTTTTTTTTTTTTTTCAAGACTCTCTACCAGGTTGGAGTGCAGTGGTGTGATTTTGGCTCATTGCAACCTCCACCTCCCAGGTTCAAGTGAGTCTCCCACCTCAGCCTCCCACGTAGCTGGGATTACATGCGTAAGCCATCATGCCCAGCTGTTTTTTGTATTTTTAGTAGAGATGGGGTTTCACTGTGTTACCGGGTTCATCTCAAACTCTGGGCCTCAAGTGATCTGCCTGCATTGGCCTACAAAAGTGCTCAGATTACAGGCCTGAGCCATGAGCCACCGCACCTGTAATTGATTCTGAGGCCAGGCACGATGGCTCACGCCTATAATCCCAGCACTTTGGGAAGCGCAGGTGGGTGGATCACTTGAGGTCAGGAGTTTGAGACCAGGCTGGCCAACATGGTGAATCCCCATCTGTACTAAAAATACAGAAATTAGCCAGGCATGGTGGCGCATGCCTGTAATCCCAGCTACTCACTCAGGAGGCTGAGGCAGGAGAATCACTTGAACCCAGGAGGCAGAGGTTACAGTGAGCTGAGATCACACCACTGCACTCCAGCCTGCGCAACAGAGTGAGACTCTGTTTCAAAAAAGAAAAAAAAAAATTTATTCTGAGATAATCCCAGTTCCCAGTGTGAAACTATTCCTGCAGTCACTGGAAAATAATAACCACTTTCTTGTAAGGAGATGAAATTTTGGAGCTCAGATGCCGTGTTTATATTGTTATTCAGATGGCCTTTTTAACCTGTGCTTTAATGGTGAAAGTTGTAGCGACTGATGTGTGTACCACAATGGCATTGGCTAAGTTGCTCGTCCTTTGAGATAGATGTCAATGTGATTAAAGAAATTGAGTACACCTTAGCATATGAATTAAGAAACATATTGACATAGTGATCCTCATAGTGACATAGATCAGCAGGACTTGTGTTCTGAGCACTGGTCATGACCCTGCTCATGATGAAACAGGATCTGGTCAAAACAGGATGCACTAAAGAAACCAGCTGAAAGCAGTAAAACTAAGATGGCAAGAATATGAACTCTAGTTACCCTCATTGCCTCACTGCTCATTATATGCTCATTATAATGTATTAGCATGCTAAAAGACACTCCCACCAGCACCATGGCCGTTTACAAATGCTATGGCAATGCCCAGAAGCTACCTCATGTAGTTTAAAAGAGAAGGAACCCCTGGTTCTGGGAACTCCCCACTCTTTTTCTAGAAAATTCATGAATAACCCACCTCTTATTTAGCACATAATTAAGGAGTAGCTATAAATATAGCTAGCCAACAATCCACGGGTGCTACTTTGCCTGTGGAGTAGCCCTGCTCTGTCTGTGGAGCAGCCATTTTCCTGTTCTCTTGCTCTCATAAACTTGCTTTGCCTTCACTTTACACTCTTGGCTTGCTCTTGAATTATTTCCTTTATGAAGCCAGGAACCCTCCTGGATTGAGCCCCAATTTTGGGATTTGCTAGCATCACTAGAGCAATTTTCTGTGGGAACCAGTGGCCAACTGCCAGCTTCACTACCTGCTTCAGGGTGTACCAACATCCGTCTATTTCCCTGTCATTAGATCTTTATTATTATTTTATTTTTTTGAGACGGAGTCTAGCTCTGTCGCCAGGCTGGAGTGCAGTCATGCGATCTCAGCTCATTGCAACCTCTGCCTCCAGAGTTCAGGCGATTCTCCTGCCTCAGCCTCCCGAGTAGCTGGGACTACAGGTGTCTGCCACCATGCCCAGCAATTTTTTTAACATGGGTTTTGCTGTGTTAGCCAGGATGGTCTTGATCTCCTGACTTCATGATCTGTCCACCTCGGCCTCCCAAAGTGCTGGGATTACAGGCGTGAGCAACCGTGCCCGGCTAATTTTTTTATTTTTATTAGAGATGGGGTTTCACCATATTGGTCAGGCTGGTCTCGAACTCCTGACCTCATGATCCACCTGACTCAGCCTCCCAAAGTGTTGGGATTATAGGCATGAGCCACTGCACCCAGCAATTTATTTATTTTTTATTTTTTATTTTTTTTGAGACAGAGTCTCACTCCTGTTGCCCAGGCTGGAGTGCAATGGCATGATCTCGACTCATCGCAACCTCCACCTCCAGGGTTCAAGTAATTCTCCTACCTCAGCCTCCCGAGTAGCTGGAATTGGAGGCATGCAGCACCATGCCTGGAAAATTTTGTACTTTCAGTAGAGACACGGTTTCTCCATGTTGGCCAGGCTGGTCTCGAACTCCCGACCTCAGGTGATCCACCTGCCTTGGCCTCCCAAAGTGCTGGGATTACAGGTGTGAGCCACCATGTCTGGCCTTTATTTTTATTTTTTGTGGGTATATAGTAGTGTATATATTTGTAGATTACATTAGATATTTTGATGTAGCCATGCCATATGTGATAATCACATAGGGTAAATGGGGTCTCAGTCACCTCAACATTTATCCTCTGTATTATAAACAGTCCAGTTATACTCTTTTAGTTATTTTTAAATATATAATTAAATTATTTTGACTATAGCCACCCTGTTATGGTAGCAAATATTAGGTCTTATTCATTTTTGCTCACTGTTTTTTGTACCCATCCTGTCATCATGTCTTATGGAGAATTTTCTTTTGTTCCCAACAAAACAATGAAACTCGCAAAACTGACTGTAATGATTCAGTCTACGTGAATTTAAAGAGCAATCAATACTTAATGTTCTCAGCTCTGAGTGCACACATTGTAAGTCTGAATGATGCCAATGATATGGCCACTTAGATAAGTAAAGTTTGGGAGCATCTCAAATAGTATTTTTATTCTCTGGGTGCAGGATGAGCTTCCTAGAGTCTGATGTGATACCTATTTGATGCTTTTACAAAGAATCAATAATCTTCCTCCTTTGAGGTGTGAGCAGGGCTTTCCAGCAGCCCTCAGAATGTAACATGGTCTGCATTCGGTTTGCTCTTGGAGGATACCACCATTGTTGGCTGAGAGCTCTGGGAAGTACTTTACCCAGAAGGCGCTAGTTGCAAGGCCCAGGATGAGGGATTTCTGGGCATGCTTGTCAGGCCAGGGAGTACTGGGTTGGGACTGAGAAGGCACAAGAGGAGTAGTCATCTCTGCTCCCAAGTGGCAGGTCTGAGGCTCATAGGCACTGGCTGGGGTGATGCCTGCTCCACCCACAGTTGATGGCAGCAGCCACACTGAGGGACCTAGCTCAGGTAAATGCTGTGTATTACAGGCTTCACCCCAGCTAGAGTAATACAGGTAGAGGAACCAATAGGTACAAAGGCTTGGAGGTGCATCTGAGCCATGAACATTTCAGAACCTGGTAACCATGTTGTGTCATGGAAAGTGGGGAACTACATTACCCAGAAAGCTCTGCTTTAAACGACAGCCGGTCAGAGCCAGTGAGCACTCGGAAAGAAGGCATTTCCACGTGTGCACGTAACGTAAGGCCGAGACTTCCGGGGTCTCTAGTAGCGGCTGTGTATCGGCGATGCGGGTGTTTCCCCAGTTTGTGGCCCCTGAGTGCTGGGTGGGACCGCGGTGACTGAACCTAGAAGGTGGAGAGGAATCGTCCTCGGTGCCCAGAGGCGGCTCTGCAGCCCCGTGACGGCGACCACTGCTCCCGGGCCGTGCTTCCCCAAGTAGTCCGATGGCAGCGGCTGTGCCGAGGCGCCCAACTCAGGTAATTGTGGTGCCTTCTGTGCCCTCAGGTCACCCCATCGTCACCCAGGTCCTAAACCAGCGAGGGAGCGGCTCCTGCTCGTGGGTCTGTAGCCGGTACCCGGCGTAGGAACACTGAGGCGCTCACAGGAGGCCTCTCCTTGTAACCGTCCAGTGGGTTCACGTTGCCAGCTGCCTAGACAGAGCCGATTTATGAAGACTGGGGAATTGCGATGGAGAAATAGTAATTCACGCAGAGCCGTCCTGCTGTTCGGGAGACAGGAGTTTTATTATTCAAATCAGTCTCCCTGAGCATTCTGGGATCAGAGTTTTCAAAATTTGGCGGGTAGGGGCTTGGGAAGTGGGGAGTGCTGATCAGTCTGGTTGGAGATGGATTCATAGGGGGTTAAAGTGAGTTTTTCATGCTGTTTTCTGTTCTGGGTGGGATGGCAGAACTGATTGACCCAGATTACCGGTCTGTGTGTTGTCCGCTGATCCATCCAGTGCAGGATCTGCAAAATGCCCCAAGCACTGATCTTAGATATTGGGGAAACCAGCCCCACACCACCCAGCAGATACCCCGAGTCCTGCGGAGACAAAGGAGTTAGAAAGAGACAGAATACGCATTTAAAAGGCGGGTCCAGGTGGCCAGAGCATTGGAGGCTTCCTGGCGGCCCAGAGCTCTTGGGCTCCACCCAGTTTATTGGTTTACAAGCTCTTTGTTCTTATGGCTGATTGGAGGGGGAGGAAGCGATCAGGAAAAGGATTAATCAGTAAAGGAGAACTCGTGAGTCATTCCATAAGATGTAAAGCACTGGCCGTTTCTGTGAATTTCCTTGAACAAAGGCGTGTGTCTAAACTACTTAAGATCTTTAACTTAACTGAAACGGGTGGCTGCGGGTTTCAGGAGGAGCCAAGATGTTTGATTATGCTCCACTGCTTCAAGGGAGTGTGATCTCCCTGAGCAACCCATGGAATGCTGCTGAAGAGTTATGCTCTCGGGGCATAAAGACATGAAGGCAATAAGGAGACTTTTCTCCTCAGAGGCCGCCCATGGCTTCCCATGGGTGTCTCACACAGGGGAGACCAACTCAACTAGCACCCCAGAAACTCACATTAGGTTTTACAATAGTAAGGTTATCTTCAGGAGCAACTTGGGGAGGTTCAGACTCTTGGAGCCAGAAGCTGCATGACCCCTAAACCGTAATTTCTATTCTTGTAGCTAATTTGTTAGTCCTGCAAAGACAGGCTGGTCCCCAGGCAAGAAAGGGGTCTTTTCAGGAAAGGGCTATTATCAATTTTGTTTCAGAGTGAAACCATGAACTGAATTCTTTTCCAAAGTTAATTCAGCCTATGCCCAGGAATGAAAAAAGACGGCTGAAAGGTTGGAAGCAAGATGGAGTCGGTTAGGTCTGATTTCTTTCACTGTCATAATTTCGTCAGTTATAATTTTGCAAAGTCGGTTTCACCTGTTTCTGACACCAGTGGGATGCAGTGGGGAGAGTGACAGGCACAGGTAGGGGTGCAGGCAATGGCCTGCAGATGGACAGAGCTGGAAGGATGGAACCTGGGGTTCACAGGCATCTGTCAGGAACAACGTGTGAGATGGAGCTCTTCCTGGTAGAGCAAGCAGGCCAGGGGCTGTGCATTCATCATGAGGATTCTAGAAGCCATGGAGAGTTTTGAAGAAAGGAGGGACATGATCCAAATCCAGGCTTTTAAGAAGTTTCCCAAAGGCCAATCAAAGGAAGAACATCATAGAGAGAGAGGATGAGGACTTTGGGGCCTTGGGAGGTTGAATCCGTTTTGTAGATCACATAGATGGTAGAGATGACATTTTGCACTGAGAAAAGCAGGTCAGACAACCAGCCTTAGGGTTACCTGGTTCCAGGGACAAGAAAGGGTTCAGGGAGTCCTGAGCTTATCAAATCCTGTGACATGTTTGTAATGTCTGCCTTTCCCCTCAGGCACTCCTGGCTGCAGAAGCACTTAGGGAACCCACACAGGGAAGTGGAGGGTGTTCCATTCCCTCATTGGTCCTGACGCCATCTACAGGTTCTCTAGCTTGTGGTGTCCTGGGACTCTTAAGTGCCATTTTTTTCAGTCCTTTGATCCGAGGACCCTGGAGAATCTCTGAAGCCAGGATACCAAGTCCATGACAGGTTATATGGAGGTATTCCCATTTCTGTCAACCAATGTAAACACCCTTGTAAGATTAACCCAGGATTTGCTACCAGGTTGTGAAATGCTTAGAGATAAAACGGATCAAAGTCAGGAGGTGATATTACCACAGTTCTACCTGGCTACAGGCTTCATCTGGCTGGACCTTGTTGCATAGACTGTGGGTTGAGGGAAGAGGAAGAAAGGTCAGAGATAAGGCTCCTGCCATAATCCAGGTGAGGGTTAATGGATCAGATAAGTGGTAAATCACATGGGTCTGGATTCAGGATTCACTTTTTGTAAAGAGACAGCTAGGTTTTCTTTTTTTTTTCTTAACGTGGAATTTCAGTCTTGTTGCCCAGGCTGGAGTGCAATGGCGCAATCTTGGGCTCACTGGAGCCTCTGCCTCCCAGGTTCAAGCAATTCTCCTGCCTCAGCATTCAAGGTAGCTGGCATTACAGGCACCCACCATCATGCCCAGCTAATTTTTGTATTTTTAGTAGAGACGAGGTTTTACCATGTTGGCCAGGCTGGTCTCGAACTCCTGACCTCAAGTGATCGTCACATCTCGGCCTCCCAAAGTGCTGGGATTATAGGCATGGACCAATGCGCCCAGCCGAGACAGCTAGGCTTTTTTTTTTTTTTTTTTTTTTTTTTTTTTGAGACGGAGTTTCACTCTCTTGTCCAGCCTGGAGTCTAGTGGCACAATCTCAGCCCACTGCAACCTTCACCTCCTGGGCTCAAGTGATTCTCCTGCCTCAGCCTCCTGAGTAGCTGGGATTACAGGCATGTACCACCACACTCGGCTAATTTTTCTATTTTTAGTAAAGTCGGGGTTTCACCATGTTGGCCAGGCTAGTCTCAAACTCCTGACCTCAGGAGATTCGCTGGCCTCTGCCTCCCCAAGTGCTGGGATTATAGGCACGAGCCACCATGCCTTGCAGACAGCTAGATTTTCTAATGTGGATGATAGGAGCATGAAAGAGGAATCGGGCATGAGCCCAAGGTTTTTGATCTTAGCAGCTGTAACCATGCACACTGCTTCAGCTGAGATGACGTTGGTATTGACATAATATTCACTGTGGATATCCAGAGGGTTGTTTTGGCCATATGAAGAATCAGAGACCAATAAGTGGTGGCATCAAATCGATAACTAGACATACTGGATGGGGTATCTGGGAGGGTGTTGATACTGGAGACATCCAATATATGAAAGCTAATGAGTGAACTATGATTAGTTATGGGTCCATTTAGGAGGACATGCTTCAGATTATGGTGGTAAATCTTTTCAGGGGGCAGAAAGGTGTGATTACAGGCTGAGGACTGGATCTCTTACTTACGTCCTCAATTGATGTTATTGGGCTTCCTAAACACCTGAGAGGGTGTGAGTGACCATCATAACAGGACATTTAATACAGTAGAGTTTGGAAGGGGACATAGACATCCAAAGAGATAATAGAGAAGAGATAGATGCATGCAGAAGCACAGGAGTAATTCAGGGAAGATGACACTTAGGCCTGAGTTGGTGCCAAAGTTGTAACTTTTTTGTTTTTTTTTTTTTTTCAGATGGAGTTTCGCTCTTGTTGCCCAAGCTGGAGTGCAATGGTGCCATCTCGGCTCACTGCAACCTCCACCTCCTGGGTTCAAGCAATTCTCCTGCCTCAGCCTCCCAAGTAGCTAGTATTACAGGCACCTGCCACCACAGCAGGCTAATTTTTGTATTTTCGGTAGAGACAGGGTTTCACCATGCTGACCAGGCTAGTCTTGAACTCCTGACCGGGTGATCTGCCTGCCTCGGCCTCAAAGTGCTGGAATTGCAGGCGTGAGCCACTGTGCCTGGCCAGTTGTAACTATTTATCACTGTCTGGACTCATAAACATTTTGAGATGACTTTGGGAGTGCCTGGGGAGTTTCATTCAGCCTGGTGCATATGGGCAGTGAAAAATATGCTCATCTGTGATAGTAGATGTGGTTTGGTTCACAAATCCAGGGGCTGGGCTTTAAACGGCATTAGGTGGACAGAGGAGGGTTGCTACAGCTGAGGTCTCAGCTGGTGCAGCACAAAAGTGAAATAGGGCCATGGCTATCTGAAGCCATATGTGGTTCTGTGTGGCTATGGAGTCATTCCAGGAGACGTTCACAGGATGATTTGGGATTACCACTGCTATTGTAAACCATGGAAATTCTGTGTTAATATTGGATGCTATTTGTATTTGTCAAGCATAGTCTGGATGCTTATCCACATTTTGGTATAAGGCCAGAATTGAAGGCCCAATATGATGTGTCACTTTGACATCTTGTGAAAGTGGGACAACCTTAAAAGGTGTGAGTACAAATCTCATTCCCACTCTGCTCTCTTGAATAATGTATCCTAGCCTAACAGCCCGTTTTATCAAGGTGATAAGGCAGGGTTCCAGGTTGTTATATTTTGTGGTGGGTTTCAATTCCATCCCTACCAGCAGAGTTATGGAAACAAACCATTGCATATTCCCAAGGGAATCATGGGCCGTTATACCCTCTTCATCTTGTGAAATAATTTTATTTGTAGGCGCTGGGTGTGGTGGCTCACCCCTATAATCTCCTCACTTTCAGAGGCCAAGGCTGGTGGATCACTTGAGACCAGAAATTCAAGACCAGCCTGGCCAACATGGTGAAACCCCGTCTCTACTAAAAAAAAAAAATACAGGCCAGGCATGGTGGCTCAAGCCTGGAATCCCAGCACTTTGGGATGCTGAGGTGGGTGGATCAGGAAGTATGGAGATCGAGACCATCCTGGCTAACACAGTGAAACCCCGTCTCTACTAAAAAAAAAAAAATACAAAAAATTAGCCAGCTGTGGTGGTGGGCACCTGTAGTCCCAGCTACTCGGGAGGCTGAGGCAGGAGAATGGCCTGAACCTGGGAGGCAGAGCTTGCACTGAGCTGAGATCATGCTACTGCCCTCCAGCCTGGGGGACACAGCAAGACTCCGTCTCAAAAAAAAAAAATTAGCCGAGTGTAGTGGTACATGGCTGTAATCCCAGCTACTTGGGAGGCTGAGGCACAAGAATCACTTGAACCTGGGAGGCGGAGGCTGCAGTGAGCCATGATTGTGTTCCTGCACTCCAGCCTGGGTGGCAGAGCTAGACTATGTCTCAAAAAAATCCCCCAAAAATAAACTTTTACTTCTGGGGATGCCAGAGAGGGGCTGAAGGTTGGGGAAACTCTGGTGGGGGTGGCCATGGGCATGTGTCTGTACAGTATAAAGAATGATATATATTTAATGAGAGCGAGGTTGTCTGATGGACTCAGGCAGCTGCCTTGGGCTTTACGTGACCTTGGATATCGCTGTTCAGAAGGGGGTGTGGGCTTTTTTTGTTTTTTTTTTTTTTGAGATGGTGTCTCGCTCTGTTGGCCAGGGTGGAGTGCAGTGGTGTGATCTCGGCTCACTACAAACCCCGCCTCCTGGGTTCACGCCATTCTCCGGCCTCAGCCTCCCGAGTAGCTGGGACTACAGGTGCCCACCACCATGCCCGGCTAATTTTTTGTATTTTTAGTAGAGACAGGGTTTCACCATGTTAACCAGCATAGTCTCTATCCCCTGACTGCAAGATCTGCCCGAATCAGTGTCCCAAAGTGCTGGGATTACAGGCGTGAGCCACCGCACCCAGCCCAGAAGGGAGTGGACCTTTTTATGTCAGGACCTCAGCATGGATACCTATTTGTCCACCTACTTCTTGTTGCTGATGGCATTTGACCAGCAGGCCCATGAAGAGACAAAGGCACCAGTGGATGTGGTTTCAACTCCGTGTTGGGGACCTTGGGAGGAGGATGGGCAAGGGTGGGTGTGTGGGAGAGGTGGGTTGTGGTACCTCAGCAGAGGGGCTGCTTGTGGTTTCATCTGTCACTATCATAGCAGGGCACTGTGACCTTTGAAGATGTGGCTGTGAACTTTTCCCAGGAGGAGTGGTGTCTTCTTAGTGAGGCTCAGAGGTGCTTGTACCGTGATGTGATGCTAGAGAACCTGGCTCTCATATCCTCGCTGGGTAAGTTGCTCACGCTCACCTTTGTGACCTGAGCTAGTGTTACTGTTCCCCTGTTTTTCATTGACAGGACTGTCTTTCTCACCTAAGGAGCCTGGACACAGGTTCCTTCTGCACTTCTCTGTGTAAGTTGTGTGGTTCGTAGGAGTAAGGTGTGTGTATTGCCTTTTCCTCTCCTGTTTTTTTTTTTTTTCTGAGACAGTGTCTCGCTCTGTCACCCAGGCTGGAGTACAGCGGCGCCATCTCGGCTCACTGCAAGCTCCACCTCCCGGGTTCATGCCGTTCTCCTGCCTCAGCCTCTCAAGTAGCTGGGACTACAGGCGACTACCACCACGCCTGGCTAATTTTTTTTGTTTTTTAGTAGAGACGAGGTTTCACCGTGTTAGCCAGGATGGTCTTGATCTCCTGACCTCGTGATCCACCTGCCTTGGCCTCCCAAAGTGCTGGGATTATAGGCGTGAGCCACCACGCCCAGCCACCTTTTCCTCTCCTTAAGCAGCTCCAACACCTGCTTTGCTCCAGGCTCCCAGGGAAGGAGTCAGAGTCAGGAGTCTTATAGGCACCTTAATGTATCCACTTTGCCTGCCTCTGGCTGTCAGGTGACTGTCCAAATCGGTAGCTCTTGTGTGCCCAGGTTCTATTAACACTTCCTTCCTCTATCTGACAATGCTTTGTGCCTCCCTGTGCCAAGAATTGCCTTCATTGACATTGTCACTACCTACATAGACCATAGACCATAGACTCTTCTTGCAAGACCCTGCTTAGGAATTCTTTTGTAATACTTACCTTACTCTCCTGTGGGCTGTCAGGTGCTTAGTTGTCCTGAGCTAGTGTTGGCTGTTCATCTCTGCTATCTCTCCTTTCATAGTTACATCGTCGGGTCCTATGTACTGGGTGTGAGATGGAGAGTCCTCCATGTTTGACAAGATGTGGTTCAATTCAGGCTCATCACGATAGGCTCAAAGGGAGCCTGTCCCTCAGGAGTGCCATGCTGGGGGAGGGCATGACTTCAGGGGTTTATCCAAATCATACCAGAAACCATTTACATTTGCCAAGTATTTTTGGGGCAATATGAGTAGGCACACACTATTTGTCTTTTTCTCCCCATTGTTGAGAGTTTCACATGTGTTAGTTCTGTACCTTTTCATTTCTGCAGTGATATCCACCCCAGCACTAATACTCACATTTCTGGACTCCACATCTCACCCATTTTTCTTTTGCTTTCATCTGCAGTTGTCTCTGATATTGGTGTATTGATTACGTATTAGGAAGTGTATGCCCATGGTTAAACCATCTATGACCACCCCTGCTGTGTTGTACTCATGTTTTCTTGGTCTTCACATGTTTCTATATATATATAGATGTATATATATGTGTGTATGTGTATATATATATATGTGTGTGTGTATATGTATATTTTTGAGAGAGAGTTTTGCTCTTGTTGCCCAAGCTGGAGTGCAATGGTATGATCTCGGCTCAGTGTAACCTCTGCCTCCTGGGTTCAAGCGATTCTCCTGCCTCAGCCTCCCAAGTAGCTGGGATTACAGGCACATGCCACCATGCCTGACTGACTTTTTGTATTTTTAGTAGATACAGGGTTTCACTATATTAGCCAGGCTGGTCTCGAACTCCTGACGTCAGGTGATCTGCCCGCCTCGGCCTTGCAAAGTGCTGGGATTACAGGAGTGAGCCACCGTGCCCGGCCCATATTCTTCTATATAGCACTCACATGTCATCAGGAGATAAGGTCCTGTACACAACTTGTTTGTAGAGGAAGGAGCTGTAGACCCTGCCTCTACTCCCTGTGTTGCATATATGCTTGTGCTCTTTACATCATGAAGCCTCCTGGATTCTGTGACCTTTATAGCCCAGGAATTCTAAGAAGCCCCATCTTTTTTTTTTTTTTTTTTTTTGTGATTGAGTCTCACTCTGTTGTCCAGGCTGGGGTGCAGTGGCGTAATCACTGCTCACTACAAACCTCTGCCTTCTGGGTTCAAATGATTCTCCTGCTTTAGCCTCCCGAGTAGCTGGGATTACAGGTGTCCACAACCACATCCAGCTAATTTTTGTATTTTTAGTAGAGATGGGGTTTCACCATGTTGTTCATGCTGGTCTTGAACTTCTGACCTCAGGTGATCCACCCGCCTCAGCCTCCCAAAGTGCTGGGATTACAGGTGTGAGCCACCATGCCCAGCCAGCAGCCCCATCTTCAACTTGAAGCCAACATTGTGTTCCTGCAAATATTTCTATAGATTAATTCCTCAATTTGTGAGACGTACTTGTGGGTGGGCTGTGCCTTCCCGCCGGAGGTACTTTGCACTTGACCAGCATTTTCTTGCTTTCAGGTTGTTGGTGTGGATCAAAAGATGAGGAGGCACCTTGTAAGCAGAGAATTTCTGTACAAAGAGAGTCTCAGAGCAGGACTCCTAGGGCAGGTGTTTCTCCTAAGAAGGCTCACCCCTGTGAAATGTGTGGCCTCATCTTGGAGGATGTTTTTCACTTTGCTGACCACCAGGAAACTCATCACAAGCAGAAGCTGAACAGGAGTGGAGCATGTGGAAAAAACTTGGATGACACTGCATACCTTCATCAGCACCAGAAGCAGCATATTGGAGAGAAATTCTACAGAAAGAGTGTCAGAGAAGCATCGTTTGTAAAGAAACGTAAGCTCAGGGTGTCACAGGAGCCATTTGTCTTCCGCGAGTTTGGGAAGGACGTTCTGCCCAGTTCAGGATTGTGCCAAGAAGAAGCTGCTGTAGAGAAGACAGACAGTGAAACTATGCATGGCCCACCCTTTCAGGAGGGAAAAACTAATTACAGTTGTGGAAAACGCACAAAAGCCTTCAGCACCAAACACTCAGTTATTCCACACCAGAAACTTTTCACTAGAGATGGATGTTATGTGTGCAGTGATTGTGGAAAATCCTTTAGCAGATATGTCAGCTTCAGTAATCATCAGCGAGATCACACTGCAAAAGGACCTTATGATTGTGGAGAGTGTGGGAAATCTTATAGTCGAAAGAGCAGCCTTATTCAACATCAGCGAGTCCACACTGGACAGACAGCTTATCCCTGTGAGGAGTGCGGGAAATCTTTTAGTCAGAAGGGCAGCCTTATTAGCCATCAGCTTGTTCACACTGGAGAAGGGCCTTATGAGTGTAGAGAATGTGGGAAATCTTTTGGTCAAAAGGGTAACCTCATTCAACATCAGCAAGGTCACACTGGAGAGAGAGCTTATCACTGTGGGGAATGTGGGAAATCTTTTCGTCAGAAGTTCTGCTTTATTAACCATCAGCGTGTTCACACTGGAGAAAGGCCTTACAAGTGTGGAGAATGTGGGAAATCTTTTGGTCAAAAGGGCAACCTCGTTCACCATCAGCGAGGTCATACTGGAGAAAGGCCCTATGAGTGCAAGGAATGTGGGAAATCATTTAGGTACAGATCCCACCTCACTGAACACCAGAGACTTCACACTGGGGAAAGACCTTACAATTGTAGGGAATGTGGGAAATTATTTAACAGGAAGTATCATCTTCTGGTTCATGAGAGAGTTCACACTGGAGAAAGGCCATATGCGTGTGAGGTATGTGGGAAATTATTTGGCAATAAGCACAGCGTGACTATACATCAGAGGATTCACACTGGAGAAAGGCCGTATGAATGCAGTGAATGTGGGAAATCATTTCTTTCCAGCTCTGCGCTTCATGTTCATAAAAGAGTTCATTCTGGACAAAAGCCTTATAAGTGCAGTGAATGTGGAAAATCCTTTTCTGAATGTTCCAGTCTCATTAAACACAGGAGAATTCACACTGGAGAAAGGCCTTATGAATGCACCAAATGTGGAAAAACATTTCAGCGAAGCTCTACCCTCCTTCATCATCAGAGTTCACACAGGAGAAAGGCCTTATGAGTGCAGTGAATATGGGAAATCGTTTGCTGAAGCATCCCGTCTCGTTAAACACAGGAGAGTTCATACTGGAGAAAGGCCTTATGAGTGCTGTCAATGTGGAAAACATCAGAATGTCTGCTGTCCTCGGTCTTAAGCGACTTCGTGTTGAGATGGAGTCTTGTTCTGTCACCCAGGCTGGAGTGCAGTGGTGCAGTCTTGGCTCGCTGCAACTTGGGCCTCCTGGGTTCATGCAATCCTCCTACCTCAGCCTCCTGAGTAGCTGGGATTATGAGTACACACCACCACGCCCAGCTAATTTTTGTGTTTTTAGTGGAGATGGGGTTTTACCATGTTGGCCAGGCTGGTCTCAAACTCCTGACCTCAAGTGATCCACCCACCTTGACTCCCAAAGTGCTGAAATTACAGGCATGAGCCTCTGCACCTGGCCTTCATTCTTTTCGTATTGCTTAGAATATGACATGCTGAACCAGGCATGGTGGCTCATGCTTGTAAACCTGATGCTTTGGGAGGACAAGGTGGTTCATTGGAGGCCAGGAGTTAGAGATCAGCCTGGGCAACATAGCCAGACCTCCTCTCTACAAAAAGAAAAAAGAATGACATGCTTCTTGTTTTTGTCTGTTATAAATGAAACTGCTATATTTGAATGCAGTTGTTCATGTAGGTATGTTTCACTATGGTAATATGGTGGTGTGCAGTGCCTGAGTCACGTGATAGATTAAAGTACAACTCTTTTTTGAGACAGAGTCTCACTCTGTCACCCAGGCGGGAGTTAGGTGGCATGATTTCGGCTCACTGCAACCTCTGCCTCCCAAGTTCAACTGATTCTTCTGCCTCAGCCTCCCGAGTAGCAGGGATTACCGGTGTGCACCACCATGCCTGGATAACTTTTTTTTTTATTTCTATTAGCAATGGGGTTTCACCATGCTGGCCAGGCTTGTTATGAACTGACCTCAAGTGATCTGCCTGCCTCAGCTTCTCAGGTGTGACCTACTGTGCTTGGCCTAATGTACAACTTTTTAAGCAATGCCAAACTATGACTTAAGAATGAAATTATTGCTCATTTGTATATCTATCTACCATCAGTGTCCAAGAATTTCTGTTCTATCTTACCAAGAGGGAGTATGGTTAGTATTTGAAATTGTTTATTATTTTAATAAGTGGTTATAACTTTTGAGTCAGTGGTTTATGTTTTGCATTTTTTTTGTTTTGAGACAAAGTCTCGCTCTGTCTCCCAGGCTAGAGTACCGTGGCACAATCTCAGCTCATTGCAACCTCTGCTTCCTGGGCTCAAGCACTCTGCCCACCTCAGCCTCCAGAGTAGCTGGAAATACAGGTATGCACCACCACAACTGGATAACTTTTGTATTTTCTGTAGAGAGGGTTTTACCTTTTTGCCCAGTCTGATCGCGAACTCCTGGGCTCAGGCGATCCACTTGCCTAGGCTCCAAAAGTGCTTGGTCTACAGGGGTGAGGCACCCTGCCTGGCCTCACCTGTAGGCTTGTTTTTTAAAATGAATTTTATCTATTTCCCATTTCATTAATATATTTAAAAATAATGAAATAACAAAGACGTATGTTGGACTTCATTCATTCTTCAGTGATGTCACTTTGCTGCAAGGAATATTTGGTTTTCTTTTTTTTTTTTTTTTCCAGATGGAGTCTAGCTCTGTCTCCTAAGCTACAGTGAAGTGGCATGATCTCGGCCCACTGCAACCTCCACCTCCTGTGTTCAAGCGATTCTGCCTCAGCCTCCTGAGTAGCTGGGACTACAGGCATGTGCCATTATACCTGGCTAATTTTATTTATTTATTTTAGTAGAGATGGGGTTTCACCATGTTACCCAGGCTGCTCTCTACCTTCTGAGCTCAAGTGATCCACCTGCCTCGGCCTCCCAAAGTGCTGGGATTACAGGTGTCAGCCACTGTACCTGGCTGAATACTTGGTTTTCAGTACCACAAGAACTATGAGCTGGTTATCCACTTCATGTGGAATCATAAGCGTCCCAAAGTGACAATACATATAGATTGCCAGGCAGTGAAACAGTTAAGATGCCACCATAGCTTTCTTTTCAACATCTTTCTAAGATTACCTTACTATTTCTTTTGTTCCAAGTTTGTACTTCCTCACAGTTCTCACATATGGAAAGGATACACACTTTGTAGAAACAAGAACTTTATGTTATCCAAGTTCTAGGATAGCCATGAGCTCCAATTATCTCAGAGCTCTGAGTCCTCTACTCAATACCCATTGAGATTTATGTGTTCTGAGGCTTTTGTCTTCTAGCTACTTACTTCATTCTCCATGGGTAACGTCATTCATCCACATTAACTAATTTCCTCACTCCAAGCTCTTTTCTAGAGATAATCTCCAGTCCCTGTGCAGAAACTGTCATTGCACTTTCTGCTGAAATGGCAGTTTCTTCTCAGCAAGGTGAGATTATGGAATCCAGAATCTTTTTTCAGGGGTCACATGCCCATTTCCCCACTTGCATGAATGTCGACACTGCAGCCACAGTTTTGGCCGTAAATGTGAATTTGGCAAGTAACCACTGTTCCCAGGGAAATGTCCCAATCAGAAGAAGATTATCTGGGACACTGATACTGACAGGGAGATGGGACATTCTGAGGGACCCGGAGGCAGGGTGCCACCTCCTCAACTTCCCTGAGGGCTGCCTAGAATCTGTTTCCTCTCACTCTGAATTATTCTTCCTCTTATGGCTGACCAAAAACATGGAACCTCACAAAGTCCACTGTAACAGCTTTATATTTGTGAAGTGAAGAACATGAAGACAGTTTCAAGCAAAGTTATTGAGTGGACACTTTGTGTTTTTTTTGAGAAGTCTCACTCTTTCACCCAGGCTGGAGTGCAGTGGCACGATCTCGGCTCACTGCAACTCCACCTCCCGGGTTCACGCCATTCTCTTGCCTCAGCCTCCTGAGTAGCTGGGACCACAAGCGCCCACCACGTCAGCTTAATTTTTTTGTTTTGTTTCTTGAGACAGAGTCTTGCTCTCTTGCCCAGGTTGGAGTGCCGTGTCGCAATCTCAGCTCACTGCAACTTCTACCTCCTGGATTCAAGCACTTCTCCTTGCCTCAGCCACCTCTTTAGCTGGGATTACAGGTGCGTGCCACCACACCCAGCTAATTTTTGTATTTTTAGCAGAGACCAGGTTTCACCATGTTGGTCAGGCTGGTCTCAAACTCCTGACCTCGTGATCCACCCACCTCGGCCTCCCAAAGTGCTGGAATTACAGGCGTGAGCCACTGCACCTGGCCTGTATTCTTTTCTTTAGTAGAGACGGGGTTTTACTGTATTTGCCAGGATGGTCTCGATCTCCAGACCTCGTGATCCGCCCGCCTTAGCCTCCCAAAGTGCTGGGATTATAGGCGTGAGCCAACACGCCCTGGCCACTTCTTGTCTTTGCAACATTTTTTAGATATGTATTTGTGTTTTTTGGGGAGCTTAATTTGCTAATGGAATCTCTGTTATTTTCCTAACATGCTTGGTGGATACAAGAGTTAAGACTTCCTGTCCCGTTTAGTGTAACAAAAGAAAGTTAAGAAATGTGGATAAAAGATTGTAAGTTAGAAATGGCAAGATAATCAGCTATATGAAGAATCTTGGCCAGGTGTGGTGGCTGAGGCCTGTAATCCCACCACTTTGGGAGGCTGAGGTGGGCGGATCACAAGGTCAGGAGTTCAAGACCACCCTGGCCAATATTGTGAATTCCTGTCTCTACTAAAAATACAAAAATTAGTCGGGCATGGTGGCGGGTGCCTGTAGTCCCAGCTACTCGGGAGGCTGAGGCCAGAAAATCGGTTGAACCTGGGAGGTGGAAGGTGCACTGAGCCAATATCACACCAGTGCACTCCAACCTGGTGACAGAGAGACACATCATCTCAAAAAAAAAAAAAAAACTCAATCCATAAATGTTATACTTTATAACTTTATAACAGCATGTTATATGGGCTTAGATATTATCCCTAAATTTTTTTTTTTTTTTTTTTTTTTGAGACAGAGTCTCACTCTGTCACCCAGGCTGAAGTGCAATGGCATGGTCTCGGCTCACTGCAACCTCCGCCTCCCAGGTTCAAGTGATTCTCTTGCCTCAGCCTCCCGAGTAGCTGGGCCTATAGGTTCCCTCCACCACGCCCAGCTAATTTTTGTATTTTTAGTAGAGATGGGCTTTCACTACGTTAGCCAGGCTGGTCTCAAACTCCTGACCTCATGATCCACCCCCCTCGGCCTCCTAAAGTGCTGGGATTACAGGCATCTGCCACCGCACTCGGCTTATCCCTAGAAATCCTATGATAGCATGATGTATAGGCACCTAAAGGCATGGCACTTGAGAAATGTGAATAAGATTGTAAGTTACAAATAGCAAGGTACAGTCAGATGTTAACAGTCTCAGCCCCTAAATGTCACCTTGTATTACAGCATGTTATATAAGCACATACAGGCACATACATGAAATAGTGATACTTCATTCTCAGTAATATCTTCATCCTTCTCACTGGAAAGATCTTTGATGATTTTTAATCAACATAGGAGTTTCAATGATATCTAGAAGTTTAAAAGGGCTCGTTCAAACAAATTATGACCACACACACTGAAGAGTATGTTTGTCTCTTGTGGTGTAAATTTTTTTTTATTACACCAAATTATGTTCACACAAAACCTTTGTAATCAGGGGGAATTAAAGAGCCTTCCTGGAAAATGGAGGTTGCAATCAGCCGAGATGGTGCCATCGCACTCTAGCCTGGGGAATAGAGTGAGATCCTGCCTCAAAAAAAACAAAAAAATTCTTTATTTTCTCCATAAACTACAGTTTATATAAGCAAAAGTTTCAGTACTAAGCAATTTTAGTCTCTGCAGTCTCTTGTCTTGAATTAATACAACTTTTGTTAATTCTCTTATGAAGTTAATCTTCCTGCTTGTATGTGAATTAAATATATGTCAAACTTTTTTTGTACAAAAGATTCATACCTCTTTCCTGTTTGAAATTATTTTACTGTGTTTCATCAATCTAATGTTTATTTTTATTACACCAGTAATTTCCTCATTGTGTTGAATCTTACAGTGGCTTATAAATCTACATGTACCTAGAAATGTTTAGCCAGTCCATGTATATTTGATGTGGCACATTTTTTCCTTTGAATCACATACTCTAAGAGAAGTAACTTCCTCTTGCTAACCTCTACTTTCCCTAAGTGTTGAATTAATCCTCTTTAGATGATTATAATTCTCTTTTCAATAGCTAGAAAGAATCTATAAGGAACTTTCCTGGCTGGGTGTGGTGGCTCATGCCTGTAATCCCAGCACTTCAGGAGGCCGAGGTGGGTGGATCACGAGGTCAGGAGTTCCAGACCAGCCTGACCAACATGGTTAAACCATGTCTTTACTAAAAATGCAAAAATTAGCACCTGTAATCCCAGCTACTCAGGAGGCTGAGGCATAGAATTGCTTGAACCTGGCAGGCAGAGGTTGCAGTGAGTTAAGATCGTGGCACTGCACTACAGCATGGGCAACAGAGCAAGACTCTGTCTCAAAAAAAAAAAAAAGAAATCACAGTCCATGTCTGAGGGGTGTACATTGCTTATCAATTTGGAGAGAAAATAATAGATAATGTAATACAATGTTAAAATAGATTAAAAATTGAGATAGAAAAACTGCTCAATTTATGCTTCACATAAAATTGAAAATTAAATCAAGCCTACACATAAAGGCATTTTTTATATATATACATATATGTGTGTGTGTGTGTATATGTACACACATATATACGTATATATGTGTGTACATATACACACACACACACATACTTTTTATGTTATTTTTGGAGAGAATCTTGCTCTGCTGCCCAGGCTGGAATGCAGTAGCATGATCATGGCTCACTGCAGCCTTGACCACCCCCAGGGTTCAAGTGATCGTGCCACCTCAGCCTGCTGGGTAGCTGGGACTACAGACAGGCACCCTGCCTGGCTAATTTTTGCATTTTTTGTGGACACAGGGTTTTGCCATGTTGCCCAGGCTGGTCTCAATCTCCTCGGCTCAAGTCAACAGCCTGCCTCTGCCTCCCAATGTGTTGGGATTACAGGAATAAACTACTATGCCCAACTCAAGATTATTTTTTAAATGGTTTATTTTCTTAGTAAATTGGGGTGCACAAGTCATTAAAAGCAAGGATTAAATTTAAAGGGAAAAATTTGTTTTACTTTTCTACAGAAAATTAAAACCAAAGCACATTAAAAGTGACAACACGGCCGGGCACAGTGACTCACACCTGTAATCCCAGCACTTTGAGAGGATGAGGTGGGCGGATCACAAGGTCAGGAGATCGAGACCATCCTGGCTAACACAGTGAAACCCCATCTCTACTAAAAATACCGAAAGTTAGCCAGGTGTGGTGGCACGCACCTGTTGTCCCAGCTACTCAGGAGGCTGAGGCAGGAGAATGGCATGAACCCAGGAGGCGGAGTTTGCAGTGAGCCAAGATCAGGCCACTGCACTCCAGCCTGGGCGACAGAGCGAGATTCTGTCTCAAAAAACAAAAAAGCAACAACCCAAGATGGAAATGACAAAAGTTACTTAAAATGTGCAACATAAAAGGTAGTCATTTAGGCTGGGTGCAGTGGTTCATGCCTGTAATCCCACTTTGGGAGGCCAAGACAGGTGGGTCACTTGAGGACAGGAGTTCGAGACCAGTCAGGCCAATACCGTGAAACAGTCTCTACTAAAAATCCAAAAATTAGCCGGATGTGGTATCATGCACCTGTAATCCCAGATGTTCGGGAGGCTGAGGCATGAGAATCGCTTGAATGCAGGAGCAGAGGTTGCAGTAAGCTGTGATCATGCCATTGCCCTCCAGCCTAGGCAACAGAGCTAGATCCTTGTCTTAAAAAAAAAAAAAAGGAAAGGAGTCATCTATAATTTTACTACTTATACAGATTACATTGAGATAAATCGCAAAATATTAGGCAAAACTTTAAAACAATTTTTAACTATCCAGTATATCAAAGAGAGATGCCACACATTGTATTTGTTTGCAAGAATGTCATTGTGATTACAAAACTGACCACTAACCATTCAGTTGAAGTTGATTGAGAACTTAAAACTATTTCCGTCTATGGCCATACCACCCTGAACGCGCCTGATCTCGTCTGATCTCGGAAGCTAAGCAGGGTCGGGCCTGGTTACTACTTGGATGGGAGAACTTAAAACTATTTCCTTTTTTTTTTTTTTTTGAGATGGAGCCTCACTTTGTCGCCCAGGCTGGAGTGCAGTGGCGTGATCTCGGCTCACTGCAACCTCCGTCTCCTGGGTTCAAGTGATTCTCTTGCCTCAGCCTCCCAAGTAGCTGGGATTACAGGTGTGTGCCACTAAGCCCAGCTCATTTTTGTATTTTTAGTAGAGACAGGGTTTCACCATGTTGGCCAGAGCCACCGCATTATTTTTCAGCCAGGTGCAGTGGCTCACACCTGTAACCCCGCACTTTGGGAGGCCAAGGTGGGTGGATCACCTGAAGTTGGGAGTTTGAGACCAGCCCGATCAACTTTGAAGAAACCGTCTCTACTAAAAATGCAAAAACCTAGCCGGGCGTGGTGGCACGTGCCTGTAATCCCAGCTACTCGGGAGGCTGAGGCAAGAGGATGGCTTGAACTCAGGAGGCAGAGGTTGTGGTGAGCCGAGATCACAGCACTGCACTCCAGCCTGGGTGACAAGAGCAAGACTCCGTCTCAAAATAAATAAATAAAAATAAAAAATAAACATGATGATCACAGATGCAGTCACATTTTCTGAGTTCTTGTCTCTCTGCCAGTGCCACCCAGATAGCCTCACAAAACTTTGACCCAGCCACTGTTAGTGTCGCCACCGCCCATAAAGGAGCTGAGCCCAGCAGGGGCACTGCCTGGGGCCCTGTAGCCAAAAGGCTACAGCAGGAGCTGATGACCCTCATGATGCCTGGTGACAAAAGAATTTCTGCCTACCCTGAAAGCCTTATCAAATGGACACCATCCATGAAGCAGCTGGCACAGTGTATGAAGATCTGAGGTATAAGCTCTTGCTGGAGTTCCTCAATGACTACCCACCTTTACGATGCACCCACAGTGAAGTTCCTCACACCCTGCTACCACCCTAACGTGGACACCCAGGGTAACATATGCCTGGACATCCTGAAGGAGAAGTGGTCTGCCCCGTATGATATCAGGACCATCCTGCTCTCTATCCAGTGCCTGCTAGGACAACTCAACATTGATAGCCCTTTGAACACACATGCTACCAAGCTCTGGGAAAACCCCATAGCTTTAAGAAGTACCTGCAAGGGTCAGGCGCAGTGGCTCACACCTGTAATCCCAGCACTTTGGGAGGCCGAGGTGGGTGGATGGATCACCTGACGTAGAGAGTCCAAGGCCTGACAAACATGGAGAAATGTCATCCCTATTTAAAAAAATAAAAAAATTAGCCAAGTGTGGTGGCGCATGCCTGTAATCCCAGCTACTCGGGAGGCTGAGGCAGGAGAATCACTTGAACCTGGGAGGTGGAGGTTGCAGTGAGCCGAGATCTCGCTATTGCACTCCAGCCTGGGCAACAAGAGTGAAACTCTGCCTCAAAAAAAAATAAAATAAAATAAAAATAAAAATAAGGAAGTACCTGCAAGAAAGCTACTCAAAGTAGGTCACCAGCCAGGAGCTCTGACCCAGGCTGCCCAGCCTATCCTTGTGTTGTCTTTTTAATTTTCCCTTAGATGGTCTGCCCTTTCCGTGATTTCTGTGTAGAACTCTGTATCTTGAGCTGTGGTACTATTTTTCTTTTGTCTTTTAATTTAAACCTTGGTGGAGCCCTTGTGATGAATATTAAATACATACATTTTGGGCTGGGTGTGGTGCCTCTAGCCTATAATCCCAGCACTTTGGGAGGCCGAGGCAGGCGAATCGTGAGGTCAGGAGATCGAGACCATCCTGCCTAACACGGTGAAACCTCGTCTCTACTAAAAATACAAAAAAATTAGCCGGGCGTGGTGGCGGGTGCCTATAGTCCCAGCTGCTCGGGAGGCTGAGGCAGGAGAATGGCATGAACCCGGGAGGTGGAGCTTGCAGTGAGCTGAGATTGCACCACTGCACTCCAGGCTGGGCACAGAGCAAGACTCCATCTCAAAAAAAAAAAAAAAAAAAAGACAAAAAGAAAACATTTTGGTCATTAAAAAACAAAAAAAAAATGATACGAGAGAGCACCCAGGGATTATAAGAGGAAACACTTTATTACATCACTCATCTAACATTCCAGAAAATGGAAAGTACTCTACTGTACAGCAAAGTAAATCATTGGTTGTCTGGAGAACAGAAAGAAAGCCTTTATAAAAAGGTTCCAAGTAAATATAAAGGTGTTAAGTTCATTATTGTGACTATGTTAATGGTTTCATGGGATTATATGAAACTCAAGATTTATCACATGCTACAGCTTAAATATGCATAGCTTACTGAATGTCATTTATAACTCATCACAGCTTTAAAATATACTTCAGACTGGCAGCAGTGGCTCACACCTGTATTCCCACCACTCTGGGAGGCTGAGGCAGGCATATCACCTGAGGTCAGGAGTCCAAGATCAGCCTGGCCAACATGGCAAAACTCCGTCTCTACTAAAAATACAAAACTTGGCCGGGCATGGTGGCACATGCTTCCAGTCCCACCTACATGGGAGGCTGAGCCAGGAGAATTGCTTGAACCTAGGAGGTAGAGGTTGCAATGAGCCAAGGTCATGCCACTGCACTCCAGCCTGGCTGACAGTGAGACTCTGTCTCAAAAAAAAAAAAAAAAGGTTGGGCACGGTGGCTCATGCCTATAATCCCAGCACTTTGGGAGGCCAAGGCAGGCGGATCACGAGGTCAGGAGATCGAGACCATCCTAGTTAACATGGTGAAACCCCATCTCTAGTAAAGATACAAAAAATTAGCTGGGTATGGTGGCGGGCACCTGTAGTCCCAGCTACTTGGGAGGCTGAGGCAGAAGAATGGTGTGAACCCAGGAGGCAGAGCTTGCAGTGAGCCGAGATCGTGCCACTGCACTCCATCCAGCCTGGGCAACAGAGCAAGACTCCGTCTCAAAATAAATAATAATAATAATTAAAAAAATGCAGTTCAAAAGAAAAATATAGATTTACCATTATTTTTGGAAAACAGGTTTGGCAACTCTATACTGACTACACCAATTCTTCTCATGCCCTAAGTGGGAAAACTAGCCTCCACGGTAGCAAATATTGATGTGGCACTAAGGCCATTTCCACCTGATTAAGTGGCTGGCTGGTCACAAAGGCCACATCACTGAACTGAGATCTCCCTTCTCCCTATCATCTTCCTCCTGTTAATGCAGGAATGACCTTGAGGAGAACAGCCCAGAATGAGTACAGGAATTCACAAAACCTTTAGATTATTTCCTCTGACAATGGCCTCAACAATACAATATTCATCATTATGGAAGTCCTGATAATTCCTGTATCTGCATATTCATCATATACGTAGTGACTGGATCATTGTGGATGCCCTTTTAAAAGACATGCATTACGCTGCACGTGGTGGCTCACCTGTAATCCCAGGACTTTGGGAGGCTGAGGCCAGCAGATCACAAGGTCAGGAGTTCGAGACCAGCCTGGCCAACATGGTGAAACCCCATCTCTACTAAAAATACAAAAATTAGCTGGGTGTGGTGGCATGTGCCTGTAGTCCCAGCTACTCAGGAGGCTGAGGCAGGAGAATCGTTTGAACCTGGGAGGCAGAGGTTGCCGTGAGCCAAGATTATGCCACTGCACTCCAGCCTGGGCAACAGGGTGAGGCTCTGCCTCAAAAAAAAAGAAAAAAAAAGAAAAAAAAGACATGAGTTGCAGTTACATTATTCTGTCTCCTCCACTGCCTATAAATAAAGTAATTCTATAAAATTATAATTTCACCTGATAGCATTACAATCTGTGATGTTATCCTACAGAATTCTGGATATCAGGGCATGTGTCTGCATTGCAAGAGCTGGGCAACAGACTTCCCTCAGCCGTACCAAGTACAATGCAATATACCTCGTAAAAGAATTTTGTCTTGTTCAAAAAATGCCAGAAATTGTCACAAAAAATGCCCTGTATCCAGCTGACCTATGAACCCACAAATTTTAGTATCCGTGCTACAGATAAAGACCACAAAGCCCTGAAGGTCTTCTCTGGAGGCCTCTGGCAGCTATGCAAAGCAGTCCACAAGTGGAGAAAGCTACATTCTGCATTCATACTGTTCCATGAGCCACAAAGTTTAGCTATGCCAACAAAAGCTGTGACCCCCTTCATAGTAACAGGACCTACTTATTTCTGAACCACCCATACAGTGACAACAACCCTCAAGATTGAAGAAGGCTGAAACAATAAGGCCTTCATAATAGCACAAACCGGAGAAATGGGAGGCAAGCTGTTCTTAGGATCATGACTTGGAGGGTAGAAAATTTGTCAAGATTGATGTGATACCCACAAGATCTCTGAAAGACATAGTCCGTCTTTTCAAGTCAACGTAAGAGGCCTCTGGGATAAAAATGGGTAACGTCCATGGCATGACTTATCAGACAGAAAAAAATGACAAAGGAAGAAGTGCTGAAGCTACTCAACAAATCCTTCTGTGACTCGATCAGAAATTAAAAGTTAAAAAAAAAAAAAAAAAAGGCCAGGCACAGTAACTCACACCTGTAATCCCAGCATGTTTGGAGGCCAAGGTGGAAGGATCGCTTGAGCCAGGAGTTTAAGACCAGCCTGGGCAACATGGTGAGACCCTGTCTCTCCAAAACTTAAAAAAATTAGTGGAGCATGGTAGTGCATGCCTGTGGTTTCAGCTACTCAGGAGGCCGAGGCAACAGAATCACTTAAGCCCAGATCAAGGGTGCAGTGAAATGTGAACACACCACTGCACGCCATCCTGAGCGACACAGTGACAACCTGTCTCAAAAAAAATCTAGCAAGGTACCTGGGTATAGTGAAAAATGCACTGTAGCTGCCACACACTTGGAACTTTTGCAGATGCTCAATAAATGACATTCAATCTAGGTAGGTGGCACTCTCAAAGGGTTACATTGAAAAAGAAATAACATTCCATATACATCTATGGTGTTTTTCTCATGTCAATGTTTGAGGCTCCAATAAAAAGGCTGAAGGCTTTCTTGCATTCATTACATTCAAAAGGCATTTCTGCAGTGGGAAGTCTCCTGTGTGTTATGAAGCTAGATTTCTACATAAATATCTCACATGTCACACTGGTAAGGCCCTGATCCAGTGTTAACTCTGATCTTGAAGGAGCAAAGAGGTGTGGCTACAAAATTGCCCAAATGTATTTTATTTGTCTAGTGTGAACTCTCTGATATTCAAGGAGAAAAGACCTTCAGGTAACTTTTTTCCCACATTTGCTGCAATCACAAGACCTTACTCCAGTGTGAACTCTCCTGTGTTTAATGAGACTGAAAGTTTCAGCAAAGGATTTCCCACATTCACTGCACTCATAAGGTGGTGTGACCAGTGTGAACTCTCTTATGAACACAGAATGCAGAGCTGTGGGTAGATGACTTCCCACAATCACTGCATTCATATGGCCTTTCTCCAGTGTGAACTCTCTGGTGTGCAATGAGGTGGTCCTTCTTGCTAAAAACTTTCTGACAATCCTCACACTCATATGGCTTTTCTCCAGTGTGAACTCTGGTGTACAAGGAGGTGAGACTTCTTGTTAAATAATTTCCCACATTTCTCACATTTATAAGGCTTTTCTCCAGTGTGAACTCTCTTGTGTTTAGTGAGACTGGAGCTTTCAGCAAAAGATTTTCCACATTCACTGCACTCATAAGGCTTTTCTCCAGTGTGAACTCTTTTGTGTTTTGTGAAACTGGAGCTTTCAGCGAAAGATTTTCCACATTCACTGCACTCATAAGGCTTTTCTCCAGTGTGAATTCGCTTATGAACACAGAATGTAGAGCTGTGGGTAAATGATTTTCCACAATCATTGCATTCATAAGGCCTTTCTCCAGTGTGAACTCTCTGATGTGCAATGAGTTGGTACTTGTTTCTAAAAAATTTCTGACAAGCTTCACAAGCATATGGCTTTTCTCCATTGTGAATTCTCTGGTGTACAAGGAGGTGAGACTTCTTCTTAAATAATTTTCCACATTCCCTACATACATAAGGTCTTTCTCCAGTATGGCCATGCTGGTGTAGAATGAGGTTACCCTTGTGACTAAAACATTTCCCACATTCCCCACACTTAAAAGGTCTTTCTGTAGTGTGAACTCGCTGATGATTCCTAAGGTGTCCTTTTTCATTAAAAGATTTCCCACAGTCTCCACACTTGTAAGGTCTTTCTCCAGTGTGCATGCGCTGATGGTGAACAAGGCTGCGCTTATGACTAAAAGATTTCCCACATTCTCCACACTCATAAGGCCTCTCTCCAGTATGAACGCGCTGATGGCTCCTAAGGTGCCCGATTGAACTAAAAGATTTCCCACATTCTCCACACCCATAAGATCTTTCTCTAGGGTGAACTCGCTGATGTAGAATGAGGGTGCCTTTATGACTAAAAGATTTCCCACACTCTCCACACTCATAAAGTCTGTCCCCAGTGTGAATTTGCTGATGGTTCCTAAGATGTCCTTTTGAACTAAATGATTTCCCACATTCTCCACACTCATAAGGTCTTGCTCCAGTGTGAACTCGCTGGTGTAGAACGAGGTTGCCCTTTTGACTGAAAGATTTCCCACATTCTCCACACTGATAAGGTCTTTCTCCACTGTGAACTCGCTGATGGTGAACAAGGCTGCGCTTATGACTGAAAGATTTCACACATTCTCCACACTTGAAAGGTCTTTCTCCGGCGTGAACTCGTTGATGGCTCCTAAGATGTCCTTCTGAACTAAAAGATTTCCCACATTCTTCACACCCATAAGGTTTTTCTCCAGTGTGAAATCGCTGATGTTGAATGAGGCTGCTCTTTTGACTAAAGGATTTCCCACATTCTCCACATTCATAATGTTTTTTGTCAGTGTGAACTCTCTGATGATTACTGAAGCTAGCATATTTGCTAAACGATTTCCCACATTCTCCACATTCATAAGGTCTTTTCCCAGTGTGAACTCTCTGATGATTACTGAAGCTAACATATTTGCTAAAGGATTTCCCACATTCTCCACATTCATAATGTTTTTTTTCAGTGTGAACTCTCTGATGATTACTGAAGCTAGCATATTTGCTAAACGATTTCCCACATTCTCCACATTCATAAGGTCTTTTCCCAGTGTGAACTCTCTGATGATTACTGAAGCTAACATATTTGCTAAAGGATTTCCCACATTCTCCACATTCATGTTTTTTTTCAGTGTGAACTCTCTGATGATTACTGAAGCTAACATATTTGCTAAAGGATTTCCCACATTCTCCACATTCATGTTTTTTTTCAGTGTGAACTCTCTGATGATTACTCAAGCTAGCATATTTGCTAAAGGACTTCCCACATTCACAGCACACATAACACTCTTCTCTAGTGAGCAGTCTCTGGTGCTGACTGAGTATATGTTTGGTGCTAAAATGTTTCATGGATTCTCCACAGCTGTAGTGAGCTCCCCCACACTGAATGGGAGACACACACTCAGTTTTGCTGTTTGACTTCTCCCCAGTGTGACTGGCCTCCTGCTGGAGTAATCCTGACCTGGGCAAAAAGTCCTTCCCACTCTCACTGAAGACAGATGACTCCCCTGACACATGCAACTTACACCTCTTTGCAAACAACGCCTCCTCAACACTCCCTCTGTAGGGTTTCTCTCCAATGTGCTCATTCTGGTGCTGATGAAAGTTTCCACTGTCATACAATTTATTCCCCCAGGCCTCACACCTGTGCAGTTTCTGCTTGTGATGTGTTCCCTGATGATCTGCCACATGCAAAATGTCTCCCAAGATCGGGCCACACATCTCACAGGGGTGGGCCTTCTTGGGAGACACACCTGCCATAGGAGTCCTGACCTGAGTCTCTCTTTGTATATAAATACTCTGCTTAGAAGGTGCCGCCTCATCTTCCACTCCACACCAACAACCTGAAAGCAAGAAAATGCTGGTGAAGTGCATGTTAACTCTGGTGGGAAGGCACAGACCACCCACAAGTGTATCTGAAAAACTGAGGAATTACTCCAAGGAACTACTTGGAGGAACAGGATGTTGGCTTCAGGCGGAAGATGGTGCTATGTATTATTACTGGACTATAACGGTCACAGAATGTAGGAGGCCTCATAAGTTAAAGGACACAACCATGTATGTAAAACAGGGAGTACAGGCAGGGTCTACAATCCCTGCATCTGCAAACCACTCATCTGCAGAATTTATGTCCTCATGACATGTGAGTGCTGTAGAGAGGGATTTGTCCAGGCCAAGGAAAACACAAGCACAACACAGCAGCTACTCGAGGAGAGTTTAACAAAGTATATATATTCGCTAACACAAATCTCTATGCCAACACTGGAGAGAACACTGTAGATGGTGACGTATGTAAATGGATGAGATCTGGGGCCCAGAGATATGAAGATTAGATAGGAGAATGGACATTAGGGTACAAGTTCATGTACAAGTGGGTCAAAAGTTAAAAAAGAAAGAGTAGAAGCGATAAGGTAGACAAGTGTGATGCTCTCAAGAATGAGGAAGAAAAGACAAATTATGTGTGCCTACTTGCCTTGCCACAAAACTACTACTAAAATAGAACAGGTTGTTGGTATGCTTTCAATAAAGCCCTGACTCCATGACCTCCTCCAGGGTGCCGCTTTTTTTTTTTTTTTTTTTTTTTTTTTTTTTTTTTGAGATGGAGTCTCGCTCTGTCACCCAGGCTGGAGTGCAGTGGTGCGATCTGGGCTCACCGCAACCTCCCCTCCTGGGTTCAAGCAATTCTCTGCCTCAGCCTCCCGAGTCACTGGGATTACAGGCATGTACCACCAGGCCTGACTACTTTTTGTATTTTAGTAGAGACAGGGTTTCACCATCTTGGCCAGGCTGGTCTTGAACTCCTGACCTCATGATCCACCTGCCAGGGCCTCCCAAAGTGCTGGGATTACAGGAGTGAGCCACCATCCCCAGCCCAGGGTGCCACTCTTTAGGGACTCACTCCTTCTGAGCCTATTATGCTGAGGCTGAATTCATTTGCATCTTCTGGATCAAATGGAGGACTGTGCCTCCCACCACAATGATGACCAAATACATGGGACATGAATGATGCACAGACTAAGGGAAAGACAGAACAAGGGAACAGCCAACATTGTCTCAGAACAACTCAGCCCATGACAGCCCATGAGAGAAAAAAACTGAGTATTTCAAGGAGAATTTCTAAAGAAGGTCTTGCAAGAACAGCCTCTGGTCTATATAGGCAGTGATGTAGTCTGTGAAGGCAATTCCTGCCACAGGAAGGCATAAGAAAATAGCAGCTAGAGAAAGGAAGTAGACTGTGGGTACACAGGAACCTGAAATCTGGACAAGGACACCCAAACATCCACAGGACTAACAAGGTGGGCTTCTGACTGGGAATCCCTCCCTGGGAGCCTGCAGTAAAGCAGGTGTTGGGGCTGCTCCAAGAAAGGAGTAGGGCAGTATGTACACCTCAGACCTACCAACCAAGAACCTACCCACAGAACTGAAGCAGGAAGCTGTGTCCATGCTCCTGACATGAGAAAGTCTTACCAATGGGGAAAGATAGGGGAAAACAGAGACTAGCTCAGGTCACAGGGTGAGTGTGAGCAACTTACCCAGGGAGGATATAAGTGCCAGGTTCTCCAGCGTCACATCACGGTACAGGCATCTCTGAGCCTCACTAAGGAGATTCCATTCCTCCCAGGTAAAGTTCACAGCCACATCTTCAAAAGTCACTGTGCCCTGTTATGATGTTGACAGATGAAACTACAAACTGCCCCTATGCTGAGGTATCACAATCCATCTCTCCCACACATCTACTCTCGCACATCCTCCTCTCAAGGTCCTCAAACATAGGAGAAACTAGGCCCACTGGTCATGGGGTATAGCCACCAACAATAGTTGAACAAATAGGTATCTGTGTGGTGGTTGTGACGTAAGAGTCCACCCCCTCCTGACAGGCACTTTCCCTAGTATGGCCAAGGTCATGGAAAGCCCAATGTGGCACCTTCAGCACAGCAGAGATACCCTCTCTGAACACACCTCATTCTTTAGACTTCCAGGTACATTCCATGTCCATCCCCAGGTGACTGCCACACACCACTGGCCTCTCTCTGGCCTTTAAACAACTTAAAGTATATTTTTTTGTTTGTTTGTTTGTTTGAGACAGAGTCTCACTCTGTCACCAGGCTGAATGTAGTGGCATGATCTCGGCTCACTGCAACCTCCACCTCCTGGGTTCAAGCAATTATCCTGCCTCAGCCTCCCGAGCAGCTGGGATTACAGGCATGTACCACCACACCTGGCTAATTTTTGTATTTTTAGTAGTGATAGGATTTCACCATGTTGGCCAAGCTGGTCTCGAACTCCTGACCTCGTAATCCTCCCACCTCGGCCTCCCAAAGTGCTAAAACTACAGGCATGAGGCACCGCGCCCAGCCAGCTTAAAGTATCTTAATTCCCTCCTTTTTCTTCAACTAGTGTGGGTTGATATCTACCCCTAGGGCTATAATGTTGGTAAAACAAATTACATCTGATATTCTACACATGTCATCAAGAGCAATCTACAAATCAATTGTATTGAGCCAGGCGCGGTGGCTCACATTTGTAATCCCAGTGATTTCAGAGGCCGAGCCAGGTGGATTGCCTGAGGTCCGGAGTTTCAGACCAGCCTGGTTAACAATGTGCAACTTCGGCTCTACTAAAAATACAAAAAATTAGCTGAGCGTGGTGTCGGGCGCCTGTGATCCCAGCTACTTGGGAGGCTGAGGCAGGAGAATCGCTTGAACCCAGGAGGCAGAAGTTGCAGTGAGCCGAGATTGCGCCGTTGCACTCTAGCCTGGGCAACAAGAGCAAAACTCTGTCTCAAAAAAAAAAAAAAAAAAAAAATCAAATATATTAACAGCCTGATAAGAGGGACACCACTCACCACAGAGAGCCACATGGGGGTTGCATTGTGGATAAGAGAGAGCAACCATGGCCATGGCATGCAAGCTTTGTAAGATGAAGAGAGTGTAATGGCCTGATTCCCTCAGGAGGATGCCATTGACTTATTTGAATAACTCTGGACATAAAAATGGAATTGAAACTCACTACAAACTATAACAGGAACTCTGCCTGGTCCCATTGATCGAAAGGCTTCAGAGGCTAGGATACATTACCTTTTTTTTTTTTTTTTTGTGATGGAGTCTCACTCTGTCACCAGGCTCGAGTGGGGTGGTGCAATCTCGGCTCACTGCAACCTCCGCCTCCTGGGTTCAAGCAATTCTCCTGCCTCAGCTCCTCAGTAGCTGGGATTACAGGCATGTACCACCATGCCCAGCTAATTTCTATATTTTTAATAGAGATGGCGTTTCACCATATTGGGCAGGCTGCTTTCAAACCCCTGATGTCAAATGATCCACCCGCCTCAGCCTACTAAAGTGCCGGGATTACAGGCGTGAGCCGCTGCACCTGTTCAGATATATTACTTAAGAGTGTGAAGTGGCCAGTCATGGTGTCTCACACCTGTAATCCCAGCACTCTGGGAGGCCAAAGTGTAAGGACTGCTTGATTCCAGGAGTTCAAGAGCAGCCTGGACAACACAGCAAGGTCTTTTTCTACATACATGCACACACACACACGCACACATACACATGCACACAAGGGAAAAAAATTTAAAATATATAAAAAGAGAGTTAAATGGGAAAGAAACTTGCACTCAGGCCATTTGTGGTTATACCAATATGACCAGGCATCCAGGTGGCAAATCACACTGGGCCTTAATTTTTGGCCTTACACTACATCGTAGCTGACACCATCCAGAGTGTATGGCCCATTCAAACCGATCCAATATTACCACAGAACTGCAATTCTATTGGATCCTAAAAGGAGCGGTGGTCTCAAGTAATTCTGTGAGGACCTCCTTGCATGGCTCCACAGAAACACAGAACCATGTGTGGCTTCAGCTATCCATGACCCTATTCCACTTCTGTGCTACACTTGCCAGCCCCTCAGCAATGATGACCTTTCCCTCAATTACTTCTGTACTTCTGCCTGCATCTCATCTCTATTATCTCCATGGAAGTCTGCCCCACGACAAGCTATGCCCTCTGATACACCCTACATTCATTGTCACTTACCTCCCTCTCCTGTGTGAATGCATAACACAGGTTATGAATGCCAATAATGTCCGCCAGGGACCCAGGCAAAACATCTAGTCCTCAGCCTCCAACCAGTCCTTTCTGGTTCCCTAAAAGATTTACTACCTTATTATGAAGTGTGCCCTCCAAAATGGGACCCATGGCTAACGCACCTTAGTCCACACATTAGCTATCATATACTGGATGTCTCCAATATCAATTCCTTCCCAGATATCCCGACCTATGTGGACAAGCATCTCAGGGTCTGAGCATGGTGAAAACAACCCTCCTTATATTCCCAGTGACTATATTATGCCTACTCCCAACTTGCTCATCTCAGCTGATACAGCTTCTATCACTGCTGCTGCTAAGGCCAAAAACCCTAGGGTTGCCAGGCACGGTGGCTCGAGTCTGTAATCCCAGCACTTTGGAAGGCTGAGGTGGGTGGATCACCTGAGGTCAGGAGTTCAAGACCAGCCTGACCAATACGGTGAAAAACTCTGTCTCTACTAAAATTACAAAAATTAGCCGGGCGTGATGCCGTGTGCCTCCTGTGGTCCCAGCTACTCAGGAGGCTGAGGCAGGAGAATTGCTTGAACCTGGGAGGCAGAGGTTGCAGTGAGCAGAGATCATGCTACTGCACTCCAGCCTGGTGACAGAACAAGACTCCACCTAAAAAAAAAAAAAAGCAAAAACAAAAAACCCCCAGCGTCATACCTGAAACCCTCTTGCATGTCCTTACCGACCGCATTAGAAAATCTAGCTGCTCCTTTACCAAATGTAAATCACAATTCTAGCGACATCTCCTTGGCCAACAATCATCCATTAAACCTCACCTGGATGACAGAATGAGCCTCAACGCTGTCTTCCTTCCTCCTCCCTTAACCCCATGTTCCTTTCTCCAATGTGGAGCCAGGCAGAGAAGTAACATCACCTCCCCACTCTGATCAGTTTTATCTCTGAGCATTTCACATACTGCTACCAAATCCAAGGCTGACCTTCTAAGTGTTTACACAGTTTCACTGAAATGGGAATACCTCCATACCACCTGCGTTATGGACTTAGGGCCTAGGGTTTAGGGTTTCTCTAGTGTTTCCGGTTGAAAGGACTGAGCTCGAGAGGTGCAACAGAGCAGGATGGCGGAATAGAAAGCTGCACCCATCATACCCTTAACAGAACACCTTTTTTTTTTCTTTTTTTTTTTAAGAGAGAGTCTCGCTCTGTCACCAGGGCTGGAGTCCAGTAGTGCTACCTTGGCTCACTGCAACCTCTGCCTCCGGGGTTCAAGCAATTCTCCCTAATTCTCCCTGCCTCAGCCTCCCAAGTAGCTGGGATTACAGGCACCTGCCACCACACTCGACTAATTTTTGTATTTTTAGTAGAGACACGGTTTTGCCATGTTGGCCAGGCTGGTCTCAAATTCCTGACTTCAGTTGATCCGCCTGCCTCAGCCTCCCAAAGTGCTGGGATTACAGGCGTGAGCCACCACACCCGGCCCAGAACACCAAATTTAAACACTGTCAACACAGAAAAAAATCACCTTTGTAAGAACCAAAAATCAAATGAGCACTCACAGTACCTGGATTTAATTTTGTATTACTGGAAATGGCACTAAAAGGGGCTGTAGAGTCTTGAGTTGCCAATGCCACTCCTCCCCATCCCCCAGCAGTGCCTGCCTGTTGTGGAGAATCTGTGCTCCTGGGAAGGGAAAGCGCAGTGACTGTCAGACGTTGCACAGAACTCAGTGCTTCCCTGTCATAGCAGAAAGCAAAACTGGGCTGAACTCAACGGACGCCTACCCAGGGAGTAAGCATAGCGACCAGCCCAGCCAGAGGGGAATCGCCCACCCCAATGGTCAGGACTTGAGATCTGGCAAGCCTTGCCACTGTGGGCTGGAGGGCTCTGAAGTCCTAAATAAACTTGAAAGGCGGTCGAGGCCACAAGGACTGCAACCCCTAGGCATGTCCTGTGCTGAGCTGGGCTCCGAGCCAGGGGACCTGGTTGGGTTGGGGGAGCACAACCTACTGAGACACCAGTTGAGGTAGCTAAGGGTGTGCTTGTGCCACCCCTCATGCAACCCCAGGCTACGTGGCTCCTTCCTTCCACTCGAGGAGAGGAGAGGGAACAGCAAAAAGAACTTTGTCTTGCATTTTGGATGTCACCTCAGCCACAGGATAGGGCACTGGGCAGGGTTGTGAGGACCCATTCCAGGCCCACCCAGATAATATTTCTAGACACACTCTGGACCAAAACAGAACCTGCTGCCTTGAAGGGAAGAATTCAGTCATGGGAGGACCCATCACCTTCTGACTAAACAACCCTTGGACCCTGAATAACTAGCAGCAGTACCCAGGTAGTATGCGATGGCACTGGGTGAGACTCTGAGACATGCCAGCTTCAGATGTAACACAGCACACTGCTAGCTGTGGTGGTTACGGTCAGAGACCCCACCTGCTTGAGAATAACAGAGGAAAAAGTAAAGGGGACCTTGTCTTGCACCTCAGCTGCCAGCTCAACCACAGAGGGATAGAGCACCAAGAAGCCTCTTGGGGTCCCTGATTCCAGGCCTTGGCTCGTGGATGACATTGCTGGACCTGCCCTGGGTGAGTCTTGAAGAGTCAGCCTCAGACCAGGCAACATTCACCACAAGCTGACTGAAGAGCTCTTAGCCCTTAATGGAACCTCAGTGGTAGTCTGACAGCACTCCCTGTGGGCCCGTGCTGGTGGTGGCCACAGAGTGAGGCTGCTCTGCCTGTGGAAAGGGGATGGAAGAGTGGGAAGGGCTCTAGCTTGTAGTTTGAGTGCCAGCTCAGCTGCAGTGCAAAGGAACACCAGGTAGATTTCTAAGGATTTTTACTCCAATCCCTGGCTCATGGATGGCATCTGTATACCAACCTGAGGCCTGGGGAACTCACCGTCCTAAGGAGAAGGACATAAGCCTGTCTGGCTTTGCCACCTGCTGACTGTACCGGGCTAGGGCCTTGAGGGAACACAGGCGATAGCCATGTAGTGGTCACAGGAGCCTTGGGTGAAACCCAGTGCTGTGCTGGCTTCAGCTCTCACCCAGCACAGTCCCAGTGGTGGTAGCTAAAGGGGTGCTTCTGTCCCAACCCCCAGTTTCAGGCACTTCAGCACTGACAGAGACATGCTGGGACAAAGTGAGGGAAGACCCAACAAGAGTCTCTACCTGTTATGTTAATCAAGGGAAATATTTCAGATCTTATTCAAGACCACAAAGGTGGTATAGCTCTCTGAGTCTGCAAGAGTCACAGCATTACTGAGTGTGGGGTTCCCGCTGAAGTAGATTCAGCTTAGATCACAACACCCGGGTCCTTTCAAATACCTGGAAACTCTTCCTAAGAAGGACAGGTACAAATGAGCCCAGACTGTGAAGACCACAATAAACACCTAACTGTTTAATGCCCAGACACTGATGAACATCTACAAGCATCAACACCATCCAGGAAAACGTGACCTCACCAAACAAACTAAATAAAGCACCAAAGACGAATCCTGGAGAAACAGAGATACATGACCTTTCAGACAGATAATTCAAGATAGCTATTTTGAGGAATTTCTCAAGACAAACACGGAGAAAGAATTCAGAATTCTATCAGATAAATTTGGCAAAGAAATTAAAATAATTAAACAGAACTGGCCGGGTGTGGTGGCTCACACCTGTAATCCCAGCACTTTGGGAGGCCGAGGCGGGCAGATCACAAATTCAGGAGATCGAGACCATCCTGGCTAATGGGGTGAAACCCCATCTGTACTAAAAATACAAAAAATTAGCCAGGTGAGGTGGCGGGCACCTGTAGTCCCAGCTACACGGGAGGCTGAGGCAGGAGAATGGCATGAACCCCAGGGGGGCAGAGCCTACAGTGAGCTGAGATCACGCCACTGCACTCTAGCCTGGGCGACAGCGAGACTCCATCTCAAAAAAAAAAAAAAAATAGAACTGGCCAGGCATGATGGCTCATGCCTGTAATCCCAGCACTTTGGGAGGCCAAGGCGGATGGATCATGAGGTCAAGAGATCGAGACTATTCTGGCCAATATAGTGGAACCCCGTTTCTACTAAAAATACAAAAATTAGCCGGATGTGGTAGTGCACACCTGTAGTCCCACCTACTCGGGAGGCTGAGGCAGGAGAATCGCTTGAACCTGGGAGGCGGAGGCTGCACTGAGCTGAGATCGCACCACTGCACTGCAGCCTGGGTGACAGAGAGAGACCCTGTCTCAAAAAAAAAAAAAAAATCAAAATGGATTAAAAAAGACTTAAATCTAAAACCTAAAACTATGAAACTACTACCAAAAAAGACTGAAGTGGGCAAAGATTTCTTTATTTTTTTTTTTGAGATGAAGTCTCACTCTGTTGCCCAGGCTGGAGCGCAATGGCACAATCTCGGCTCACTGCAACCTCCACCTCCCAGGTTCAAGTGATTCTCCTGCCTCAGCTTCCGAGTAGCTGTGATTACAGGCATGTACCACCACACCCAGCTAATTTTTGTATTTTTAGTAGAGATGGGGTTTCCCCATGTTGCCCAGGCTGGTCTCAAACTCCTGACCTCAGGTGATCTGCCCGCCTTGGCCTCCCAAAGTGCTGGGATTATAGGCGTGAGTCACCGAGCCTGGCCGACAAAGACTTCTTGAGTAATACCTTTCAAGCACAGGCAACCAAAGCAAAATTGGACTAATGGCATCAGATCAAGTTAAAAAGCTTCTGTACAGCAAAGAAAACAATCAACAAAGTGAAGAGATAACCCACAGAATGGGAGAAAATATCTGCAAACTACCCATCTGCAAAGGGATTAATTACCAGAATATATAGAGTTCAAACAACTCTATAGGAAAAACCCTTAATAATCCCATTTAAAAATCTCAATAGACATTTCTCAAAAGAAGACATACAGTCAGGAGCAGTGCCTCCCAGCTATAATCATAGCAGTTTGGGAGACTGAGGCAGAAAGACCACTTGAGCCTAGGAGTTTATAACCACCCTGTTTAACCAGTGAGACCCCCATCTCTACAAAAAAGTTTAAAAGCTAGCCAAGGCAAGGTGGCACATGCCTGTGGTGGTCCCTGCCACTTGGGAGACTGAGGTAGCAGGATAGCCTGAGCCCAGGTGGTCGAAGCTGCAGTGAGCCATCATCACACTACAGCATTCCAGCCTGGGTGACAGAGCAAGATCCTGTCTCAAAAATACAAACAAAAGACAATGACATACAAATGGCAAACAGGTATAGGAAAAGGTGCTCAACATCACTGGTCATAAGAGAATGCACATCATCTCACCCCATTAAAATGGCTTATTTATATCCAAAAGACAGGCAATAACAAATGCTGGTGAGGATGTGAAGAAAAAGGACCTCTCGTACACTGTTGGTGGGAATGGAAATTAGTACAACCACTATGGAGAACAGTTTGGGGGTTCCTTAAAAAACTAAACATTAAGCTAGCATATAATCCAGCAATCCCACTGCTGGGTATAAACCAAAAGGAATCCAGTATATCACAGAGATATCTGCACTCCCATGTTTGCTGCAGCACTGTTCACAGCAGCTAAGACTTGGAAGTGACCTAAGTGGTCATCAACAGATAAATGGATAAAGAAAATGTAGGCCGGACGCAGTGGCTCACACCTGTAATCCCAGCACTTTGGGAGGACGAGGCCGGTGGATCAGGAGGTCAGGAGATGGAGACCATCCTGGCTAACACAGTGAAATCCCAATCTCTACTAAAAATACAAAAAATTACCCAGGTGTGGTGGCACACGTGTTTAGTCTCAGCTACTTGGGAGGCTGAGACATGAGAATCGCTTGAACCCAGGAGGCGGAGGTTGCAGTGAGCCATGATCGCACCACTGCACTCCAGCCTGGGCAACAGAGAAGGACTCCGTCTCAAAAAAAAAAAAAGAAAAGAAAATGTGAGGGCGCGGTGGTGGCTCACACCTGTAATCTCAGCACTTCGGGAGGCTGAGGTGGGTGGATCATGAGGTCAGGAGTTCAAAACCAGCCTGGCCAAGATGGTGAAACCCCATCTCTACTATAAACTACAAAAATTAGCCAGCCGCAATGGCAGGCACATGTAATCCCAGCTACTCCAGAGGCTGAGGCAGGAGAATCGCGTGAATCTGGGCAGCAGAGGTTGCAGTGAGCCGAGATTGCACCACTGCACTACAGCCTGGACAACAGAGTAAGACTGTGTCTCAAAAAAAAAAAAAACAAAAAACAAAGAATAAGATCTAGAAAAAGAGAATAAGATCTAGAAAAAGAGAATAAGACCTAGAAAAAGAGAATAAGATCTAGTATTTAGTAGCACAACAGGGTGACTACAGTAAAAACAACCTAATTGTACATTTTTAAATAACAAAAAGAGTATAATTGGATTGTTTGAAACACAAAGGATAATGCTTGAGGTGACGGATACATTAACCCTAGTATGATTATTACCCACTGCTTGCCTGTATCAAAATATCTCCTGTAGGCGGAGGTTGTGGTGAGCTGTGATCACGCCACTGCACTCCAGTCTGGATGACAGAGTGAGACTCCTTCTCAAAAAAAAAAAAACAAAAAAACAAAATAACTCCTGTAACTCATAAATACATACACCTATTATATACCCACAAAAATTTAAAATTTAAAAAAGAAAATATTTTTAAAAATAAAAAATAAAGAGTCCCACAACACCACAAGCTAGAGAACATATAGGTCGGGGTCAGTACCAGTGAGGGAATGGAACACTCTCCACTTCCTTATCTGAGTTCCTAAAATGCTTCTAAGTGCTTGGAGGAGAGGCAGACATTACAGGAATGTGTCCCTGATAGGATGTGATAAGCTCAGACCTCCAGGTACCCCTCCTTGGCCCTGGAGTCAGGTGACCTCAGACTGCTTGTCTGACCTGCATGCCTCAATGTAAAATGTCATCTCTGCCACCTATGTGATCTACAACAAAGATTCAACCTCCCAGGGCCCCACGGTGCTCATCACTTCTCTCCACTCTGTTCTTCCTTTGATTGGCCTTCGGAAAACCTTTAAAATCCAGATTTTGATCCTGTCCTTTGTATAGAGCACACTTGACATAACTAACTCCATCTTAGAAAAAGACAATTTGTATTTCACAGGGCACTCTGCCATCAAGGGTAAGATGCTTTGTTTAATAAACAAAAAAAAAAGACGGCCAGGCACGGTGGTTCACGCCTATAATCCCAGCACTTTCGGAGGCCGAGGCGAGCGGATTGCCTGAGCTTGGGAGTTCAAAAGCAGCCTAGGCAACATGGCGAAACCCCATCTCTACTAAAAATACAAAAAATTAGCCAGGTGTGGTGGCGGGTGCCTGTAATCCCAGCTACTCGGGAGGCTGAAACAAGAGAATCTCTTGAACCCGGGAGGCGGAGGTTGCAGTGAGCTGAGATCACACCACTGCACTCCAGGCTGGGTGACAGACTGAGACGCTGTCTCAGTAAAATAAATAAATAAATAAAATAGGCTGAGTGTGGTGGCTTATGCCTGTAATCCTAGCAAGTTGGGAGGCTGAGGCGGGCGGATCAGTTGAAGTCGGGAGTTTGAGACCAGCCTGACCAACATGGAGAAACCCCGTCTCTACTAAACATACAAAAAATTAGCCGGGTGTGGTGGCGCATGCCTGTAATCCCAGCTACTGGGAGGCTGAGGCAGGAGAATCGCTTGAACCCGGGAGGCAGAGATTGCAGTGAGCCGAGATCACACCATTGTACTCCTGCCTGGGCAACAAGAGCGAAACTCCGTCTCAAGAAAACAAAACAAAATAAAAAATAAAGACTACATCTAACCAGGTAAGGTCACAAACAAGGAAACTCTTCCACTATCAGTTCTCACCAGAGTATTCTGTAACTGTAAAAGATTAGGCCTTCAGCAGCTCAAAACTCAGCATCTGCTGCCTAAGGCTCTGCCACCTCAAAGACTCTTCCTTGTAAGACTGCAGGCCAATTGCCCACCAACTGGCCCAGACCAAGATGCCTTTTGTCTTCCTTGCTCCCTCTAAACTGGTTCCATAACGTTTGCTCCTATATCTTTTTCCTCTTGATGCTAAGCATTATTTTGTTCCTTGTGTTGTAATGCCCAACCTTGTTTTCACTAATCCTGTTTTTAGACTCTCCCTTTTGCTCTCTTAATCACCTAGCCTCGTTTCCACATGAATAGACTCTCGCTTAGCTGAGAAAGCCAGACGAGCTCCACCTGGCCCCCTTGATTTACAAGACATTAAGGACTCCTTACCCACCCCCCTTTCCTCAAGGAGTTAACTTGTGTAAGCAGATTCTCAACATATCAAAGGAGTCCAATTAACTGATAAGGGACTGGGAACAAACCATGTATGAAGTTCCCAGGATTTTGCTCAAAAGATAACACCATAAAGCCTTGAGTTTGTGTCTGGCGTAGTGCCCATATCTAACTCTTATGAAGGATTTAGAGCGCCACACCTGGTACCTTGCCTTTTTGTAACCATTTGTCTTTTAAATTGTTTGTTTCTCTGTAACCATTTATCCTTTTAATTTTTTGCATGTTTTTACTTCTGAAGAGTTGTTGCATTTAAGCTCCCCTCCCCTTCCTAAACCAAAGTATAAAAGTTAATCAAGCCCCTTCCTCGGGGCCGAGAGAATTTTGAGCGTTAGCCGTCTCTTTGGCCGCCAGCTGAATAAAGGACTCTTAATTCGTCTCAAAGTGTGGCGTTTTTCTAACTCGCCCGGGTACAACAGTGTTATGTTTAACCTTTAACATTTACATGTTAAGTATACTATTGTGTATTGTTTGCTATATTGACTGACTTGGGGAGTGTCTTCAGCCTCTGTGCCCATGGCCAACTACCAAGTGAACTGGAATCACAAGAGAATTGCCTCCTTCGAACTCCATTTAGCTCATGGCTTTTGTTGACTCAAATATCACCTGACACTGTGCAAAGACACAAACATGCATGGACCTGATTATCTCTACCCTTACAATGCTCATGACATCCCTCCTTTCTTCGAAAATCTCCATGCCTTCTAGGGTCCTCACGTGAGTTCATAGCCCCCAGCCTGCTTGCTCTTCCAGGAGGAGCTCCGCCTCATAATTTGCTCCCAACAGGCACCTGTGGACCCCAGATTCCATCCTTCTGGCTCAGTTCACTTCCAGGCCTTTGCCCGCGCCAGTCCCTGTACCTGCCGGTCTCCCCACCGCATCCCACGGGTGTCAGAAATGGGGCCCCTCCCGCAAGCGCCTCAGTGTCCCAACGCCGGCGTCCGGGCTGCAGAGCCGTGAACAGGCGCTGCTACCTCGCTGCTTTTGGGTGACGATGAGGTGACCTGAGGACACAGAAGGCCCCACAATTACCTGAGCGGAGAGCCTCAGCGTAGCCGCGGCAGCCATCGAACCACGTGGTTTTAAGCAGAGTCGGGAGGATAGGGCGACCAGCCAGGAGATATGGGCACGACGGTCCGTATCCTGGCCCAGGAGTGGGTCACGCTGGGCGCCGTCACAGAGCTCCAGAGTAGCCTCTGTGCAGCGGAGGACAACTGCTCCCCGACTTCTGGGTTCAGTCACCACAGTGCGGACCTAGCGCTCAGGAGCCTCTCCTACAAATAAATCCAACACCAATCAAAATGGCCGCCACCAGAGGGCGCCGGAAGTCCGGACCCATTGTCACGTGCACACAGGAAACGCCTTTATTCTGAGCCCTCAGAGGTCTTCTACGCTATCATTCGAGGCTGAGTTTTCTGGGTAATGTAGTTCCCTAGGCAACAAGGAGGGTAAAGGGCGCAATTCCCAGAGGCGCTTCTGCAGGAAAAGCCCAGCTTCACCTCGGGAGTATCCTTAAGATGTGCGTCCTGACTGGTATGGTGGCTCCCGCCTGTAATTCCACCAGTTTGGGAGGCCAAGTCACAAGGATCATTTGAGGTCAGGAGTTAGAAATTAGCCTGAGCAACAAAGCAAAATCCTGTCTCTACAAAAAATAAAAAATATTAGCGGAGTGTGGTCGGGCGGGCCTGTGGTCCCAGCTGCCCTAAGGTTGGGGTTAGGGTTAGGGAGCCTGAGGAGGGAGAATCGCTTGAGCTCAGGAGTTCGAAGCTGCTGTAAGCCGAGATCGTACCACTGCATTCCAGCCTGGGCAACAGAACGAGACCTCTTATCTAAAAAATAAAAATAAGGGCCAGGTGCGGGCGGCTCACGCCCGTAATCCCAGCACTTTGGGAGGCCGAGGCAGGTGGAACACCTGAGGTCAGGAGTTCAAGACTGGCCTGGCCAACATGGTGAAACCCCGCCTCTACTAAAAATACAAAAATTAACCCACATGGTGACATGCGCCTGTAATCCCAGCTACTGGGGAGGCCGAGGCAGGAGAATCTCTTGTACATGGGAGTCAGAGGTTGCGGTGAGTGAGATCCTGCCACTGCACTCCAGCCTGGGTGACACAGCAAGACTCCATGTTGGAAAAAAAAATAAAAATAAAAATAAAAAAATAAATAAAAGATTGCAGATCTTTCTCCTAGGCAGAGGATCATCCTGCCTCTCCTTAGAACTCACATTGAGATTTCTTGGGGTTATTGGCTGTAACTGATTACCCTAGTGTATGGAAAAATATTATTTCAGAGTTAGTGTAGATGTTCCCAAAGGCTACAGATCCAAATTCACCTATCATTTCAGATGGTCCTTCAGATGCAAAATTCTTCCACTGGAAGCAAAGATTAATGCAAAGATTAATAACCATTATTGTATTGTTAAAATGAACGTGTAAACACCCAGAGGGTTCATTTTTCCTACTGCCCAGATAAAGCCAATTTATCAGGACAGGGAAATTGCAAAAGAAAAAGAGTTTTATTCACACAGAGTTGGATGAACAGCATACTGGAGTCTTACTAGTATTACTCAAATCAGTCTCCCTGAAAATTGCGAGACTGGGGTTTTTTGTTGTTGTTGTTGTTTATTTGTTTGTTTGTTTTCTGAGACAGAATTTTGCTCCTGTTGCCCAGGCTGAAGTGCAATGTCACGATCTCAGCTCACTGCAACCTCCGCCTCCTGAGACTGGGGTTTTTTAAGGATAATTTGGTAGATAGGGGGCCATGAATTGGGGAATGCTGATTGGTTGGGTTGGAGATGAAATCATAGGGAGTCAAAGTTGTTCTCTTGTGCTGAGTGGGTTCTGGGGGAGAGGGAGGCACAAGACCAGATAAGCCAGTTTACCCATCTGAGTGGTGCCATCAGATCCATCAAGTTCAGGGTCTGAAAAATATCTCCAGCACCAATCTTAGCTTTTGCAATGGTGATACCATCCCTAGGAACAACTGGGGATGTTTACAGTCTTGTGGCCCCTGGCTGCATGACTCCTAAATGATAATTTCTAATCTATGGGGCCCTAATAAATCAGTAAGTTAACAGGAATTGGGAAGGAGCCAAGCTGGCAGAACAAGAACCTAACCCCATCTGCAACCTCTTTGTGGGAAGAAACCACAGCTGTCAGAAGTGTTTAACAGAGCAACTCCGTCTTGAATAGGGGTTGGATAAAATGAGGCTGAGCTGCATTCCCAGACAGTGAAGACATTCTAAGTCACAGGATGAGATAGGAGGTCAGCACAAGATACAGGCCATAAAGACGTTGCTGATAAAACAGTTTGCAGTAAAGAAGCCGGCTAAAACCCACCAAAACCAAGATGGCCATGAGAGTGACCTCTGGTCGTCCTCACTGCAACACTCCCATCAGTGCCATGACAGTTTACAAATGCCATGGCAACATCAGGAAGTTATCCTATATGGTCTAAAAAAAGGAGGCATGAATAATCCACCCTTTGTTTAGGATATAATCAAGAAATAGGGGCCAGGCGCGGTGGCTCACGCCTGTAATCCCAGCACTTTGGGAGGCTGAGGTGGGTGGATCACAAGGTCAGGAGATCGAGACCATCCTGGCTAACACGGTGAAATCCTGTCTCTACTAAAAATACAAAAAATTAGCTGGGCGTGGTGGCGGGTGCCTGTAGTCCCAGCTACTTGGGAGGCTGAGGTAGGGGAACGGCGTGAACCCGGGAGGTGGAGCTTGCAGTGAGCCGAGATTGCACCACTGCACTCCAGCCTGGGTGACAGAGTGAGACTCCGCCTCAAAAAAAAAAAAAAATCAAGAAATAACCATAAAAATGGGCAGCCATGCCAGGCATGGTGGCTCACCCCTGGAATCCCAGCACTTTGGGAGACCAAGGTGGGAGGATCATGAGATCAGGAGATGGAGACCATCCTGGCTAACAACAGGGTGAAACCCAATCTCTACTAAAAATACGAAAAAATTAGCCGGGCGGCTCTGTCTATGGAGTACCCACTCTTTTATTCCTTTACTTTCTTTTCTTTTTTTTGAGCAGGAGTTTTGCTCTGTCACCCAGGCTGGAGTGCAGTGGCATGATCTCAGCTCACTGCAACCTCCACCTCCTGGGTTCGAGCAATTCTTCTGCCTCAGCATCCTGAGTACCTGGGACTACAGGTGCGCACCACTATGCCCGGCTAACTTTTGTATTTTTAGTATAAACACGGTTTCACTATGTTGGCCAGGCTGGTTTCAAGCTCCCAACCTTGTGATCTGCCCACCTCAGCCTCCCAAAGTGTTGGGATTACAGGCGTGAGCCACTGCACCCGGCCCAGACCAATGTATTTCTTTAATGTATTTGATTGATGTCTCTTGCCTCCTTAAAATGTATAAAACCAAGCTGCGCCCTGACCACCCTGGGCACATGTTCTCAGGACCTCTTGAGGGCTGTGTCACAGGCCATGGTCACTCATATTTGGCTCAGAATAAATCTCTTCACATAGTCTACAGAGTTTGACTCTTTTCATTGACACTGAAGAAACCCCCAACCCAGAGGAAAATCATCTGTGTGCACCACTTGGCTCACTTTGAGTGAGTGGGGTGCATATACCCAGATAAAGAATGAGATTGGTTTACAGGCCCAACTTGGTGGAGTTAGAGTCTCTCCTGGTTAAAGGCTCCTCTCAATAAAAGGCAAGGACACTTGACCAAACTTTGGTTCAATGCCCAAATTAGGAAGATTAGATTACTTCCTAAGAGTTAGGGGGTTAGAGGCCCCTCTCAGTAAAGTCCCTCTTGGCTAGGAATGGGTTTGGCACAATGGGCTGTTAACTGCTGTTCTCTTTGGAATAATCTGCCTTGCTGATGGCTATGGGTGACAGGACTAGGAATGTACAGGATCATGGGACATGGGGAGCTTTTTCCTCCCCAAAAGGGAAAACTTGCGAGCTGATGGGACTGCTGGAAAAGATCCCCTTGCTACTGACAAGCAGCCACCTGAACTTTTCAGTGTCACTGCAATGGGAGTGGGGGGGGCTTCTCTGGCCTCTCTAAGCTCCTGGCCTTCCCCACCCTGCCACAGGCAATGTTTTTCTCTGTCTCCTTTCCCTTTCTTATCTTTTCTGTTATTCAGGGTGACCATCTTGCCCAGAGACCAAGTTGAAACTCATGGTCGGAGGTTGGATTAAAGATGATGGGGCCCAACCAGGGCAAGTTTGAGCCTTGCCTGTTAGATATTCCAGGCGGAGCCGAGTGGCTAATGTGTATGTTTTGTCACACGTATTTTGCTCTGGCCAGAATGGAAAAAGATAATTTAGCTTTGTATTGCAGATTGGCCCCCAAGGGTGTGGTGCAGCCAGCTGGGTCACTAGAGGCTCTCAGGGAAAGGCAAACCAGAAGCCTGGAATGCTGGAATGCCAGCAAAAGGGTAAGAATTTCTTTTTTGTTATTGATTTTTTTTTTTTTTTTTTTTGGAGACGGAGTCTTGCACTGTCGCCCAGGCTGGAGTGCAGTGGTGTGATTTCGGCTCACTGCAACCTCCGCCTCCTGGGTTCAAACGATTCTCTTGCCTCAGCCTCCTGAGTAGGTGGGATTACAGGCACGCACCACCATGCCTAGTTAATTTTTGTATTTTTACTACAGACAAGGTTTCACCATGTTGGCCAGGCTGGTCTCCAACTCTTGACTTCAGGTGATCTGCCCGCCTGGGCCCCCCAAAGTGCTGGAATTACAGGCATGAGCCACTGCACCCAGCAAGAATTTCCTACCAGTCAGTTGGCTGGGTGTGGTGGCTCACACCTGTAATCCCAGCACTTTGGGAGGCAGAGGCAGGTGGATCACCTGAGGTCAGGAGTTCGACAACAGCCTGACCAACATGGTGAAACAACATCTCTACTAAAAATACAAAAAATTAGTCATGGCCGGGTGCGGGGGCTCATGCCTGTAATCCCAGCTCTTTGGGAGGCCGAGGTGGGCAGATCACTTGAGGCCAGGAGTTCGAGACCAACCTGGCCAACATGGTAAAACCCCGTCTCTACTAAAAATTGAAAAAATAAGCCGGGTGTGGTGGTGCATGCATGTAATCCCAGCTACTCGGGAGGCTGAGGCAGGAGAATCACTTAAACCTGGGAGGTGGAGATTGTAGTGAGCTGAGATTGCACCATTGCACTCCAGCGTGGGTGGCAGAGAGAGACCCCATCTCAAAAAAAAAAAAAAATTAGTCGTGCATGTTGGTGTGCACCTGTAATCCCAGCTTCTCGGGAGGCTGAGGCAGGAAATCACTTGAACCCAGGAGGTGGAGGTTACAGTGAGCTGAGATGGTGCCACTGCACTCCAGCCTGGGTGACAGAGCGAGACTCTGTCTCGAAAAAAAAAAAAGTCCAGGTGCAGTGGCTCATGCCTGTAACCCCAGCACTTTGGGCTGAAGTGAGGGGATCACGAGGTTAAGAGCTCAAGACTATCCTGGCCAGCATGGTGAAACCCCGTCTCTACTAAAAATACAAAAATTAGCTGGACATGGTGGCTGTAGTCCCAGCTGCTCAGGAGGCTGAGGCTGGAGAATTGCTTGAACCCAGGAGGTGGGGGTTGCAGGGAGCTGAGATCATGCCACTGCACTCCAGCCTGGCAACAGAGTGAGACTCCATCTCAAAAAAAAAAAAAAGAAGCCGATTTGCCCAAATCAAAGAAAGAAAAGAAGTGGGTTTTCTTATTTTGTTTCATTTTGTTTTTAGTCTGTAAATGAAACAAAACAGCAAGGAGAAAAGTCCCCTGATTTGTATCCTAGTGCTTCTTGATCACACCTAGTTGGCATAGCTGCAAAAAGCATAGCCGGCTGGGTGCAGTGGCTCACACCTGTAATCCCAGCACTTTGGGAGGCTGAGACGGGCAGATCACGAGGTCAGGAGATCCAGACCATCCTGGCTAACACGGTGAAACCCCGTCTCTACTAAAAATACAAAAAAAAAAATTAGCCGGGCGTGGTGGCGGGTGCCTGTAGTCCCAGCTACTTGGGAGGCTGAGGCAGGAGAATGGCATGAACCTGGGAGGTGGAGCTTGCAGTGAGCCGAGATTGCACCACTGCACTCTAGCCTGGGCAACAGAGCGAGACTCCGTCTCAGAAAAAAAAAAAAAAAATCATAGCCACATCTATCTAATCTTATTGCTCATAGCTGTTAAATACCAAACCTGAATACGCAATTTTAGAAACGGAGCCTTCAATGCTTTTTGTTCCCAATGTTTCACAAGCAAATGGATGGAAATCAGAAGGCACACAGGGGAAGAGTATAATAAAAGCCCTAAGACAAGTTAAATGAAGTCCCCTGAAAATGACAGTGAAGCAGAGCAACCAAGAGATTGATTCATACAGCAAAGAGGACAAGACAGATTAATGCAAAGTTGACATCCTGTGGTGCCAAACCAGTTCTTAGCCAAGAGGGACTTTACTGAGAGGGGCCTCTAACTCTTAGGAAGGACTAAATCTTAGGAAGGACTCTAACCTTCCTAAATTGGGCCTCAAACCCAGGGTCAGTCAAGCCTCCTTGCCTTTTCTTTTCTTTTCTTTCTTTTTTTTTTTTTTGAGATGAAGTCTCACTCTGTTGCCCAGGCTGGAGTGCAGTGGTGCGATCTCGGCTCACTGCAACCTCTGCCTCCTGGGTTGAAGCAATTCTCTTGCCTCAGCCTCCCTAGTAGCTGGGATTACAGGTGTGTGCCACCACACCTGGCTGATTTGTGTATTTTTAGTAGAGATGGGTTTTCACCATGTTGGCCAGGCTGGTCTCGAACTCCTGGTCTCAGGCAATCCGCCCGCCTCGGCCTCCCAAAGTGCTGAAATTACAGGTGTGAGTCACCGCACCTGGCCACGTCCTTGCCTTTTATTGAGAGGAAACTTTAACCCTCTCTGTCTTAGGAGAGACTCTAACTCCCTAAGCTGGGCCTCTAACCCAATCTCATCCTTTACCCAGGTGCCCCACCACTTACCCAAAGTCGGCCAATTAGTGCTGCAGCCTATTTCCTTTGGGCCGGTGGGTTTCTTCAGTATCATCCCTTCAAGGTTCACCAGAAAGATGTTACCAGAAAGGGCGTCCCAATTCAGACCCCAAGAGAGGGTTCTTTGGATCTCACACAAGAAAGAATTCAGGGTGAGTCCACAGTGCAAAGAAAAGTAAATTTGTTAAGAGAGTAAAGTGATGACAGAATAGCCACTCCATAGACAGAGCAGGCTCTTCCCGAAAGTCAGAGGAGGAATGCGTCCACCCTAGGTACTTGTTTATACATAGTGTCAGGAATAACGCTCAAAATTTTAAGGAAATTGAACACTCGAACAAACGATTTTTAGCAAAGAAATTTTACGTTTGCACAGAGGGGTGCCTCTTTGGCCAGTCGCCATGAGAGCGCACCTGAAAAAAGGGGCACGAGAGCCTTTGAGCGAGCCACTTTTGTGAGCGAGACTCCATCTCAAAAAAAAAAAAAAAAAAAGAATTGGCAGAGATTTTAAAAAGGCTTATAAAGAAGGAGCCAAAATTCCAGTTTCTGATTGGTTGGTGTGGGCATTGATAAAGGCTGCTCTTGAGCCATTTCAAACAGATCACGAGACAGATTCAGATGAGGAAGACAAGTGTGTAAAAAACTAACTTCAGATTCTGAATGCGAGGAGCAAAAACCAGAGGAAATTAAGAAAGGGAAACTGAAAAGGGTATGTTTTACTAACCCATCAGCTCCACCTGCTGAATTAAGTGAATGGCCACCTCCTTTCCCTCCCCATAATGGGCGAGAAAATGAATTAGCTGTAAAATTTACTGCTCCTGTAGTTGCAACATTAAAATCTGGAGCAATTGGTGGTGCTATACAAAATTCTATTCAAAAGGCTAGAGCTGAGGGAGACCTTGAAGCATGGCAATTTCCTGTTACTATCACCCAGCAAGGAGGGAAAAATATAGCTAGTTGGGCCACATTTTCTTTTAAGCTATTAATGGAATTTAAGCAAGCCATTAGTCAATATGGGCCAAATTCTCCTTTTGTACAAACTTTACTAAAAAATGTGGCTCTGAATAATAGATTGATAAAATATGACTGGGATACTTTAACAAAATCTGTTCTCACTCTATCTCAGTACTTACAGTTTAAAACCCGGTGGGCTGATGAAGCTCAAACTCAGGCAAGGGAAAAAACACAAGCACAGCCATCTGTGCCTGTTTCCTTTCAACAGTTAAAGGGAGTCAGTCCTAATTGGGGTCAATTAGAAAATCAAGCAGTAATGGAGAATGTTGCCATTGTTCAGTTATGCACTGTGTGCTTACGGGCATGTGACAGAATAAATGTTACAGGAGAAAAATATCCTTTTTTCAGTTCTGTCTGACAAGGACCTAAAGAACCATATACTGATTTTATTGCTCAGCTCCAGGAGGCTGTGAATAAGGCCATAACTGACAAAACAGCTCAAGATGTTGTAATACAGCTTCTTACATATGAAAATGCTAATACAGAGTGTCAAAATGCTATTAGACCTATGAGAGGGAAGGCTCATTTGGCTGAATATATTAAGGCTGGTGATGGCATTGGGGGTAACTTACACAAGGCTACTCTTTTAGCTCAAGCTATGGCTGGATTAAAGGTGGGAAAAATACGCCCCATTTTTCAGGCTCTTGCTTTAATTGTGGGCAATTTGGACACACAAAAAAGGAATGTAGAAAAGGAAATCAAAAGGCAAAACTATTACCATCAATCAACAGAAAAGTCCCGATGTATACCCCCGGTATAAGAAAGGCAATCCCTGGACAAGACAGTGTCATTCTAAATTTAGTAAAGATGGACAACCTCTTTTGGGAAAAGGGAAGAGGGGCACACCTCAGGCCCCTCAACAAACCAAGGCATATCCGCACAGTCAGTGCCCTTACAAACGTACAACAATTGTCCCCCGCCACAGCAGGCAGTGCTGCCATGTATCTCTGCAGCACAATTCCCACTCCCTACTTCCTGGGGAGCCACCAAAGAAGGTCCCCATGGGTGTTAGGGGCCCTTTACCCTCAGAAAAAGTTGGTCTATTGCTTGGAGGGTCTAGCTTAAATTTAAAAGGTGTCACTGTACATAGAGGAATAATTGATTCTAATTATGCCAGAGAGATTCAACTAGTTGTTAGTTCCTCAACTCTGTGGTCTGTTTCCCCAGGAAAAAGAATTGCTCAGTTGTTGCTGTTACCTTATACAAAACTGGGAAACAGCACTGTAAAAAGAACAGGAGGCTTTGGTAGTACTAACTCAGCAGGGAAAGCTGTATATTTGGTTAATTGAATGTCTGATAAGAGACCTATTTGTACAGTAACCATCCAAGGAAAGGACTTTGAAGGGTTAGTAGATACTGGAGCTGATGTTTCTATTATTGCTTTAAATCAATGGCCCTGACACTGGCCCAAACAAAAGGCATCCATTGGTATTGTTGGAGTAGGAGCTGCTTCAGAAGTTTTTCAAAGTTCCTTAATTTTGCCATGTCTAGGGCTGGATGGCCAAGAAGGGACGATTCAACCTATTATTACAGCTATTCCTGTCAATTTATGGGGAAGGGGCATATTGCAACAATGGGGTGCTGAAATATCTATTCCTATGGATCAGTATAGTAATAACAGTAAACAAATGATGAGAAAAGTGGGATATCTCCCAGGAAAAGGATTAGGAAAGAATGAAAGTGACCAACCAGAACCTTTAGAACTAAAAGGGCGAACAGATCGAACCGCATTAGGGTATCATTTTTAGGAGCGGCTATTGCTGAGCCTCCAGCTCCCATTCCTCTTGTTTGGTTAACTGCCAAACCAGTTTGGGTGGAGCAATGGCCGCTGAAACAGGAAAAAACTGGAGGCTTTAAAAGAATTAGTACAGGAACAATTGCAAAAGGGACACATAGAGCCTACTTTCTCTCCTTGGAATTCTCCTGTTTGTTATTAAGAAAAAAATCAGACGGACGCGGTGGCTCACGCCTGTAATCCCAGAACTTGGGAGGCCGAGGCGGGTGGATGGCAAGGTCAAGAGATTGAGACTATCCTGGCTAACACAGTGAAACCCTGTCTCTACTAAAAATACAAACATTAGCCGGGTGTGGCGGCATGTGCCTGTAGTCCCAGCTGCTGGGGAGGCTGAGGCAGGAGAATGGCTGAACCAGGGAGGCGGAGCTTACAGTGAGCTGAGATCGTGCCACTGCACTCCAGCCTGGGTGACAGGGCCAGACTCTGTCTCAAAAAAAAAAAAAAAAAAGAAAAGAAAAAATCAGGTAACTGGAGAATGTTAACAGATTTAAGGGCTGTTAATGCTGTAATTCAACCCATGGGCTCACTGCAACCAGGGCTGCCCTCTCCAACAATGATTCCAAAATACTGGCCTCTAATATTGCTTATTTACCATTCCTTTAGCTACCCAAGATTATGAAAAATTTGCTTTTACTGTTCCCGCTATAAATAACAAAGAATCAGCGGATACCATTGGAAAGTACTCCCACAAGGCATGTTAAGTAGTCCAACTATTTGTCAAACTTATGTTGGAAAAGCTATTAAGCCAGTTAGAGAACAATTTAAAAAATGTTATATTATCAATTACATGGATGATATTTTATGTGCAGCTGACACTAGGGAGGAATTAACACTATGCCACAAACAGAAAAGTCTGTAACTGCTGCAGGACTAATCATAGCCCCCCATAAAATCCAAACTTCTACTCCCTTTCAATATTTAGGAATGAAGGTAGAACAAAGTGCTACTAAGTCTCGAAAGGTTCAAATTCAAAGAGATAATTTAAAAACTTTAAATGACTTTCAAAAATTATTAGGAGACATTAATTGGATTTGTCCAACTTTAGGCATTCCTACCTATGCTATGTCTCACCTTTTTTCTGCCTTACAAGGTGATTCTAACTTAAACAGTAAATGCTCCCTGTCCAAAGAGGCATTAGGGGAACTTCAATTACTTGAAGAAAAAATTCAACAAGCACAAGTGAAACGAATTAACCCTATGCAGCCATTACAGTTTTTAGTTTTTCCTACTAAACATTCACCTACAGGAGTTATTGTTCAACAGAATGATCTGGTGAAGTGGCTTTTTCTACCTCACAATACAACCAAAACGCTTACTCTGTATTCAGATCAAATTGCTGTACTAATAGGACAAGCAAGGCTGCACACAACAAAGTTAATGGGATATGATCCAAATCAAATTACAGTTCCAGTAAACAAACAACAAATTCAGCAAACTTACATTAATTCCCAGGAATGGCAAGTTAATTTGGCAGGTTTTGTTGGCATTCTTGATAATCATTATCCTAAATCTAAGATATTTCCATTTCTAAAATTAACATCCTGGATATTGCCTTCTATTACTCAAAAAGCCCCTAATGAAGGGGCCATTACTGTTTTTACTGATGGGTCTAGTAATGGATAAGCCTCATTTGTGGGACCTCAACAACAAGTTTTTCAAACTGACTTTGCTTCTGCTCAAAGGGCTGAACTTATTGCTGTAATTACAGTACTGAAAACTTTAAAAAAGCCAGTTAATATTGTTTCTGATTCAGCTTATGTGGTGCAAATCACACAAAATATTGATGAACAACTTAATCTTTTATTTCATTCTTTACAACAAGCAGTACAACAAAGACATTCCCCTTTCTATATTACTCATATGAGAGCACATACTAACCTCCCTGGTCCTTTTAACTTAATCAAAGGGCGGATGCACTGGTTTCTGCAGCTTTTGCCGATGCACAAACGTTCCATTCCTTAACCCATCTTAATGCTGCAGGCCTCAGAAAAAGATACGGCTTATCCTGGAAGCAGGTTAAGGAGATTGTAAAACACTTTTCTGCCGGTGAAGTCCTGCATCTGCCACATCAGGGAGCAGGAGTTAACCCTAGAGGTCTATCTCCAAATTCCATCTGTCAGATGGACATAACACACATTCCCACTTTTGGAAAATTGTCCTTTGTTCATGTTTCAGTAGATATTTATTCACATTTTATCTGGGCCACATATCAAACAGGGGAAGCTACAGCTCATGTTAAAAAACCTTTTTTTTGCTTTGCAGTTATGGGAATCCCAGAAAAAACCAAAACCGATAATGGCCCAGAGTATTGCAGCAAAGCCATGGCTGCATTTTTTTTTTTTTTTTTTTTTTTTTTGAGACGGAGTCTTGCTCTGTCGCCCAGGCTGGAGTGCAGTGACCAATCTCGGTTCACTGCAAGCTCCGCCTCCCGGGTTCACGCCATTCTCCTGCCTCAGCCTCCCGAGTAGCTGGGACTACAGGCACCCGCCGCTGCGCCCGGCTAATTTTTTTTGTATTTTTAGTAGAGACGGGGTTTCACCGTGGTCTTGATCTCCTGACCTCGTGATCCGCCCGCCTTGGCCTCCCAAAGTGCTGGGATTACAGGCGTGAGCCACCGCGCCCAGCAGCCATGGCTGCATTTTAACAGCAGTGAAATATTACTCATACTACAAGTATTCCATATAACTCACAGGGACAAGAGATAGTTGAAAGAGCTCATTGTTAACTTAAAAACTCAGTTACAAAAACAGAAAGAGGGAGACCAGGTATATAAAACCCTACATATACAATTACACCTCGCTTTATTAACATTAAATTTTTTAAATTTACAAAAGGATCAGCCCATGACAGCAGCTGAACAACACTTAACAGGACAAAAGGAAAATAAAAATGCCAGACAAGATATACAGTGGAGGGATGCACATACAAAGAGTTGGGAAAAAGGAAAAATAATTACATGGGGAAGAGGATTTGCTTCTGTCTCTCCAAGTGACAATCAGGTGCCTCTGTGGGTGCCCACCAAACATCTGAAGGTCTATCATGAGCCACACCAGGAAGAGAGGACTCTGGGAAGAGCCAGAACTCCCTATACGAGTGATGGCATGAATGAAAATCTCAGAGACAAAGGAAAAGACCAAGAATACTCACCAGGCAGACCCTCCAACATGGGGACAAATCAGGAAACTGGCACAGATGCAGAGGACAATCTGAGAGCACAGAACAAATCAAAAACAACTAGTAACCTAATGGTGGCTATGATGGTGGTACTTACTGTGGCGGTAAGCCTCCCTACTGTAAAAGCAACTCAAAATTTTACTTATTGGACTTATGTCCCATTTCCTCCTTTAATTAGGTCTGTGAGTTGGATGGACCCTATTATTGAGGTGTACAACAATGACAGAACCTCGATGCCTGAGCCCATAGATAACAGAGTGCCGATGCATCCTAATGAGGAAGGGATGAAAATGAATATATCAATAGGATATAAATATCCTCCAATATGCCTAGGACCTGCTGCTGGATGCTTACAAATTGGCACACAAGTATGGTTGGCAGTAATCCCTGGAAAAAATAAATCACAGGCTACTTTATATATGATTTCAGGGCAAAGTTTAAAATATAACCATTCCAGCCCTGAAACTCAGCAGTTCTGACCAGACAAACTCGAATGTAAACAAAATAGAGTTTGGTTTGAAGGTGTGGACGCTTGGCATTGGGGAAATTGTGTAGCAAGTAAGGCTGGGGTGCTACAAAATAATTCCTATGGAATCGTCATTGACTGGTCCCCTAAGGGGATTTTTAAGAAAAATTGCACTGAAGGGCCTTCTTATAAAATAAGCTGATGGACTCATTGGAAAGAGAACCATACACGGTACATTCAGACGGAAGCTGATGTTCCTATTATATGGAGCCCTGGTGGCATTATCACCCCTATTCCAAAAATGATATCTCCTGCCATAGGACAGGAACATTCAGGATTATGGAAATTAGCTATGGCTCAAAGTTCAATCACAATTTGGGAGGGTAAATATAATAAGTATAAAGGGGAGGGAGGTAAATATAAATATGTTCTCTCTTTTCTTTCTAACAGGACCTTTTGGAATCAAAATTGTGTCCGACCACCTTTTACGTTAGCAGTAGGAAATATTACTCTTCTTTTTTTTTTTTTGAGACCGGAGTCTCGCTCTGTCCCCCAGGCTGGAGTGCAGTGGTGTGATCTAGGCCCACTGCACGCTCTGCCTCCCTGGTTCATGCCTTTCTCCTGCCTCAGCCTCCCGAGTAGCTGGGACTACAGGCGCCCACCACCATGCCCGGCTAATTTTTTGTGGCTTTTTATTTATTTATTTTTTTTAGTAGAGACGGAGTTTCACCGTGTTAGCCAGGATGGTCTTGATCTTCTGGCCTCATGATCCGCCCGCCGCAGCCTCCCAAAGTGCTGGGATTACAGGTGTGAGCCACCCCGCCAGGCCGGAAATATTACTCTTTACATAAATACCCGTTTTATCACCTGCCAGGAATGTCACTTGTTTACTTGCATTAACGACATCTTGATAAAAATCAAACTATCTTGTTAATTAGAGCCAGAGAAGGAGTTTGGATCCCTGTGTCTCTAAATAGACCATGGGAGGCATCACCGTCCATTCACATTATAACTGAGATCCTTACAAAACTCTTATCCCGTTCAAAAAGATTTATAGTTGCTCTTATATTTGCTATAATTGGCCTCACTGCAGTTACCACCACTGCTGCAGTAGCTAGTGTGGCTTTACACTCATCTGTGCAAACTGTCAAATTTGTTGATAAATGGAAAAAGAATTCTATGAAATTATGGAGCTCTCAGGCCCAAACAGATCAAAATATAGTTAGTCAAATTAATGATCTCCCTCAGACAGTAATTTGGATGGGGGATTGCATCATAAGTTTAGAAACTAGAATTCAAATGCAATGTGACTGGAATACATCCGATTTTTGCGTTACTCCTCATAGTTAGAATGAAACAGAACACCAATGGGAAATTAAATGCCATCTAGTGGGCAGAGAGGAAAATCTCACCCTTGATATTGTAAAAGTAAAAGAGCAGGTTTTTGAAGCCTCTCAGGCTCACTTAACCCTGCTCCCTGGAACTGATATTTTCAGCGAGGCAGCCAATGGGTTGTCTGCAATCAATTCTCTTAAATGGATTAAGACCACTGGAAACTCTACACTTGTAAATTTTGTTCTAATAATTATGTGCTTGTGCTGTCTCCTTTTAATCTACAGATGCGGAAGCCGCTTCTGGAGAGAAAGCCGCTGCCAAGAACAAGCAATGATAGCTGTGGCGGTTTTGCAGGACAAAAAAGGGAGACATGTTGGCAGAAGAGCTGAGGCAGGGCTCGTTTTTCTGACATAATGTAAAAGAGTCTTGGAACATGTCCTGGGTCCAGGGTCTAAAACCCCTCATGACCTTTGGAACACCAAACTCTGTGCCAAAGGGTGGAAGGCTGCCCTGCCGCAGTACAATCTAAACCCAGGGTATGAAACCCCTTGTGGCTTGGAGAGAACCCAGGGCTCAGGGCATAAAACCCTCTGTAGCCTTTGGAGTGTGTCCAGACTCACTGGCCCCTTGCACTTTGTTCTCCCAAGATCATAAATTGATTGTATCTTGAATTAGAAGAACCTATTCTCCCTTATCTCAAGTAGCAGAGCATATGCTAAGCCATCACAGCTACGCTTGATGCACCGCTTTCTACCCCCACATCCTCACCTGTCTGCCCCCACATCCGCACGTCCTCTCCACCTGCTTCTTTGTTTGATTACCAATAAATAGTGTGGGCTCCTAGAGCTCAGGGCCTTTGCAGCCTCCATACTGGCGTTGGCCCCTGAGACCCACCCTATGTACTCTTGTCTTGTCTCATTCCTTTGACTCTGCCAGACTTCATAGCCCCAGTGACCAGGTGTTGGGTCTGATCACCCCAACACTTTGCCTCCACCGGTCCCATGCCACCCTCGCTTTAAGCCCCTGCCTTTGAAAGCAGGTCATGTTCACTGAGATGCTGGACACTGCAGGTATCTGTCCCTGGGACAGCAGGGACCTCTGAAGCTTCTTTGTGGCCTGGTTTATACTTTTTTCCATCTTGTGGTTTTTCTAATGGACTTTCACGGATTTTGTAATCTCGTAACTTTCCAAGCTCCATCACTTCCTAAATCTTAAGAACTGTAATTGACAGTTTAAATTGAAGGTGCTGTTTGTAGACTTAATACCCAATGAAAGCCCAGGCATCGCCGGGAGTGGTGGCCCACGCCTGTAATCCCAGCACTTTGGGAGGCCAAGGCGGGCGGATCACCTGAGGTCGAGCGTTCCTGACTAGCTTGATCAACATGGAGAAACCTCGTCTCTACTAAAAATACAAAATTAGCCAGGTGTGATTGTGCATGCCTATAATCCTAGCTACTCGGGAGGCTGAGGCAGAACTGCTTGAACTCAGGGGGCAGAAGTTGTGGTGAGCCAAGATTGTGCCATTGCACTCCAGCCTGGGCAACAAGAGTGAAACTCCGTCTCAAAAAAAAAAAAAAAAAAAAAAGCCCAGCCATCATGAAGAATCCTCGAATGTTCTCTGAAGAAAATGATGCTGGGGGCTGGGTGCAGTGGCTCATGCCTATAATCCCAGCACTTTGGGAGGCCGAGGCATGTGGATCACCTGAGGTCAGGAGTTCAAGTCCAGCCTGACCAACAGGGTGAAACCCTGTCACTACTAAAAATATAAAAAAGTAGCCAGGTGTGGTGGCGGGTGCCTGTAATCCCAGCTACTCTGGAGGTTGAGGCAGGAGAATCATTGGAACCTGGGAGGCGGAGGTTGCAGTAAGCCAAGATTTCACCATTGCACTCCAGCCTGGGCAGTAAGAGTGAAACTGCGTCTCACACTTGATCTTAGCCAAAAGGCTGAGAAGCACTGAACCAAAGCCACTGCGCCCGGCTGGGAAAGTTCTTCTTTACAGATTTATAGTTCTTCTTTATAGATTCTTTCTTGCTAAGTGTTGAAAAGATAACTATAATCATCTAAAGAGGATTAATTCATCACTTAGGCAAAGTAGAGGTTAGCAAGAGGAAGTTACTTCTCTTAGAGTATGTGATTCAAAGGAAAAAATTGCTACATCAAATACACACCGACTGGCTAAACATTTCTAGGTACGTATCAATTTCTATGCCACTTTCAGATTCAACACAATGAGGAAATTACTGGTGTAATAAAAATAACAAACATTAGATTGATGAAGCACGGTAAAATAATTTCAAACAGGAAAGATGTATGAATCTTTTGTACAAAAAAATTTCAACATATAAGTTGCATACAAGCAGGAAGATTTAACTTCATAAGAGAATTAACAAAAGTTGTATTAATTCAAGACAAGAGCCTGCAGAGACTAAAATTGCTTAGTACTGAAAGTTTTGCCTATATAAACTGTAGTTTATGAAGAAAAAAGTTTTGTTTTTTTTGAGGCAGGGCCTTGCTCTTTTGCCCAGGCTAGAGTGCAGTGGTACCATCTCAGCTGATTGCAACCTCCATTTCCGAGGAAGGCTCCTTAATTTCCCAATTATAAAGGTTTTGTGGGAACATAATTGGGTGTAATAAAATAAAAATTTACACCACAAGAGACAGACACATACTCTTCAGGGTGTATGGTCATAATTTGTTTGAACGAGCCCTTTTAAACTTCTAGATATCATTGAAACTCCTATGTTGATTAAAAATCATCAAAGATCTTTCCAGTGAGAAGGATGAAAAATATTACTGAGAATGAAGTATCACTATTTCATGTATGTGCCTGTATGTGCTTATATAACATGCTGTAATACAAGGTGACATTTAGGGGCTGAGACTGTTAACATCTGACTGTACCTTGCTATTTGTAACTTACAATCTTATTCACATTTCTCAAGTGCCATGCCTTTAGGTGCCTATACATCATGCTATCATAGGATTTCTAGGGATAAGCCGAGTGCCGTGGCAGATGCCTGTAATCCCAGCACTTTAGGAGGCTGAGGGGGGTGGATCATGAGGTCACAAGTTTGAGACCAGCCTGGCTAACGTAGTGAAAGCCCATCTCTACTAAAAATACAAAAATTAGGTGGGCGTGGTGGAGGGAACCTATAGGCCCAGCTACTTGGGAGGCTGAGGCAAGAGAATCACTTGAACCTGGGAGGCGGAGGTTGCAGTGAGCCGAGACCATGCCATTGCACTTCAGCCTGGGTGACAGAGTGAGACTCTGTCTCAAAAAAAAAAAAAAAAAAAAATTTAGGGATAATATCTAAGCCCATATAACCTGCTGTTATAAAAGGTAACATTTAGGGATTGAGATTTTTTTTTTTTTTTTTTTTTTTTTTTGAGACGGAGTCTCGCTCTGTCACCAGGCTGGAGTGCAGTGGTGCAATCTCGGCTCACTGCAACCTATGCCTCCCAGGTTTAACGAATTCTCCTGCCTCAGCCTCCCAAGCAGCTGGGACTACAGGCACCCACCACTATGCTTGGGTAATTTTTGTATTTTTAGTAGAGACAGGGTTTCACCATATTGTCCAGGGTGGTCTTGAACTCCTGACCTTGTAAGCCACCCACCTCAGCCTCCCAAAGTGCTGGGATTACAGGCCTGAGCCAAAACACCCAGCTGAGATTCTTCATATAGCTGATTATCTTGCCATTTCTAACTTACAAGCTTTATCCACATTTCTTAACCTTTTGTTTCACTAAATGGGACAGGAAGTTTTAACTCTTGTATCCATGAAGCATCTTAGTAAAATAACAGATATTCCATTTGCAAATTATGCTCCCCAAAAAACACAAACACATATGTAAAAAATGTTATAAAGACATTAAGTGTCCACTCAATAACTTTGATTCAAACTATCTTCATGTTCTTCACTTCACAAGATAAAGCTCTTAAAATGGACTTTGTGAGGTTCCATGTGTTTGGTCAGTCATGAGAGGAAGAATAATTCAGAGTGAGAGGAAACAAGAGAGATTCTAGGCAGCCCTCAGGGAAGCTGAGGAGGTGGCTCCCTGCCTCCGGGTCCCTCAGAATGTCCCATCTCCCTGTCAGTATCAGTGTCCCAGATAATCTTCTTCTGACTGGGACATTTCCCAATTTGGGAACAGTGGTTACTTGCCAAATTCACATTTACGGCCAAAACTGTGGCTACAGTGTCGACATTCATGCAAGTGGGGAAATGGGCATGTGGCCCCTGAAAAAAGATTCTGGATTCCATAATCTCACCTTGCTGGCAAGAAACTACCATTTCAGCAGAAAGTGCAATGACAGTGTCTGCACAGGGACTGGAGATTATCTCCAGAAAAGAGCTTGGAGTGAGGAAATTAGTTAATGTGGATGAATGACGTTACCCATGGAGAATGAAGTAAGTAGCTAGAAGACAAAAGCCTCAGAACACATAAATCTCAACGGGTACTGAGTAGAGGACTCGGAGCTCTGAGGTAATTGGAGCTCATGGCTATCCCAGAACTTGGATAACATAAAGTTCTTGTTTCTACAAAGTGTGTATCCTTTCCATATGTGAGAACTCTGAGGAAATACAAACTTGGAACAAAAGAAATAGTAAGGTAATCTTAGAAAGATGTTGAATAGAAAGCAAGCTACGGTGACATCTTAACTGTTTCACTGCCCAGCAATCTATACGTATTGTCACTTGGGGACACTTATGATTCCACATGAAGTGGATAACCAGCTCATAGCTCTTGTGGTACTGAAAACCAAGTATTTGGCCGGGCATGGTGTGGTGTACTCGTAATCTCAGCTCCTTGGGAGGCTGAGGTAGGAGAATCACTTGAACCTGGGAGGCCCAAGTTGCAGTGAGCCAAGATTGCACCACTGCACTCCAGCCTGGGTGACAGAATGAGACTCCGTTCCAATGCGAAGTCTCTTAAGACCAAGGAGAGCAGACATTCTGATGTTTCCCAGATTGACAGCACTCATAAGGCCTTTCTCCAGTATGAACTCTCCTGTGTTTAATGAGACGGGATGTTTCAGCAAACGATTTCCCATATTCACTGCACTCATAAGGCCTTTCTCCTGTGTGAACTCTGATGATGAAGGAGGGTAGAGCTTCGCTGAAATGTTTTTCCACATTTGGTACATTCATAAGGCCTTTCTCCAGTGTGAATTCTCCTGTGTTTAATGAGACTGGAACATTCAGCAAAGGATTTTCCACATTCACTGCACTTATAAGGCTTTTGTCCAGAATGAACTCTTTTATGAACATGAAGCGCAGAGCTGGAAAGAAATGATTTCCCACATTCATTGCATTCATACGGCCTTTCTCCAGTGTGAATCCTCTGATGTATAGTCACGCAGTTCTTATTACCAAATAATTTCCCACATACCTCACACGCATATGGCCTTTCTCCAGTGTGAACTCTCTCATGAACGAGAAGATGATACTTCCTGTTAAATAATTTCCCACATTCCCTACAATTGTAAGGTCTTTCCCCAGTGTGAAGTCTCTGGTGTTCAGTGAGGTGGGATCTGTACCTAAATGATTTCCCACATTCCTTGCACTCATAGGGCCTTTCTCCAGTATGACCTCGCTGATGTTGAACGAGGTTGCCCTTTTGACCAAAAGATTTTCCACATTCTCCACACTTGTAAGGCCTTTCTCCAGTGTGAACACGCTGATGGTTAATAAAGCAGAACTTCTGACGAAAAGATTTCCCACATTCCCCACAGTGATAAGCTCTCTCTCCAGTGTGACCTTGCTGATGTTGAATGAGGTTACCCTTTTGACCAAAAGATTTCCCATATTCTCTACACTCATAAGGCCTTTCTCCAGTGTGAACACGCTGATGGCTAATAAGGCTGCCCTTCTGACTAAAAGATTTCCCGCACTCCTCACAGGGATAAGCTGTCTTTCCAGTGTGGACTCGCTGATGTTGAATAAGGCTGCTCTTTCGACTATAAGATTTCCCACACTCTCCACAATCATAAGGTCCTTTTGCAGTGTGATCTCGCTGATGATTACTGAAGCTGACATATCTGCTAAAGGATTTTCCACAATCACTGCACACATAACATCCATCTCTAGTGAAAAGTTTCTGGTGTGGAATAACTGAGTGTTTGGTGCTGAAGGCTTTTGTGCGTTTTCCACAACTGTAATTAGTTTTTCCCTCCTGAAAGGGTGGGCCATGCATAGTTTCACTGTCTGTCTTCTCTACAGCAGCTGCTTCTTGGCACAATCCTGAACTGGGCAGAACGTCCTTCCCAAACTCGCGGAAGACAAATGGCTCCTGTGACACCCTGAGCTTACGTTTCTTTACAAACGATGCTTCTCTGACACTCTTTCTGTAGAATTTCTCTCCAATATGCTGCTTCTGGTGCTGATGAAGGTATGCAGTGTCATCCAAGTTTTTTCCACATGCTCCACTCCTGTTCAGCTTCTGCTTGTGATGAGTTTCCTGGTGGTCAGCAAAGTGAAAAACATCCTCCAAGATGAGGCCACACATTTCACAGGGGTGAGCCTTCTTAGGAGAAACACCTGCCCTAGGAGTCCTGCTCTGAGACTCTCTTTGTACAGAAATTCTCTGCTTACAAGGTGCCTCCTCATCTTTTGATCCACACCAACAACCTGAGAGCAAGAAAATGCTGGTCAAGTGCAAAGTACCTCTGACGGGAAGGCACAGCCCACCCACAAGTACGTCTCACAAATTGAGGAATTAATCTATAGAAATATTTGCAGGAACACAATGTTGGCTTCAAGTTGAAGATGGGGCTGCTGGCCGGGCGCAGTGGCTCACGCCTGTAATCCCAGCACTTTGGGAGGCTGAGGCGGGTGGATCACCTGAGGTCAGAAGTTCGAGACCAGCGTGACCAACATGGTGAAAACCCATCTCTACTAAAAATACAAAAATTAGCTGGATGTGGTGGTGAGCGCCTGTAATCCCAGCCACTCGGGAGGCTGAGGCAGGAGAATCATTTGAACCCGGGAGGTGGAGGTTTGCATTGAGCCATGATCGCACCACTGCACTGCAGCCTGGATAACAGAGCGAGACTCCATCTCAAAATAATAATAATAATAATAAAAAGAAGAATGAGCTGCCTAGCATTACTGGGCTATAAAGGTCACAGAATCCAGGAGGCCTCATGATGTAAAGAGCACAAGCATACAGGCAACACAGGGAGTAGAGGCAGGGTCCACAGCTCCTTCCTCTAAACACAAGTTGTGTACGGGACCTTATCTCCTAATGACATGTGAGTGCTATGTAGAAGCATATGGACTGGGCGCGGTGGCTCATGCCTGTAATCCCAGCACTTTGCAAGGGTGAGGCAAGTGGATAACCTGAGTTCAGTAGTTGGAGACGAGCCTGGCTAACACGGTGAAACCCTGTGTCTACTAAAAAAAGAAAAAATTAGCTAGGTGTGGTGGTGCAGGCCTGTAATCCCAGCTACTTGGGCGGCTGAGGCAGGAAAATCACTTCAACCTGGGAAGCAGAGGTTGCAATGAGCCAAGATTGTGCCATTGCACTCCAGCTTGGGCAACAAGAGCGAAACTCCATCTCAAAAAATATAAATATAGAAGCATATGTCAAGACCAAGAAAACATGAGTACAACACAGCAGAGGGTGGTCATGGATGGTTTAACATAGGGCATACACTTCCTAATATGTAATCGATACACCAATATCAGAGACAAGTGCAGATGAAAGCACAAGAAAAATGGGTGAGATGTGAGTATTAGTGCTGGGGTGGATATCACAGTAGAAGTGAAAAGGTACAGAACTAACACGTGTGAAACTCTCAACAATGGGGAGAAAAAGACAAATAGTGTGTGCCTACTCATATTGCCACAAAAACACTTGGCAAATATAAATGGTTTCTGGTATGATTTGGATAAACCCCTGAAGTCATGCCCTCCCCCAGCATGGCACTCCTGAGGGACAGGCTCCCTTTGAGCCTATCGTGATGAGCCTGAATTGAACCACATCTTGTCAAACATGGAGGTCTCTCCATCTCACACCCAGTACATAGGACCCGACGATGTAACTATGAAGGGAGAGACAGCAGAGATGAACAGCCAACACTAGCTCAGGACAACTAAGCACCTGACAGCCCACAGGAGAGTAAGGTAAGTATTACAAAAGAATTCCTAAGCAGGGTCTTGCAAGAAGAGTCTATGGTCTATGGTCTATGTAGGTAGTGACAATGTCAATGAAGGCAATTCTTGGCACAGGGAGGCACAAAGCATTGTCAGATAGAGGAAGGAAGTGTTAATAGAACCTGGGCACACAAGAGCTACCGATTTGGACAGTCACCTGACAGCCAGAGAGCAGGCAAAGTGGATACACTTAGGTGCCTATTAGACTCCTGACTCTGACTCCTTCCCTGGGAGCCTGGAGCAAAGCAGGTGTTGGAGGTGCTTAAGGAAAGGAAAAGGCAATACACACAACTTACATAGAGAAGTGTAGAAGGAACCTGTGTCCAGGCTCCTTAAGTGAGAAAGACAGTCCTGTCAATGAAAAACAGGGGAACAGTAACACTAGCTCAGGTCACAAAGGTGAGCGTGAGCAACTTACCCAGCGAGGATATGAGAGCCAGGTTCTCTAGCATCACATCACGGTACAAGCACCTCTGAGCCTCACTAAGAAGACACCACTCCTCCTGGGAAAAGTTCACAGCCACATCTTCAAAGGTCACAGTGCCCTGCTATGATAGTGACAGATGAAACCACAAACAGCCCCTCTGCTGAGGTACCACAACCCACCTCTCCCACACACCCACACTTGCCCATCCTCCTCCCAAGGTCCCCAACATAGTGTTGAAACTATGTCCACTAGTGCCTTTGTCTCTTCATGGGCCCACTGGTCAATTGCCATCAGCAATAAGCAGTAAGTGGACAAATAGGTATCCATGCTGAGGTCCTGACATAAAAAGGTCCATCCCCTTCTGAATAGCGATATCCAAGCTCATGTAAAGCCCAGGGCAGCTGCCTGAGCCCATTGGACAAACTCCCTCTCTAAATATACATCATTCTTTATACTGCAAAGACACATCCCCATGGCCACCCCTACCTGAGTTTTCCCTACCATCAGCCTCTCTCTGGCATCCCCACAAATAGAACTTTGTTTTTTGGGGTTTTTTTTGAGACATAGTCTAGCTCTGTCACCCAGGCTGGAGTGCAGTGGCATGATCTTGGCTCTTTGCAGCCTCCGCCTCCTGGGTTCAAGTGATTCTCGTGCCTCAGCCTCCCAAGTAGCCGGGATTACAGCCACGCACCACTATACCCGGCTAATTTTTGTATTTTTTTTTTTGGTAGAGAGGGGGTTTCACCATGTTGGCCAGGCTGGTCTTGAGCTCCTGGTCTCAAGTGATCCATCCGCCTTGGCCTCCAAAAGTGAGATTACAGGGGTGGGTCACTGCACCCAGCCCCCACAAATAAAATTATTTCACAAGATGAAGAGGGTATAACGGCCCATGATTCCCTTGGGAATATGCAATGGTTTGTTTCCATAACTCTGCTGGTAGGGATGGAATTGAAACCCACCACAAAATATAACAACCTGGAACCCTGCCTTATCACCTTGATAAAACGGGCTGTTAGGCTAGGATACATTATTCAAGAGAGCAGAGTGGGAATGAGATTTGTACTCACACCTTTTAAGGTTGTCCCACTTTCACAAGATGTCAAAGTGACACATCATATTGGGCCTTCAATTCTGGCCTTATACCAAAATGTGGATAAGCATCCAGACTATGCTTGACAAATACAAATAGGATCCAATATTAACACAGAATTTCCATGGTTTACAATAGCAGTGGTAATCCCAAATCATCCTGTGAACGTCTCCCGGAATGACTCCATAGCCACACAGAACCACATATGGCTTCAGATATCCATGGACCTATTTCACTTTTGTGCTGCACCAGCTGAGACCTCAGCTGTAGCAACCCTCCTCTGTCCATCTAATGCTGTTTAAAGCCCAGCCCCTGGATTTGTGAACCAAACCACATCTACTATCACAGATGAGCATATTTTTCACTGCCCACATGCACCAAGCTGAATGAAACTCTCCAGGCACTCCCAAAGTCATCTCAAAACGTTTATGAATCCAGACAGTGATAAATAGTTACAACTTGGCACCAACTCAGGCAGAAGTGTCATCTTCCTTACTCCTATGCTTCTGCATGCATCTATCTCATCTATTCTCTCCTCGGATGTCTATGTCCCCTTCCAAACTCTACTGTCTGATACATCCTGCCATGATGTTCACTCACACCCTCTCAGGTGTTTAGGAAGCCCAATAACATCACTCAGGGACGTAAGTAAGAGATCCACTCCTCAGCCTGTAGTCACACCTTCCTGGCCCCTGAAAAGATTTACCACCAAAATCTGAAGCATGTCCTCCTAAATGGACCCATAACTAACTTACTGAAGTTCACCCATTAGCTTTCAAATATTGGATGTCTCCAGTATCAACACCCTCCCAGATACCCCATCCTGTATGTCTAGTTATCCATTTAATGCCACCATTTATTGGTCACTGACTCTTCATATGGCCAAAACAACACTCTTGATATCCACAGTCAATATTATGTCAATACCAACTTCATGTCAGCTGATGCAGCGTCCATGGTTACAGCTGCTAAGATCAAAAACCTTGGGCTCATGCCTGATTCCTCTTTCATGCCCTTATCATCCGCATTAGAAAACCTAGCTGTCTGTCAGGCGTGATGGCTCATGTCTGTAATCCCAGCACTTTGGGAGGCTGAGGCAGGCGAATCACCTGAGGTCAGGAGTTCGAGACCAGTCTGGCCAATATGATGAAACCCCGTTTCTACTAAAAATACAAAAATTAGCTGGGCGTGGTGGCAAGCACCTGTAATCCCAGCTACCTTGGAGGCTGAGGCAGGAGAATCGCTTGAACCCGGGAGGCAGAGGTTCCAGTGAGCCAAGATTGCACCACTGCACTCCAGCCTGGGCAACAAGACCGAAACTCCACAAAAAAAAAAAAAAAAAAAAAAAAAAAGACAGAAAGAAAACCTAGCTGTCTCTTTACAAAAAGTGAATCCTGTATCCAGACTCATGTGATTTGCCACGTATCTGATCCACTAACCCTCACCTGGATTATGGCAGGAGCCTTATCTCTGACATTTCTTCCTCTTCCCTCAACCCATAGTGTGTGCACCAAGGTCCAACCAGATGAAGCCGGTAGCCAGTAGAACTGTGGTAATATCACCTTCTGACTTTGATCCTTTTTATCTCTAAGCATTTCACAACCTGGTAGCAAATCCTGGGTTAATCTTACAAGAGTGTTTACACTGGCTGACAGAAATGGGCATACTTGCATATAACCTGCCATGGCCTCAGTATCCTGTCTTTAGAGATTCTCCAGGGTCCTCGGATCAAAGGACTGAAAAAATGGCACTTAAGAGTCCCAGCACACCACAAGCTAGAGAACCTGTGGATGGGGTCAAGACCAATGAGGGGATTGAACACCCTCCACTTCCCTGTGTGGGTTCCCTAAGTGCTTCTGCAGCCAGGAGTGCCTGAGGGGAGAGGCAGACATTACAAACATGTCACGGGATTTGATAAGCTCAGGCCTCCCTGAACCCTTTCTTGTCCCTGGAACCAGGTAACCCTACGGCTGGTTGTCTGACCTGCTTGTCTCAGTGCAAAATGTCATCTCTACCACCTATGTGAGCTACAAAAAGGATTCAACCTCCCAAGACCCCAAAGTCTTCATCCTCTCTACGATATTCTTCCTTTGAATGTCCTTTGGGAAACCTTAAAAGCCTGGATTTGGATCATGTCCCTCCTTTATTCAAAACTCTCCATGGCTTCTAGCGTCCTCACCTTGAATGCACAGCCCTCGGCCTGCTTACTCTTCCAGGGAGAGCTCCACCTCACACTTTGTTCCAGACAGGTTCCATCCTCCCGGCTCCGTCCATCTCCAGGCCATTGCCTGCGCCCCTCCCTGTGCTTGTTGCTCTCCCCACCGCATCCCACGGGTGTCAGAAACAGGTGAAACCGTCTTTGCAAAATTATAACTGAGGAAATTATGACAGTGAAAGAAATCAGACCTTACTGACTCCGTCTTGCTTCCAACCTTTCAGCTGTCCTTGTTCATTCCTGGGTATAGGCTGAATTAACTTAGGGAAGGAATTCAGTTCATGGTTTCACTCTGAAACAAAATTGATAATAGCCCTTTCCTGAAAAGACCCCCTTCTTGCCTGGAGAACAGCCTGCCTTTGCAGGACTAACGAATTAGCTACAAGGTTAGAAATTACCGTTTAGGGGTCATGCAGCTTCTGACTCCAAGAGTCTGAACCTCCCCAAGTTGCTCCTGAAGATAAATCACTATTGTAAAACCTAAGATCAGTGCTTGAGGTATTTTGCAGATCCTGCACTGGATGGATCAGCTGACAACACACAGACCGGTAATCTGGGTCAATCAGTTCTGCCATCCCACCCAGAACAGAAAACAGCATGAAAAACTCACTTTAACCCTCTATGAATCCATCTCAGGTCCCAACCCTTACCGCCAAATTAATGTTGAAAACTCTGATCCCGGAATGCTAATGGAGACTGATTTGAGTAATAATAAAACTCCTGTCTCCAGAACAGCCTGACGGCTCTGCGTCAATTACTATTTCTCCATCGCAATTCTCCAGTCTTCATAAATCGGCTCTGTCTAGGCAGCTGGCAAGGTGAACCCACTGGACAGTTACACAGGGACCCCCACTGGACAGTTACACAGGGACCCCTCCTGCGAGCGCCTCAGTGTTCCTACGCCGGGTACCGGCTACAGACCCGTGAGCAGGAGCCGCTCCCTCGCTGGTTTAGGACCTGGGTGACGATGGGGTGACCTGAGGGCACAGAAGGCGCCACAATTACCTGAGTCGGGCGCCTCGGCGCAGCCGCTGCCATCGGACTACTTGGGGAAGCACGGCCCGGGAGCAGTGGTCGCCGTCACGGGGCTGCAGAGCCGCCTCTGGGCACCGAGGACGATTCCTCTCCACCTTCTAGGTTCAGTCACCGCGGTCCCCCCCCAGCACTCAGGGGCCACAAACTGGGGAAACACCCGCGTCACCGATACACAGCCGCTACTAGAGACCCCGGAAGTCTCAGCCTTACGTTACGTGCACACGTGGAAATGCCTTCTTTCCGAGTGCTCATTGGCTCTGACCGGCTGTCGTTTAACGCAGAGCTTTCTGGGTAATGTAGTTCCCCACTTTCCATGGCGCTAAAAAGAGCGATACCCAGAGTCCATCTGCAGGAAAAGCCCGCCATCAGGTCAGGGGTTCTCCTTAAAAAGCGCACCCTTCTGGCCGGGCGCAGTGGCTCAAGCCTGTAATCTCAGCACTTTGGAAGGCGGAGGTGGGCGGATCACGAGGTCAGGAGATGGAGACCATCCTGGCTAACACGGTGAAACCCCGTGTCTACTAAAAATTCAAAAAAAAAAAAAGTTAGCTGGGTGTGGTGGCGGGCGCCTACAGTCACAGCTACTCTGGAGGCTGAGGCTGGAGGAGAATGGCGTGAACCTGGGAGGCAGAGCTTGCAGTGAGCTGGGATCGCGCCACTGCCCTCCAGCCTGCGCGACAGAGCAAGACTCTGTCTCAAAAAAAAAAAAAAAAAAAAAAAAAAAAAAAAAAAAAAAGGCGCCTTTCTAGGGCAGAGGAGGGGTCTCACCTAGCCTTAGAAGCCGTATTGAGATTCCTGGAGACTAGTGTCTGTAACTAATCACTCAAGAATCTGGAAAAATACTGTTTCAGATTTCGGGGAGCGCAAGGTAAATAATAGGGAGCTCAAGCTAAAACTATTATTTAGGATTCTCCTAAAGGCTAAAAATCCAAATTACCACACCGTTTGAAACAGTCGTTCAGTCGCAAAATACCTGCACTGGAAGCAGAGGCTGATAAGCGTTGTTGTGTTATAATGTGTCTGAAGGCCCTCAGAAGCCTTAGAGTGCCTAAGGCAAATGAAGGAAGTTAGGGATGTGCTCCCCTATAGCAGGAGTGCAAAGCTGAATCTCTGTGATTCCTACAGAAAACAACTCTCCTGCTGATAGAATCTGTGAAAGGAAAATCTTGTGGCCTCAAAATTACTAAGCTAAAGGGAAAAGTCAATCTGGGAACTGCTCAGGGCAAACTTGCCTCCCATTCTATTCAAAGTCTTCCCTCTCCTCACTGAGATAGATGCCTATTCTGATTGCCTCCTTTGGAAGGACTTATCAGAAATTAAAAAGAATCCAACTATTTGTCTCTCTACCTGTCTACCTGTGACCTGGAAGTCCCCTCCCTGCTTCGAGTTGTTCCCGCCTTTCTGGTCGGAACCAATGTACTTCTTACATATATTCACTGATGTCTCATGTCCCCCTAAAATGTATAAAACCAACCTGTACCCCAACCACCATGGGCACATGTCGTCAGGACTTCCTGAGGCTGTGTCACGGGCATGTGTCCTCAACCTTGGCAAAATAAACTTTTTCTTTTATGAGACGGAGTCTCGCTCTTTGGTCAGGCTCGAGTGCAGTGGCGCGATCTCGGCTCACTGCAACCTCTGCCTCTCGGGTTCAAGTGATTCTCCTGCCTTAGCCTCCCGAGTAGCTGGGAGTACAGGCACGTGGCATCACGCCAATTTTTGTAGTTTCAGTACAGACGGGGGTTTCACCTTGTTTAGGATGGTCTCGATCTCCCTCGTGATCTGCCTGCCTCACCCTCCAATGTGTTGGGGTTACAGGCATGAGTCACCACACCTGGCCAGCAAAATAAACTATTTAAATTAACTGAGACCTGTCTCAAATTTGGGGGGTTCACAAATCATTATAGCGTTCAATTAATTGAACAACACTTTTTCCCACTTAGTATCCTTTACTTGATATTCTAACTTACATTCAACTCCTTTTAGTAATTTGACATCAGTCTTATAAAGAACAATAAGGCTGGGCACGGTGGCTCACGCCTGTAATCCTCGCACTTTGGGAGGCCGAGGCAGGCGGATCACCAGTTCAGGAGATCGAGACCATCCTGGCTAACATGGTGAAACCCCGTCTCTACTAAAAATACAAAAAAAAAATTAGCCGGGTGTGGTGGCACACGCCTGTAGTCCCAGCTACTCGGGAGGCTAAGGCAGGAGAATCACTTGAACCCGGGAGGCAGAGGTTGCTGTGAGCTGAGATCGCGCCATTGCACTGCAGCCTGGCGACAGAGCGAGACTCTCTCAAACAAAGAAACAAAAAACAATAAAATAAATGGTATCTTGGTAGTAGTGATGGCTACAGTCTGTAAAAAGTAAAGTACAGGTTCCTCTTCAAAGACTTTCCTCCCATCTAATTAGGAATAAATAGTAACTTCTCTTAGAAGCAAAATTTATTCAAAGACCTGTGCTAACATTCTTAAATATCTTCTAGCCGTAATTAAAAAAATCCATGTACTTTATGTTCTTAGCTCCCACAATTTAGCCTAAATATTTGCCCTGGCATGTTTACACTGGTCCAAGCAAGCATTGTCATAGCCTGTTCCTCTTATTTGAAGGTGTTTTTGCCTTTCTTAGCATTCCATAAGTTAATTCCTCCTTCGTTTTCCTCTTGCCTTTGCCTCTTTTAAAAATGTTCTAAGTTGCTAGTCAATCAGGACAAATACAGAATGTGAATTTGTATTTAGCCAGTGGAAACCGGACACAGCAGTAAGGTGGATGCGTCAGGCAGGTTATAAATGACCCTGTCTCCTTTGTTCAGTGTAATCTCACAGCAAAACTGCTGGCGAGTATACCGTTTCTGCAGAAAGTAAAAATGGCCTTGCTGAGGAAATTAAATTTATGTTCAATGCTATTTCTTTCTTTCTTTTTTTTTTTTTGAGACGGAGTTTCGCTCTTGTTGCCCAGGCTGGAGAGCAATGGCGCGATCTTGGCTCACCACAACCTCCGTCTCCCAGGTTCAAGTGATTCTCCTGCCTCAGCCTCCTGAGTAGTTAGGATTATAGGCATGCGCCACCATGCCCAGCTAATTTTGTATTTTTAGTAGAGATGGGGTCTCTCCATCTTGGTCAGGCTGGTCTTGAACTCCCGACCTCAGGTGATCCTCCCACCTCGGCCTCCCAAAGTGCTGGGATTATAGGCATGAGCCACCGCGCCCGGCCAAGTCAAGTGCTATTTCTTTACGGCACTAAAGAACAAGCATTTCAAACAGTACTTAAAGTTGGTGCTCTCCATCTGTTCATACTGGGCATTTGTAAAAGCCATGAGTTCATGTCATTGATGGGAAGTGATTATCATTGATTTGAGAGGAGGGAGTGTTCTGCATGAAAAATTAATATTACATAAGAGAAACAGTTGTAAATTGCAAGATACAAAAGCCTATTAATACTGACTAGGTAGGCTGGGCGTGGTGGCTCACGCCTGTAATCCCAGCACTTTGGGAGGCCGAGGTGGGCAGATCACAAGGTCAGGAGATCGAGACCATCCTGGCTAAGACGGTGAAACCCCGTCTCTACTAAAAATACAAAAAATTAGCCAGGCCTGGTGGCAGGTGCCTGTAGTCCCAGCTACAGGGGAGGCTGAGGCAAGAGAAACGCGTGAATCCAGGAGACGGAGCTTGGAGTGAGCGGAGATCACGCCACTGCACTCCAGCCTAGGCATCTCAAAAAAAAAATTAGCCAGGCGTGGTAGCAAGTGCCTGTAGTCCCAGCTACTTGGGAGGCTGAGACAGAAGAACTGCTTGAACCCGGGAGGCAGAGGTTGTAGTGAGCCTAGATCGTGCAATTGCACTACAGCCTGGGCGACAGAGCGAGACTCCGTCTCTCTCCCGCTCCCCCAAAAATATAAAAAGCAAAAAACAAGAAAACATTGACTAGGTAATTATTAAACAGTTTTGACAGAAGTGGGTCTATGGAAACATCAGTAGATGGTGAAAAAGCTTAGGACCTCAGAGAAATGTTAGCACCAATGTCCAAGAGATTAAATTATGCTCAGCACATAATTGGAATGGTCAGTCTGATGGTTTTGGCTTTAAAATGAGATTCTTCTTCTTCTTTTTTTTTTTTTTGAGGCAGAGTCTCACTCTGTCACCCAGGCTGGAGTGCAGTGGTGCGATCTCAGCTCACTGCAACCTCCGCCTCCCGGGTTCAAGCGATTCTCCTACCGGGTGTGGTGGCTCATGCCTGTAATTCTAGCACTTTGGGGGGCTGAGGCGGGTGGCTCGCCTGAGGTCAGGAGTTCAAGACCAGCCTGGCCAACATGGTGAAACCCTGTCTCTACTAAAAATACAAAAATTAGCTGGGTATGGTTATGGTGGCGCACACCTGTAATCCCAGCTACTTGGGAGGTTGAGGCAAGAGAATCACTTGAACCCAGGAGTCAGAGGTTGCAGTGAGCAGAGGTTGCACCACTGCACTCCAGCCTGGGTGACAGAGTGAGACTATGTCTCAAAAAAATAAATAAATACATAAAAAGATGCCTCAGCCTCCAGAGTAGATGGGATTACAGACATCCACCACCACGCCCAGCAAATTTTTGGATTTTTAGAAGAGACGAGGTTTCACCATGTTGGCAAGGCTGGTATCGAACTCCTGACCTCAGGCGATCCACCTGCCTCGGCCTACCAAATGCTGGGATTACAGGCGTTAGCCACCATGCTTGGTCGATCCCTTTTGAATTAAGTTGGTTCATACAATCCTCCATCCAACCTCATGGCATGATAGGTAATTTTCTCACAACGGAATACTTGTTTTCTGAAAGGAGTTGTTTATAGGTTAAGCAAAACCAATTTAAGAGCTTTCAGCAAAGTAATATGAAAAGCTTCTGTTAATTTCGCCAGGTGAGAGACAGGGTCTTACTCTGCTGTCTAGGATAGAGTGCAATGGGGCAATCATGGCCCACTGTAACCTCAAATCCCTGGGCTCAAATGATCCTCCCACCTCAGTCTCCCACACAGCTAGGACTATAGGCATTTGCCACCATGCCCAGCTGTTTTGGTAGAGACAGGGTTGTGCTGTGTTGCCCGGCTGGTCTCTATCATGCTTGATCCCTACCCTGTTGACTTCAACAAGGATGGCACCATGTCCAAGAACTGAATGAGAGCCAGAGCTAGAAAATGAGACATAGAGCTAGGCGTGTGGCTCACGCCTGTAATCCCAGCACTTTGGGAGGCCAAGGCAGGCGGATCACCTGAGGTTGGGAGTTCGAGACCACCGTGATCAAAACGCAGAAACCCCGTCTCTACTAAAAATACAAAATTAGCCGGGTGTAGTGGCACATGCCTGTAATCCCTGCTACTTGGGAGGCTGAGGCAGGAGAATCGCTTGAACCGGGAGGTGGAGGTTGCAGTGAGCCGAGATCACGCCACTGCACTCCAGCCTGGGCAACAGGAGCGAAACTCCATCTCAAAAAAGAAAGAAAGAAAGAAAATGAGACATAGGGTTTATTGAGGACTTAGATACAGGGCAGTCCAGGAGCGGCAGGCTGGACAAAAAAACCACTATCATTTGAAAGAAGCATGCAGTTTATATAGTATTTTCACTTATCACCCTCCGCCTAGCTCAAAACAAAGGGCCTCATTCCAAGGAACAGGCCAGGGGTTCAGAAACCTCCAGGTTGGCCACTCCTGGATTTCTTCGTTTGGAACGCTGAACCAACACTCTTCTTAGACCACAGGGTCATTCTTAGGGTGTGCTTGAGTTACTGCTGTCAGATATATCTGTTATACAGTGTCGAACTCCTGGCCTCCAGGATGTTCTTGCCTTAGTCTCCCAAAACACTGGAATTAAAGGCATGAGTCCCTGTACATGACGAGATGGGCTTTTATTAACCTCTTTGTTAGTTTCATCAATCGAGAAGAGAGGGGAGGGTATGCAAAATAAAAATGTTAGAAAATGGGCCACACTTTACAAATTGAGATTATGTCTCCAGTTAAATGAGTTCCCCTATTGCTGTGTAATTCACAAGAAATTCTCCAAGAGGGAGTTACCAATTCAACACATATTTACCCATGACTTCCACGGTGGCTCTTCTGTAAGGAAATGCTTGAACCCAAAGAGAGAACATGCAGATCATAATCAGTTCATATTTATAATCTTGGGCTGGAGGCAAATGCATACAGTTTACCAAATATGAAAAGGTGAGGTGGGCAAAGGGAAATGCCCTTGAGATCCCTGAAAAGAAAGAAAATTCAGTTATACATTTGATACTTAAATATATGGGACACCACTTTGTTAAATTGCAAGAAAAAAACCAAAAGCATGCCAGGCACAGTGGCTCATCCTGTAATCTTAGCATTTTGAGAGGCCAAGGTGGGAAGATCCCTTGAGCTCAGGAGTTTTGAGAGCAGCCTGGGCAACATAGTGAGACCTAATCTCTACAGAAAAATTTTAAAAATTAGCTGTGCGTGGTGGCACATGCCTGTCCCTAGCAACTTGGGAGGCTGAGGTGGGAGGATGACTTGAGTCCAGCAGGTCAAGGCTGCAGTGAATTGTGATTGTGTCACTGTACTCCAGCCTGGGCAACAGAGTGACACTGTCTCAAAAAAAAAAAAAAAAAAAGGGCCAGGCACTATGGCTCATGCCTGAAATCCCAGCACTTTGGGAGGCCGAGGCGGGCAGATCATCACAAGGTCAGGACTTCAAGACCAGCCTGAACAACATGGTAAAACCCCATCTCCACTAAAAATACAAAAATTAACCGGGCATGGTGGTGCATGCCTGTAATCCCACCTACCCGGGAGGCTGAGGCAGGAGAATCGCTTGAACCCTGGAGGTGGAGGCTGCAGTGAGCTGAGATCGTGCCACTCCAGCCTGGGCAGACAGACGGACATTCTGTCTCAAAAACAAAAAAAATTAAGAAAGAATCAAAAGCAACTTTCTAATTCATTGCAGACGGGAGTATTTTTCTATTTAGTGACACACTTACCTAACCCATTTATGCCAAGGGATGCAAAATATATATATATATACATATACACACACATACATATATACACACATATATATACATATATACATACATATACATACATGTATATACATATATACACACACATATATACATATATACATATATATACATACACACACACACACACACACACACACATATATACACATATATATATATTTTTTGAGACCGAGTCTTGCTCTGTCACCCAGGCTGGAGTACAGTGGTGCGATCTTGGCTCACGGCAAGCTCCACCTCCCGGGTTCACTCCATTCTCCTGCCTCAGCCTCCCGAGTAGCTGGGACTACAGGCGCCTGCCACCACGCCCAGCTAATTTTTTGTATTTTTTTAGTAGAGACGGGGTTTCACCATGTTAGCCAGGATGGTCTCGATCTCCTGACCTCGTGATCCGCCTGCCTCAGCCTCCCAAAGTGCTGGGATTACAGGCGTGAGCCACCGTGCCTGGCCACTTTCATGGGTTTCTATGAAAGTCTAAACTTACCACATGGTACAGTTTAAATATGTATAGTTTACAGAATGTCATTTATTCCTTATTATGGCTTTAAAGAATTGATTCAAAAGAAAAATGTGGGCTGGACATGATGGCTGAGGCCTGTAATCCCAGCACTTTGGGAGGCTGAGGGAAAAGGATTGCTTGAGGAGTTCGAGGCTGCAGTGAACTATGATCTCGCCACTGTACTCCAGCCTGGGTCACAGAGCAACACCTTGTCTTAGAAAAAAAAAAAAAGAAAAACATGGATTTTCTATTATTTTTGACAAACATGCTTGACAACTATACAAAATCTCCTCATGTCCTAAGTGCAGCAATGAGTCTCTG